>NC_000004.12:31195200-31819295 GCF_000001405.40 Homo sapiens
CTCTTTCAGGGTCTCAAGTACTACGTATGGCAAACATGTTTTCAGTGGTTTAGATCTATATTAACTTATATGTCAATAATATTCTGTTTTTCATGAAGTCTGCCGCCTAATTATTGTCAGTCTTTTTTCTCAGTGAAAATTTAAGGATATTTTTAAGAGAGAGATTTGGAGTTTTTTTTTATTTGTTGTTTTTTTTTTTTTGTTGTTGTTGTTGTTTTGAAACAGTGTCTCTGTTGCCCAGGCTGGAGTGCAGCAGCATGATCTCAGCTCACTGCAACCTCCACCTCTCAGGTTCAAGCCTGCCTGTTAGAACGATTCTCCTGCCTCAGCCTCCTGAGCAGCTGGGATTACAGGTGCACGCCACCACGCCCGGCTAATTTTTATATTTTTAATAGAGATGGGGTTCCATCATGTTGGCCAGGGTGGTCTTGAACTCCTGACCTCATGTGATCTGCCCAGCTCAGCCTCCCAAAGTGCTGCGATTACAGGCTTGAGCCACCACACCCGTCCTAAAATACTTTTTTAAAATACTGAATTCACATCCTTCATAGATAGTGGAGGTTCCCCCTCATCTCCTGTGAGAATTTGTTTCACAACTGAGTTTTCATCTGGTACATTTTTCTGTAAGGTCTATATTGCTCACTGTGGTAGCCATCTCAAAAATGGCCCCCAGTGATAATGACCTCCTGATATTTACCCCCTTGTGTAGTCCCCTGAAAAACTATCAAGATTGGGCTATGTGGCCTGGCACAGTGGCTCACGCCTGTAATCCCAGCACTTTGGGAGGCCCAGATGGTCGGATCATTTGAGGTCAGGAGTTCGAGACCAGTCTGGACAACATGGTGAAACACCATCTCTACTAAAAAAAATACAAAAATTAGCTGAGTATGGTGGCACATGCCTGTAATCCCAGCTTCTTGGGAGACTGAGGAAGGAGAATCGCTTGAACCTGGGAAATGAAGGTTGCAATGAGCGGAGATTGCGTCACTGCACTCCAGCCTGGGTGACAGAGTGAGACTCCATCTCAAAACAAACAACAACAACAACAAACCCAAAACGAACAAACAAACAAATAAACCAAAAGATTGGGCTACATGACTAATAGGATATGGACAAGAGTAAATAAATTGCTGCTTCTGCTCTCTTTGCTTAGATTGCTCACTTAAGGGGAAACTAACTACCACGTTATGCAGCTCTACTGTAAAAATGCACAGGGTGAGAAACCAAGGCCTCCTTCTGACAGGAGCCACTTGCCGGTCATGTGAGTAAGCCATCATGGAGATAGGTCCGTGTTTATAACTGGTGTCATATGCCTGTCCCACTGCTGTATTTTGAAAGCAGGAAACTCATTTCTTGAGTGTTGCAGGTTCGCAGAGGAAGAATTGTGCCCCTGGATGAATTATACCTACAGCCTCACTCATATCCAATTTAGATAATGTAGGTAAGAGTTGGAAATTTTGAACTGATGAGATCTTGGACTTTGAGTTGAAGCTGTAATGGATTGAGACTTTTGGGAACCCTGAAGTGCGGTGAATGTATTTTGTGTGTAGGACATATATGAATCATTGGGGGGTTAGAAGTGTGCTATGATAGATACCCCCACATACACACACAAGAGGTCCACTTTTTACTCCCTGAAGCTTGTGAATATGTTAACTTACTTGGCAAAAAAAAAAAAAAGGGAAAAAAGAAACTTGGCAGATGTAATTAGGTTAAGGGTCTTGAGATTGGTAGATTCTTTGGGTAGACCAACTGTAATCACATGGCTCCTTGTAAGAGCAGAGAGGCAGTACATTGGAGGCCAGAGAAAGATATCAAGATCCTATGCTACTGGCTTTGCTGATGGAGGAAGAAGCCATTAAGCCAAGGAATGCAGGTGGCATCTAGAAGCTAGAAAAAGCAAGGAAACAGATTTTGTCCAACAGCCTCCAGAAAGAGAAGAATGAAATACAATTTACCATAGAATGCATTGTGCCATTACTTAAATTGTTATTTTAAATTATTTTTTAACCTTTTTTGCTTATTAGTTGTTTGAGATTATGAATCTTATGCTGCTAGAATTAATTACACCTCCATTACCATTGGATCCAGCTGATGTCCAATCAATAAATACCTGTTGATTGAATTGGTTATAAATTTCACTTTTTTTCTTTTTTTTTTCATGGAGGTGTAATTTACATGAAAGAAAATGGACAGGTTTTGATTTTTTTTTCCATTGAGGTGTAATTTACGTAAAATAACATGCATAGGTTTTAAGTGTTCATTTGAATGAATTTGTCAAATATATATAGCAAAGTAACCACTGTGCAAAACAAGATACAAAATATTTCTATATTCCCAAAAGGTTCCTTGTGTACTGTACAGTCATCCCATTTTCCAAGAAACAATTATTTTCAGATTTATTTTACACAACAAAATGTTTATTACTAGTTGTATCTCGTGGTAAGATTACATAATAACACAAATTATTTATTCTCTCGTATTGTTAGACATTTATTTAACAGTATCAGGAATTGATTACATTATCAGGAGCAATGCTCCAAAGTATTTGTGGCATTTTATATCCCTGCCAGCAACATACAAGGATTCCAATATGATCTGTGTCTTTGCCAGTATTTGGTATTGTCAGACATTTTAATTTTAGCTATTCAAATGCAAATGAAATGATATCTCATTGTTGTTTTAGTTTTCATTTTACTGGTTGCTATAGTTAAGATGTTTACCCCCTCCAAATCTCATGTTAAAATTTAATCCCCAGTATTGGAGGTGGGCCTAATGGGAGTTATTTGGGTTATGGGAGTTGATACCTCATTAATAGATTAATGCTCTTCTGGGGGGTGGTGAGTGTGTTTTCCCTCTTTTAGTTTTTGTGAAAGCTGGTTGTTAAAAAGAACCTGGTACCTTCTCCTTCTCCTCTTGTTTCCACTCTGGTCATGTGATCTCTATACACCAGCTCCCCTTCACCTTCTGCCATGAGTGAAAGCAGACTGAGGCCCTCACCAGAAGCAGATGCTGGCCTCATGCTTCTTGTACAGCCTGTAGAACTGTGAGCCAAATAAACCTCTTTTCTTTATAAATTACCCAACCTCAGGGATTCCTTTATAACAACACAAAATAGGCTGTGATACTGATGACTATTGATATTGAAGACTGTATTAGTCCATTTTCATGCTGCTAATAAAGACATACCTGAAACTGGGAAGAAAAAGAGGTTTAGGAAGGCTGAAGTGGGTGGATCATGAAGTCAGGAGTTTGAGACCAGCCTGGCCAACATGGTGAAACTCCATCTCTACTAAAAATACAAAAATTAGCCAGGCATGGTGGTGGGCACCTGTAATCCCAGCTACTCAGGAGGCTGAGGCAGGAGAATCACTTGAACCCGGGAGGTGGAGGTTGCAGTGAGCCGAGATCATGCCATTGCACTCCAGTCTGGGCGACAAGGGCAAGACTCCATCTCAAAATAAAAATAAAAAAAAAAAAAAGGAAAAAGAGGTTTAATTGGACTTATAGTTCCACATGGCTGCAGAGGCCTCAGTATCATGGCAGGAAGCGGTGGCAGGAGAAAAATTAGGAAGAAGCAGAAGCAGAAACCCCTGATAAACCCATCAGATCTCATGAGACTTATTCACTATCAGGATAATAGCATTAGAAAAACCAGCCCCCATGATTCAATTACCTCCCCTGGGGCCGCTCCCACAATGTGTGGGAATTCTGGGAGCTACAATTCAAGTTGAGATTTGGGTGGGGACACAGCCAAACCGTATCATTCCACTCCTGGCCCCTCCAGATCTCATGTCCTCACATTTCAAAACCAATCATGCCTTCCCAACAGTCCCCAAAGTCTTAACTCATTTCAGCATTAACCCAAAAGTCCACAGTCCAAAGTCTCATCTGAGACAAGGCAAGTCCCTCCTGCCCATAAGCCTGTAAAATCAAAAGCAAGTGAGTTACTTCCTAGAAACAATGGGGGTACAGGTACTGGGTAAATACAGCTGAGCCAAATGCAGGGAGTTGGTCAAAACAAAGGGATTACAGAGCCCATGCAAGTCTGAAATCCAGCAGGGCAGTCATATTTTAAAGCTCTAAAGTCATCTCCTTTGGCTCCAGGTCACGCTGATGCAAAAGGTGAGTGCCCATAGTATGCCCTGTGGCTTTGCAGGGTACAGCCTCCTTCCTGGCTGCTTTCATGGACTGGCATTGAGTATCTGCAGCATTTCCAGGTGCACAGTGCGAGCTGTCAGTGGATCTACCATTCTGGGGTCCGGAGGACAGTGGCCCTCTTCTCACAGCTCCACTAGGCAGTGCCCCAGTATGGCCTCTGTGTGGGGCCTCTGACCCCACATTCTTCTTCCACACTGCCCTAGCAGACGTTCTCCATGAGGGACCTCCCCCTGTAGCAAACTTTTGCCTGGGCATCCAGGCATTTTCATACATCTTCTGAAATCTAGGCGGAAGTTCCCAAACCTCGATTCTCAACTTCTGTGGACCCGCAGGCTCAACACCACGTGTAAGCTGCCAAAGCTTGGGGCTTCCACCCTCTGAAGCCACAGCCCAAGTTCTACATTGGCCCCTTTCAACCATGGCTGCAGCAGCTGGCACACATGGCACCAAGTCCCTAGGCTGCAAATAGCACAGGTACCCTGACCCCAGCCCACATTACCACTTTTTCCTCCTGGGCCTCCAGGCCTGTGATGGGAGAGGCTGCCTGGAGCCTGGAGACATTTTCCTCATGGATTAACATTACGCTCCTTGCTACTTATGAAAGTTTCTGCAGCTGCTTGAATTTCTCCTCAAAAAATGGGTTTTTAGTTTATACTGCATCATCAGGCTATAAATTTTCTGAACTTTTATGCTCTGTTTCCCTTTTGAAGCAAAATGCTTTTAACAGCACCCAAGTCACATTTGAATGCTTTGCTACTTAGAAATTTCTTCCACCAGATACACTAAATCATCTCTCTCAAGTTCAAAGTTCCACAGATCTCTAGGGCAGGGAACAAATTCTGCCAGTCTCTTTGCTAAAACATAACAAGAGTCACCTTTGCTCCAGTTCCCAACAAGTTCCTCATCTCTATCTGAGACTGCCTCGGCCTGGACCTTATTGTTCATATCTCTATCAGCATTTTTGTCAAAGCTATTCAACAAGTCTCTAGGAGGTTCCAAACCTCTCTTCTTTTCCTGTCTTCTTCTGGGCCCTCCAAACTCTTCCAACCTCTGCCTGTTACCCAGTTCCAAAGTTGCTTTCACGTTTTCAGGTATCTTTTCAGGACGAACCCACTCTGCTGGTATCCATTTACTGTATTAGTCTGCTTTCACACTGCTGATAAAAACATACCAGAGACTGGGAAGAAAAAGATGTTTAATTGGATTTACATTTCCACATGGCTGTGGAGGCCTCAGAATCATGGTGGGAGGGAAAAGGCACTTATTACATGGCAGAGGCAAGAGAAAAAAGAGGAAGAAGCAAAAGTGGAAACCACTGATAAACCCATCTGATCTCCTGAGACTTATTCACTATTACGAGAACAACACATGAAAGACTGGGCCCCATGATTCAAGACTGGGTCCCTCTCACAATGCGTGGGAATTCTGGGAAATACACTTCAAGTTGAGATTTGGGTGGGGGACACCGTCAAACCATATCAAAAATTTTTTCAAGATATCTGTGTATCTTCTGTTTCAAATGTCTATGCAAGTCTTCTGTTAATTTTTATTGAATTATTTAAAATTTTGTTATTAATGCATGCATTATTTTTAAATGCTGAATACAATTCTTTTTGTATTTTATTTTCTATCAGTCTGTGGCTGAAAATATTCTTAATATTGGGTTTTGAGGAGCAGAAATTTTAGGTTTTGATGAAGTTCAACTTATTTATTTTCCTTTTTTATTTCATGATATTTTTGTCTTGGCTAAGACATATTTCACTATTTTAAGGTTCCAGAGATATTCCCTTATACTTTTTTCCTGAAAATTTATAAATTAAGCTTTCATATTTCAATTTTTGATTAATCTCAGGTCAATTTTGGATAGGAGGTAAAATATGAAACAATCCTCTTTTAAATTAACACATATGCTGTATATGGACATCCACTTGATCCAGCATTATTTAAGTAAAACATTTTTTTCTTCAATGGATTGCCTAAGTGTCTGTTGAAAATCAGTTGATCATATATGTGCAGGCCCATGTTTTGGCTCTATGTCCTGTTCCATGGACTTGTAAGTTTATGTTTAAACTAATACTACACTGTTTAATTGTAGCATTATAATTAGTCTCGAGATCAGGTTGTATAAATATTTGTAATTGGTTCTTTGTTTTCAAGATTGTTTTAACTGTTCTGGATACTTTGAATTTTTAAACAAATTTTAGAATTTGCTTATCATTTAAAAATCCTTATGGAGATTCTGATTGCGATTGGATTGGCTTATAGATTATTTTGGAGATATCTATGAACATGATAGAGTTTTCTATTTTCTTAGGTTTTAATTCATTATTTTAGTGAGAGGTGAAGCCAGCTGGGCTTCTGGGTTGGGTGGGGACTTGGACAACTTTTCTGTCTAGCTAAAGGATTGTAAACGCACCAATCAGTGCTCTGTGTCTAGCTAATCAGGTGGGGACTTGGAGAACTTTTGTGTCTAGCTAAAGGATTGTAAACACACCAATCAGCACTCTGTAAAATGGACCAATCAGCACTCTGTAAAATGGAACAATCAGCGCTCTGTAAAATGGACCAGTCAGCAGGATGTGGGTGGGGCCAAATATGGGAATAAAAGCAGGCCACCCGAGCCAGCAGCAGCAACCCGCTCCCGCTTGGGTCCCCTTCCACGCTGTGGAAGCTTTGTTCTTTCGCTCTTCACAGTAAATCTTGCTGCTGCTCACTCTTTGGGTCTGCACTACCTTTATGAGCTGTAACACTCACCGAGAAGGTCTGCAGCTTCACTCCTGTAGCCAGTGAGACCACGAACCCACCAGGAGGAGCAAACAGCTCCAGATGTGCCACCTTTAAGAGCTGTAACACTCACTATGTAGGTCTGCGGCTTCACTCCTGAAGTCAGCGAGACCAGGAACCCACCCGGAGGAGTGAACAACTCCGGACGTGCCACCTTTGAGAGCTGTAACACTCACTGCGAAGGTCTGCAGTTTCACTCCTGAAGTCAGCAAGACCACAAACCCACCAGAAGGAACCAATTCCGGACACATTAGTAATGATTTGTAGTTTTTAGAGTAGAGCTTCTTTTGCACCATTGCATTTTTAGCCCTAAATGCTTCATAATTTTCTGTAATTTTAAACATTTTTAAATTCAATTTTTAGTACTGTTATGTAGAAATACAAAATAAATTTTGGTATATTGATCATCTATCTTGCAACTTTGGTAACTTCCCTTATTATTATGTGGGTTTTACTTTGTTGTCATCGTTTCCTTAGGGTTTCTTAGAAACACAGTTTTGTCACATGTTAAAAAAAACGGATTCTTTCACTTCTCTCTTTCAAACTTGGATGCCTTTTAATGCTTTTTCTTGTCTTAATGCACTGGTTCAGACTTCCATTAAAATAATGAATGGAATTGTTAAATCTGTATATCATTGTCATCTTCTCACTTTTAGGGGAAAATGTGTTATATTTCCCTTTTAAATATGATGTTTGCAGTGCAATAAAACACTACAGTTTATTCCTCCAGTCTAAAGGATTGAAACTTCATAACATTTGATAGACATCTCCTCTTTTCCCATCTCACCCTCCCTCCTTGCCCCCTAGCCTTATTTCTTGCAATCAAGAATCCTAAATAATGCAATTATTCATAGCAAGTGGGACCTATTATGTATCCTGTTGTAATTGATTTCCCCAGTAACATACATCCATCAGTTTGCCCCCTGCTATAACTCTCAGGAACTCCATATACAGAATATCTGGTGTTCTCATATTACCTACTTGAATGTATTTTATGCATTTTCTTTTTTTTCATTGCAAATAAATGTAAAAATATAGAAAAACACAAATAATAATATAATAATATTTATAATCTTATCTTCCTTCCAATAATCCCTATCCATATGTCCAGAGACAAAGACCATCAAAAGGTCAGTGCATGCACTTCTAGTCTGTTTTTATTCTTTTACCTACATGTATATTGGTTTGTCAACAAATTTACTTTGAAGAGTGGCATTTTAAAAATACATATTATAGGCTGGGCATGGTGGCTCACGCCTGTAATCCCAGCACTTTGGGAGGCTGAGGGGGGCGGATCACCTGAGGTTGGGAGTTCGAGACCAGCCTGACCAACATGGAAAAACCCCGTCTCTACTAAAAATACAAAACTAGCCTGGCATGGTGGGGCATGCCTGTAATCCCAGCTACTCGAGAGGCTGAGGCAGGATAATTGCTTGAACCTGGGAGGCAGAGGTTGCGGTGAGCCCAGATCATGCCATTGCACTCCAGCCTGGGCAACAAGAGAGAAACTCTGTCTCAAAAAAAAAAAATTGTGTGTATATATATACATATATGTACATGTATATGTATATATGTATGTACATATATACACATATATATACATATATGTACATATATATGTGTGTGTGTGTATATATATATATAGACTTCTTTCGCTTTTTATTTAGTCCTTAAAACCAATTTCTCTCTACTTGCATGTCTCTCTCTCCCTGTATATACTATTTTTGATCATTGTTCCATTAATAGTCCATGTTCTCATTATCTATTTCTCTAATGGTGGGCATTTAGTTATTTCCAAATTTTAGTTACTACAAACAATGCTGTGATTGATCATTCTTCCTACATTCAGCCATCTGCTGTGATTTCTACCACCAGACGATTATCATCACAGTTCTGGTTGCCTGTCTCTAATTGCCTAGCTGGCCATCCTCCCATTATCTGTTACCTAGACCTCTCATCATGGATCTGTCTCTCCATGGTATATGCTGTCAGCACTCAATTCTTGAAGAAGTTACACTGAGAAATTATCTAATTCAGTAACCTGAAATTGAAGGCTTCTTTTTTTTTTTTTTTTTTGAGACGGAGTCTCGCTCTGTCGCCCAGGCGGGACTGCGGACTGCAGTGGCGCAATCTCGGCTCACTGCAAGCTCCGCTTCCCGGGTTCACGCCATTCTCCTGCCTCAGCCTCCCGAGTAGCTGGGACTACAGGCGCCCGCCACCGCGCCCGGCTAATTTTTTTTTGTATTTTTAGTAGAGACGGGGTTTCACCCTGTTAGCCAGGATGGTCTCGATCTCCTGACCTCGTGATCCACCCGCCTCGGCCTCCCAAAGTGCTGGGATTACAGGCGTGAGCCACCGCGCCCGGCCTGAAGGCTTCTTGTATCTTTTTCAGACCAGGGAGTGTGTGTACAAGATCATGAATAAATAAAATCATTATGACTTCTTATGGTTTCTAGTGTTTCCCCCCCTACCCCTGGCCCGCCCCGCTCAACCAATGGTTATCAAGTAAAATTTGCAGCTGGTGTGCTTCATTTTAAAATGACTTGGCTATTTAATATCTTTCATGAATCCAGTTTAGAAATAAATTATACTATTGTTTTTCATAGTATTTGTTTTTGACATTGTAAGGGAATCTAATTCAAGAGGAGGAAGGCAGTCAGGCATTGTTTAAACAATACCAGTTTCTTTAGTTCTATAATAAAATAGGTGTGCATTTGTTAGTGATTATCTATGACTAATTCACTCTGGAAAAAAAAGCGATGGGGATCAGAATTTACTTATAATTGTTGTTGTTGGCAATATTATAGTCTTGTTATGTTTCACCATTGAGTTTATGCCTGTGGCTTCTCTGTTGGACTCCCACCCCAAGGTAGTTTAAGATTGCTTATCTAAAAAACACATGCCCAGGCCCTGAAACATTCAAATGTGATAAAAATCAATTTTACCTATGTTATTCCCAGCTGAATGCCACTTCTGATGTACATCAGCTTCAAAAGAAATTAAGAGATAAGTAACATGATTACAATCAGATTAGCTTGTCTAGGCAGACAAATGAGATTGCAGAGTTGTCTGAGTGAAGATGCTTCCTAGTGTATTCCTAGAGACCAGTTTGCATCACATTAAACAAAAATGAGTTTCCAATATGTGTACTATATAACAAAGTGGATAAATGAAAACTCCACCCTGTGAGTGACTATGAGTCGGGGAAACTTATTTTGTGACTATTTGATAATTACTTCACGTCATTCTAATACTATGTGGTATCTAAGAAAAAACAGGATCATTTTCTGAGAGTGCTTTTTTTTGCTCAAACTAAAAGAAGTATTTTTATTAATTATTATTAATAGAACCCATGAAGGTCAAGGAGGGAAATCAGGGAGAAAATATCTTGAGTCACAAGTTATTCTCCATTGCAGAATAGGATAATGAAAAGTATTTAGAGGGCAGTTTAAAGCGGGGCGGGGTCACACCAACCAGAAGAAAAGAGGGAACTACATTAATAAATACTAAAAAGACAATATGCAAGAAGTAGGGGTAGGTTCAGTTTCAATGAATGTGAGATCCATAGTGAAGGAAAAAGCTCCCGGCTCTATTTATCTTACTTATAAAATGACCTTTATTTTCCAGCCCAGAAAAAAAAAAAAGAACAAGTAAAGTTATACAGGGCAGGTAAAAAATAATCGGGCAATGTTTATTCAAGCTAGTGTGATAATGTCACCCTAAACCATTTTCTTTTCAGTCTGTAATTATTTGGGGCATTAAGAAAAAATAAACAGGAAATTAAAATAATCAAATGCCTTGATTATTGGATAATTGCAGGATTAAGAATACTCTAGGAGCAAGTTTAAAAAAAAAAAAAAGCGCATGACAGAGCTATTGAAGTTAAGAGTAAAGGATATTGTAATCACAGCACTTTGGGAGGCCGAGGTGTGTGGTTCACGAGGTCAGGAGATCAAGACCATCCTGGCTAACATGGTGAAACCCCAGCTCTACTAAAAATACAAAAAATAAGCCAGGAGTGGTGGCACACACCTGTAGTCTCAGCTACTCAGGAGGCTGAGGCAGGAGAATTGCTTGAACCTGGGAGGCAGAGGTTTCAGTGAGCTGAGATCATGCCAATGCACTCCAGGCTGGGTAACAGAGTGAGACTCCACCTCAAAAAAAAAAAAAAGTAAAGGATATAACAGAGTAGAACGGAGTAATGTGAATGCAAGCCCTAAACATGAGACCTGTTTTTATACCACAAAGAAATAACGAATTGTCCAAATGGTTCAACCATAAATGCCCATTTTCCCAGTCACAAGGTTTTTATTTTTATGTTTTTTAACGTCTTCTGATTGCAGAGCTGCTATACTTTAAGATTTCTTCAAATTGCATAAAGACATGGAAAAATATATCTCTGAATTAATAGAATATTTAGAATTATTTGATGAAAAAATATTACTGAACATCCGTTTAGAATTTGTGATACTTATTAACATTTTCATTATGCACAAAAGGGAAGAAAAACTATATGTACGTAAGGCATACAGTACTGCTTAATTTGACCTTTTTATAGGAAATGTGACTATATCCTTCACAAAAACTGCAAAAGAAAAAGGAGAGGCAGGGAATTAATTATGAGTGGAGGAATCTTGGGAAATATTTCAAATAAACTTTTTCTTCATTCTAAACATAAAACAGTACCTTCACCTTAGCTTCAGCAAAGTCAGTTCTACATATAACTAAATATCAAATTACAACATGCAATAATTTAATAAAGCTTTTTGATCTCTAATTTAGATCTTTCTTTTTAAAAAAATTGAGCTTAAATATTAACAGGGATAAATGAAGAGCTTAGTTAAGTGTTTATCATCAAAAAGTTGCATGGCGTTTTCATGACCATGCACAGTAATCCTCGTGAATATATTTTGGCAAATGTTGATATCAATCGGTTATTTCTTTTGTGATCTAGATATTTAATTTCAAATAGTTATTTCCAGAAATCAATATTTGGCTCACTTTTCAGTAAATGCCTTTAAGTGAGGGTTTTCTACAGCTAAATTAATTCAATGTATATTTAGAGTTATATTTTATGGGCAATTTGGAAGTGGGACAGCTATCTTGGAATGTATCAGCTCTGAAGCATTAAAAAAAATTTCAGCTGTCTTGGATCTTTCAACATTTTTTCTGGTTCTCTAGTTTTATTTTTTTTCTCTCCTGTGCCTTCTCTCCTGTTTCTCCCCCTCTTACTATACAATCTTCCCATTTAAAAAAAATCAGGTAAAAACCTCCTCATATGGTGGTTGTAATGCTTAAATGAGGAAGTCTGTGTACGATGCATAGTGTATTGCCTAGTGAGTATTCAATCAATGTCCATTTCTAGTTTTCTTTTTATTCAGCACAACCCAGGGTTGTTATTTAAAAAAAAAATCAATGATATTACGCTATATCAGATGGGTATGTTGTGGCACTGTCACAAGACTGCCTGACATAGCTAATGATTACTTTTTTCCTCAAAGGATTTCTTTTGTGCATCAAATAATGTTGTTCATTTAGCACAATTTATACACTGAGAACACCACATGTGAAATGCTCATGTTATTCAAAAAGTCTTCTAATATTTTAGGTTGTCCATCATACTTTGGGAGCAAAAACAGGCTATTTGGTCTATAACTTCTCCAGGGTTTTGGTTTTTCCTCCAAAATATTTTTGACCACTATTTAAAATTGCATTTAATTATTTATATTTCATTATATTTGATTGGCTGAAGGATCCTGTTACTGAACTGCTATCTGGAGCCACAATTTCCACTAGAAATGAGCAATTATTAAGATTACCCTGCTAAATTTTGATCTATCTAAATCCTTCCAGCATTCTAGGCTTCTAAGAGAACTTTTGTCACTCTGGTTTCAACTGTCTTTGGAAATACCAAGCTAAGTGAATACTTTATCAGTTGTTTTTTTCTTTATGTAGTGCTTTATGCATGATGCTTTCTAGCTCAGGACTATGATTGCAGCAGGAGATAACAACAGTCCAAGATTTCTCTCTGACTCAATATTCTAAGTTGTAAGACATTATCTCACAAAACAGATTCAGAGCTAT
This sequence comes from Homo sapiens, assembly GCF_000001405.40. NCBI lineage: Eukaryota > Metazoa > Chordata > Mammalia > Primates > Hominidae > Homo > Homo sapiens. Next base: position 31,208,230 of record NC_000004.12, read on the forward strand.
TTCTTGATACCCTTTCTGTAATGGACCTTGGGACCTTATTAAACTTAGTTTTTCTTCTTGGATATGTACCTTCTGCATCCACACATAAAACCATTTTTTTTTTTTTTGCTTGCCTAGGTACCTGAGTTTCCAGTCAGTTCCCATGTACTGAGTTACTTAAGTGAAAATGATAATCTTCAATAAAAGGCAACTTCTTATCTGTGGTTCACTCATCATCAGAAAGCATGATTGTATGGTTGCTAATTTTTTTCTCACTGCTTTGAATGTATTTGTATATTAAATTACCACTTTCACTCTTGTATGTGCTATCAGAAATTGTCTTTTTCTTGGTAAAAAAAAAAAAACTTGGTTAAAGTTATATAATTTATTTCCATTCTGTAAGAAAAACCTTGATTTAACAATTGGTTTGCCTTAAATGTATAAAGTAATATAAAGTTCCTGTGCCTTAAAGAATTTTTGAAATAAGCATGAAACTGGTTTCCCTTTGTCTGCCAGATTATTAAGCCCTTGAGACATAATTAGGAAGACTAAGGATCCAAGTAGTAAAGGAACTGTTAATGCTTAGCTAACTAATAAGGGCTTTTTTTTTTTTTTCCAGAGAGTTTCAAGGAAGAAAATTCTGGTGATTACTATAAAAAAAAAGTCATCAAAAAATTTAAATTTCTTCTTTAGGAGAATGACTCAATATGCTCACCATAGCGTTCCCTACTGTGGAATACTGTGCAGTATTTAAATTTGTGTAAAGGCACTATAATTTTAAATTTCTTCCCCCACAGCCCTGTATCTCCAAAGGAACATTCGTAAGCATTTGGTTGGAAATAGGCACTGGAATAAAATTATAAGATTCTGGAAGGTGAAGAGTCCATATGAACCATAAGTTTTGTATAATCAGCCATTTTGACTTAAGTCATCTCTTTTTTCATCATCATCAACACCATCCATTATTATAAGCGATTATCATAGAATTTATTATATATACATGCATGTGTGTTTGTATGTATATGTATATATGTTTATGTGTGTGTGTGTAAAATAAAGGGGCTGGAAATACAAAGAGTCCATAAAAGTTTATCATTTGTTTTGTTTAGGGATGCTAAGACAGATATTATTGACAGTTTAAACATAACGGACAATAAAAAGAGCATATTTTAGCTGCAAAATGAGAAATCAACCCAAGCATTGATGGTGTTCTGACCTATATGAGACTGATATGAAGGAGTCAGGGAGTGATTGGCATAGTGGTTCATAAATGATACCTCAAACAATAAAAAAAAACTTTCAGAGGTGGTGAGAATGAAAATGTATTTTAGGGGCCGGGTGCGGTGGCTCACGCCTGTAATCCCAGCACTTTGGGAGGCCAAGGCGGGTGGATCACCAGAGGTTGGGCTTCGAGACCAGCCTGACCAAGATGGAGAAACCCTGTCTCTACTAAAAATACAAAATTAGCCGGACGCAGTGGTGCATGCCTGTAGTCCCAGCTACTCGGGAGGCTAAGGCAGGAGAAACGCTTGAACCCAGGAGGCAGAGTTTGCAGTGAGCGGTGATTGTGCCATTGCTCTCCAGCCTGGGCAACAAGAGCAAAATTCCGTCTCAAAAAATAAAAAAAATAAAAAGAAAATGTATTTTAAGTAGATGATATGAAAGGAATAAAGGATTGGTGGGAGGATGGCATATCCTCTGTTCAGAGGAGGTCTGATATGTCCTGAATTTTTGGACTCAAATAATTTTAAAGTCTCACATCAATCAACTATTGAATGACAGTTAATACTTTTCATCTAAGGATAATGAATATGCCATTCCTTAGGAGAAAAACAATTTTTAAATTCAAGTGTCTTACAAGCTTTGTAAATATGTATCTCTTGACCTTGGTTTCTTTTTTGCCAAAATGTGAAGATTTCAACAGATGGTCACTCTGGTTGCTTCTCGGCAGGCACTTTTAAAGAGAGATATTGTTCCGGGTTTTGTTTCTGCATTCTCACATTTGGGGTTGAATTTGTCCTTTGAAAAACATGTATTTTAGAAAATGAAAATTTTAGAAAAGTTTAGAGAAGGGCCAGTCTCCTCTAACTGTGATGCAAAATATAAAATAATAATAAGAATCGGAAGAAGAAAATAATAATAACAATAGGAAGAAAAATGTTCCAGGACTCAGGAAACTTAGGTTGCAGTTTTAGCATGTCTATTCACCAGCTATGAGGTTTGAGACAAGGCCCTTTAAAATCTTTGAACTTCAATTTCTTCCCAAATAATGGCAGGATAATAATTCCCAATGATATCTCAGGCATGTAGTAGGAATCAACACAATAATATATTCAAATGTTTGGTAAATCTTAAAATATTCTTAAATTAAAAGTATTATCAATAAATTCAAACATTGGCAATTGGAACAAAACAACCCTTGGCACACTGTCCCCTTATTACCCCTTGACAGTGACAAGCAAGATCCTATTTCTTGCCTTTTGCGTTACTGTACCACCTCTGCTTGGAATACCCTTTGACAGGATTATCTGCAGGGTTCATTCTCTTACTTCCTTCAGATCTCTACTGAAATGTCACCTTATCAGAGAGGACCTTAATTCCCTGACATCCTATATCAATTAGCAACACTCACTCAGGTACCTCTATCTCCCTTACCATGCCCTATTTTATATTCACATGTCTAGTTTTTCTACCAAATATTTCCCTCTTACAACACCCATGTGTATAAAATCCATTACAACAGGGATCTGGGTTTGTCTTACTGTGTATCTCTTATCCCTAGAAAAGTGCTTGATATGTGGTAGGCACAAAATAAATATGTGTTGAGTGAATGAACAAACTTAAAAACTGTCTGAGGGAGCTTTGAATTAAGCTTGTATAGGCAAAATGAACCTTGTGATTCTTTTGTCTTACAGAAGCTCATTTAATAAGCCTTTACATTTATCAAGGACATATTGAAAGCTCATAAAACATATATGTCATGTCAAAGCTCCAAAGTTCCTTTGAGTGTTACTAATATGATTTATTTTTAGAAAACTATGTATTGCAAGGAAATTGGTGCTTGTGTCACATCAAAACACGAAATAAAAACAACAAATATATGGCATTTTAGATATTTATAAAAATTAAGGGATCTTTCATTGTATGAAGGTCAATTATCTAAAAGAAGATAAAACCTAATTACTTGAATAATTAGTTCAGAACCCATGGAAAAAATAATAAACAAGTATTCACATTTATTTTATCCACAGATTTAAAATGCCATGCATATCATAGATGTGCATGTACGCATATGGCAAGACCTCATTAGACAACTATGATTTTTATATTTTTTACTGACAGGCTCTTCGAAAGACTGAAAAAATTGACAGGACCAGAGAGAGTCCATCTAGAAGAATGTCAAACAAACCACTGAAGTAACGTGTTGACAAAATAACAGCTCTAATAAATTGCAATTTGACTATAAATAACAGTTTCTCTGTTCTTTTTGGTGTACTTGTAGAAGACAGCAGCTGGGATCTGCACCTCTTTGATTAGGTAGTATTCTTAAGAATAATGTGGTTTTTGGCAAGTCACATAATCTTAACCTATTATTTGTAGAATTAATAAACTTTTTGGAAGTTTTTAGCAATGCCAACAGGAATTGATTATCACTTCAATAAAAATAGTTTTGACATTTCTAACTGAGTCTTGCTTCTTTATGTTAATAAAATTTCAACATTTCTGGAAATACTTAATGGAAAATGCAAAAGAATAAACTGATATAAGGTGCATACAGTTGTCTTATTTATCCAAAATGCAGCAGATACAATCCTTCCAACCTACCTATGGAGAATTTAATAGTAATTGAAGGACAGAGTTAGCCTTTATCTTAGCATAAGCCTTTTGAAGGCATGCACAACTAACAATACTTATAATCTAGGTAAAGTCATAAACTGCATAAAGAATATGAAAGTGTCCTTCTAGAAGTTAATGAAAGTTTAATGAGGCCATTAAGTCAACTGATAAAAGCTAAGCTTCAACTCCAAGGAGTTTTAAAGAAAGCAAAAATATCTGAGCAGTAATTGGAAAAGTTGAGTTGTATTTCTTACATGAAATCTGACGAAAGATTGGATTTCATAATAACAACAGTGAGCTTCCCATAACACCATTATTATGGTTTGAATGTCCCCTTCAAAACTCGTGTTGAAAGTTAATTGCCAAATCGCTATTACATTGCAATGAGGCCCTTAATATATGATTAGATGTAGAGGTTCTGCCCTCATGAATGGAGTAGTGCCATTATCACAGGAATGGGTTAGCTATCATGGGAGTGGGATCCTGATAAAAGGGACGGGGGAGTTTGGCCTTCTTTTCTTCTCTTTCTCACCTTCACTAACTATGTGATGCCTTCTGCCATGTTATGACACAGCAACAAGGCCCTCACCAGTCACCAGATACAGCACCTCTATCTTGCACTTCTCAGCATCCAGAACCATGAACCAATAAATCTCTTTTCTTTACAAATTACCTAGGCTGTGATATTCTGTTATAGCAACAGAAAATGAACTAAGACAGTCATCAATTTTACCTGCAAATTTTGATCTGCAGCTATTACCAACAAGTTGAGTATGTATGTGGTAGGGGAGGAAGGGTTGGAGAAATAAGCGGCTATTAAAAATTGTGAATATGTCAGCCTTTGATTTGTTTCAAGGGGTGTTTTTAACCCTATTTCATATATATACGGCATTAAGTCACCAAGACAAACTTTGAAAGTTAGAGAAAAATGAAAGACAAACTTTGAAAGTGAAAGTTAAAAAAAGAGATCTGTTATTTTCAGAAATGATGTACTTTCTCCTGGAATCATGACCACTAACCACCCCTTCCCCCAATTTACGGGGCTAATGTAAACAGAATGTCCTAAACAATCTCAGAGTAGATTGTTAGTTGTTCACAGGACATATGAGGCCAGAAATTTGCCCCCAAACAGTGACAAAAACATTATATAGCTGTGTTGACAAACACATCTCAGAATAGTTTGTCTCCAACTTCTGAAACCTAAGTAGCCTAGAGGTAAATGAACTCAAACATTAAACCTCTGGGACATAATATGCATGCGTATTATAAAAGCTGGATGGTTCTGTTTGAAATTTTTCATGAAAAACAGATGAAGCCTGTTTCAATATACAGTGCAATGTTTTAAGTTATCAACAAATGATAGAGTGTTTTCTACTTTACTTGATAGTAAATTAAAGATGGGCTGTTACACTTAATGTCTCAACTGAAAAAAGGGCTATGATTATAATAGGTAACATCATTCTAGCAAGTTCTTTTCATTGTTATGTTTTCATCATATTTTGAAAACTTAGCCTTCCATTAATACATAATTACAAGTAACAGCATTTTTATCCATTCACTATGATCAGGTAGTTGCTAAGGTGTGTTGCCTAAAAAACTGACCAATAAATAAAACAATAAAATATTAGTAGAAATTTTCTTTGGGGGAGAGTAGGGGTGGGAAGAAGAAATGCAGAATTTTCACTATATGGTAGACTGAGGGGGTCTTTAATCCACTGGTTAGCCTTTTTGATTGCCTCAAGGCAATAATCACCAAAATGTTTTTTTTCATTGAAGAAAAATAATCAGTAGTGTTATTCTTTACCTTCCTTTTGAATCTGTAACTTAAACCACAAATAAACGAATTAAAAGTCACATTCAAATCACAGTTCCTATAATCATTTCTCTTCATCCAGTTTTTACACTTTGCTGTTTTGTAGTTTTGTTGCCATATGTCATGAAAGCATTTATGGTTGTGCCTTGAAGTAGTTTAGGAGTGCTAAGCCTTGGAGCCACATCCACAAAGCTACCCAACTTGGAGGGCATTGCTCATTAAGGCAAATTAATCAAGCCTTAAAGTCTTTTGCAGTCTCTTTATTTTTTTTATTCCTTTATAGGAAAAAAGCAAAGAAAAATACGTAACAAGAATTTAGTTCTGTGTTCAAAAATTGTAAGCACCTTCTGTGTGTTGACAGGGCATGATGACGTACATTCACTCTGCTTTATTATAAATATGTTTTAAACATGAATATTAAAATCAACTGGATTTTCTTTGCACAAAATTTTGAATTTTACCATTTCATTGACCACCCTGAGACAATTAAGAAACAATATCTTGGATACTTCATTGGTGATTAATGATGGTAATAATATGGGCTTACAATGAGCCTGTTTTGAGATGCCACTCACATTCTTTGGTTCCCCATTGATTTGGTTTCATCTGTGCATGGTTCCAGCACTTATTACTACTTTAATGGCTAATTTTCCTTGCTAAAAAAAAAAAATCACACAACTTGTTAAAATACCTGCAACATCAATTTTTCCATACATGATTTGTAAATTAACTGTTCTATAGGGACTATCATTATAAATATAAACAAAAATATAAATAGCTACTTTGAGGTAAAAAACTGTCTTTCAATCAATAAGTCAAGCATATCTTTTGAAGTCATTTAAATGCATCATCAATTTTTAAAATTAAGGTCATCTTTCTCAGCCATGCTGCTTTTTTATGTAAAACAGTTTAATCTATAAAAACAAAATGTTACCAAATTTTTTCCTATTAATACGCTTTTTTTAGAAAGGCATGAAACTGATAAATAAGAGAATTTGAGCATTAAAAAATTGCATGTTGAAGTTGTAAATATATTGTTTCTATGCAAGACATCTCTTGTTTTAATTGAATACAATTTTCATTCTCATTCAAGTTTCCATTTTTAACGAAAATGACTCAGAAATGTTACTGCAAGAGCTGGGGCTTCATACATACGGTCGATTGTTTTCAAATATATCTGCAATATTTCCTCTCGCTCCTTATGTCTACTCCTTTGCAAGGTGACTTTGTTACTTACTTACACCTCCCATAAGAAGGTGGAGGCCATATTTGGTGGCCACAGTAACAAGTTATCATAAATTTGGTGACTTAAAACAACAAAAAATTTATTCTCTCACAGTTATGGAGACCAAAAGTCTGAAATCAAGGTGTCACCAGGGCTGTACTTCCTCTGAAGTCTCCAGAAGGAAATCTTTCTTTGCCTCTTTCAGTTTCTGGTGGCTGTCAGCATTCCTTGTGCTGGCATCACTCATCTCTTCCTTTGTCTTGAAATGGGGTTTTCCTCTTCTCTGTGTCTCCTCCTCTGCCTTTTATTATATAAGAACACTGGCTATTGGATTCAGGGCCTGCCTGGGGATATCCAGGATGGTATCATCACAAAAATTAATTACATGTGCAAAGATCTTTTTTCCAAATAAGGTAATATTCAGTGTCTGGCTTTTAAGACATAGATGTATATCTTGAGAAGCCATTATTCAAACCATTATACCACCCTTTAAATATAGGCTGGTCTTATGATGAGCTTCGATCAGTAGATTTTGGCAGAATAAGCATGGGCTTACGTTGCACTCAGCTTCTGCTTTTATTCTTCTTGAATGCAGTCTTGAGAGTGTTATGAAAAAAAATTGGTCTACTCTATTGAAGCATGAAAGCCTTATGGAACACGATCAGACTTTTTCAGCAGAAGGCAACTGACCTATACCCAGCACTAACTGCCAGTTATATGAGTGAAGATATTATAGCCCATTGATATGGTTTGGCTGTGTCCTCACCAAATCTCATCTTGAATTATAGCTCCCATAATTCCCACATGTTGTGGGAGGGACCCAGTGGAGAATCATGGGGGCAGCTTCCCCCATACTGTTCTTGTGGTAGCGAATAAGTCTCACGAGATCCGTTGGTTTTATAAGGAGTTTCCTCTTTCACTTGGCTCTCATATTCTCCCTTGCCTGCCACCATGTGAAATGTGCCTTTCGCTTTCTGCCATGATTGTGAGGCCTCCACAACCACGTGGAACTGTGAGTCCGTTAAACCTCTTTTTCTTTGTAAATTACACAGTCTTAGGTAGGTCTTTATCAGCAGCATGAGAACAGCCTTGTACACCCATCCAGCCCCAGTCCAGTGTGTGATGACAGCCACTGCATGTGGGAACACAAGCGAGACTAGCAGAAGAGCTGTCCAGCTAAGTGTGGCTAAAATTACTGACAGCATAGTGAGCAAATTAAATAGTTTGTTTTAACTTACTAAGTTTGCATCACTAAGTTAAGTATCAGTAGATAATGGATACAGAAATTAATATTTAGATATAGGATATTGCCATAACAAAATTTCCAAACAAGGGGCATGGCTTCAAGGGAAATAATGGCAATAGGCTGGAAAAATGGCAAGGTTGTAGACAGGGAAAACAAATTGTCAGTGGGCACTTGAAAACTAGTGAGAAAACTTCTAATAGAAGCTGGAAAACTGGGGACTTACGTTATGGAGGCATGAAAAAAACTGGCAAAACTATTCGTAGTAAATTGAAAAATGCACATTTTTTCTTCTAATGAACATGTAGATCTCACTAAGGATATTTTAAAGCCAAATGTTAAAGATGTCAGTTGATTTATTTTAGTGTGTTCTAATAATATTTTTGATGTCTTATAAAAGGATATCTGGGTTTTGAATGTACACCAGGTAATGAACATATTGTATCAGTTACCTATTGCTGTTTATAAAAAGAAAACCTAAGACATGTAATCTTAAAACTGTAACTTTTTCTGGGGGAAAACCCTGTCTTTACTAAAGAAATACACAAAATTAGCCAGGCGTGGCAGTGTGCACCTGTGGTCCCAGCTACTCAGGAGGCTGAGACAGAAGAATCACTTGGGCCTGGGAGGCGGAGGTTGCAGTGAGCCGAGATTGCACCACTACACTGCAGCCTGGGCAACAGAGAGAGACTCTGTCTCCAAAAAAAGCACAAAAAAACAAAAAAAACTGTAACTGTTTTTGGTCAGGGTTCTACGGGTCAGCTTGGATTTGGCTCACCTAGGCAATGCTTCTCTCTTTCTTTTTTTCCTTTCTTTTTTTTTGCCAAGGGTAATTTATGCAACTGTAAATTTGACAGCTTTACAAGGATTCAGTAATCTAAGATGGCCTCACTCATATGTCTTGAAGCTGGTGCTGGCTGGCAGCCCATTGCTCTGGAAGGCCCTACCTGGGTCAACTTTCTTCTCCTTCATGTACTTTCTTATCCTCCATTAAGCATGTTAGGTCTTCTTCTTTTTCTTTTTTTTTTTTTATTATACTTTAAGTTCTAGGGTACATGTGCACAATGTGCAGGTTTGTTGCATATGTATACATGTGCCATATTGGTGTGCTGCACCCATTAACTGGTCATTTACATTAGGTATTCCTCCTAATGCTATCCCTCTCCCCTCCCCCAACCCCAGGACAGGCCCCAGTGTGTGATGTTCCCCACCCTGTGTCCAAGTGTTCTCATTGTTCAATTCCCGCCTATGAGAGGGCTTCTATCTATGGTGATCTCAGGACAAGTTTCCAAAAAAGTAGAATAAAAGCTGTGTATTAGTCTGTTCTCATTCTAAAGATACTACCTGAGACTGGGTAATTTATAAACAAAAGAGATTTAATTGACTCACAGTTCCACACAGCTGGGGAGACCTCAGGAAACTTACAATCATGGTGGAGGACAAAAGGGAAGCAGGCACCTTCTTCACAAGGTGGCAGGAAAGACAGAAAGAAAGAGGGAAGCACCCGACACTTATCAAACAACTAAATCTCGCAGGAACTCCCTCACTATCATGAGAACAGCATTGGGGAAACTGCTCCCATTATCCAATCAGTTTCTACCAGGTCCCTCCCTCAACATATGGGGATTACAATTTGGATTACAATTGGGATTACAATTTGAGAAGAGATTTGGGTGGGGACACAGCCAAACCATATAAAGCTGTAAGATCTCTTGGCAACTAGGCTCAGAAGTTGCAAAATATCACTTCTGTTGGTTTAAACTGACTTGCATTTCCTTGGTAATAAAGTACATATGATTAATAAAAACCTAAATTATTCTCTTTACAAAAACTACTGCTTCAACAAACTTACTAACTATATTTGGGGTAGAACACAGAGATACACTGTAAAGTTCATTTCCTTCATCTGAATGACAACATGCCTATTAGAATCCTCAATGACTTAAAGTGGCATTGAATTTCCTTAATTTATCTGAATAAGTTTATTTTACACTCCCATTTTCTCAAAGTTCCTCTTTTTAATTTTTCACCTATGATCTCAGTTGAAAACATAATTTTAAGAATACCCTGCTTTTAAAAAGACCAAAAAATTACACAACACATATATTTTCAAATATTTATGTGAAATATTGAATATTCAATTGTTAACAGGAAGTTTGATGAAGTTAATTGTCAAAGTGTTTTGAATTGATTTGTGGATGTGTGCGTATGCATGTATGTATGTGTGCGTGAATGTGGGTGTGCATGTGTGTTGTTATGAAAAAAAGCAACAACACTAGTTCACAAATGATGAAGTAAAAAATTCCAGTTGTGTTGGGCTCCTGTTTTCAAGATCATTTTATTGGGGCTAAGTGTAGGAACTAGAATTACCTATGACAACCAGGGAAATAGCAGAATTCAATCTGGCTGAATCAAGACTGCGGTACTAATAACAGTGTTATGCGATTCTTTGACAGCATAAAAGTACCCAATCTTTCAGTACCTGACTGCATGTAAGTATCAGTATATGTGTGAGGAAAAGAAGGATAAAATTATCTAAACTAGGAAAGAAGGTTTCTGCAGTTTTGTTCACCTATTTGTAATATAAAAATAAACAAACACATAAAATAAAACTGTTTCCCCTTAGATCTGTGAGTAAAACTGATGTTGCCTGAAGATTATTTGTGAAGATGATATGACTTTTTTTTACTCCCAGGACAGCCTCTGAATATCTGTTTTTAACACACCACAGTTTGAGGACTGCAGCTTTAGAAGATGCTTCTGGGCTGTGGTCTCCTTGGAATACATGGCCACAGAGAAATTACAACGTGGAGATTCATTTTAGAGGGTAACATAAATACAGGATCATGAACCCAAACCCAGAATTGAGTAAAATGCAAATATGAGTGTCGAAAGTCAAGCACGGCATCAACTGTAACAACAGCAATAGATACGATAGCAGTGGAAGCAGTCTTCTTTTGTAGCTAAATATAGATGTTAAGATTAAGTTATGGTTAACCCATCTTTTGAGATTTATATTACATTGGCTTAATTACCCCACTTTTATTCTCTGGACAATCTCTTTCTCTTCCTGGATTTCTGTGCATTCTTAAGGGCTTGCATTCTCGTGAAACCAAACCCAATTGCATCTAGCCTTCTGTATTAATTTCCTATTGAAACTGTAATAAATCGCCACAAACATAGTGACTTAAGGAAACACATATTTATTATTTTACAGTTCTGGGGGTCAAATGTCTCACAGGGCTGAAATAAAGGTGTAGGCAGGGCTGCATTCTTTTCTGGAGGCTCCAGAGAAGAGACAGTTTCTTGCAGTTTTCAGCTTCTAGAGACAACCCACCTTCCTTGGCTCTTTGTTCCCTTTCTCCATCTTCAAAGCCGGATAAAGAGGGTTGAGATCTTTTCATATTGTATCACTATGATGTCCTACTCAGCCTCCTTTTTCCACTTTAAATGAGCATTGTCATCGCATCAAGTCTGCCCAGACAATCAATTTTAAGGGCAGCTAATTTAGCAACATTTATTCTATCTGCTACGTTAATCATTCTTTGCCATGGAAAGTAAAGAGTGATTAAGGTAGCAGACAGAATAAATGTTATTATGTTTTGTAACATCGTAAACATTTGTTAATTATATAACATATAAATATCATATAAATATAATCTTTTATATCAGGCTCAGCATATAAGAATGTGGATGTATTTGAAGGACCATTATTCTTCCTAACTCATCTTCCATGGCTGTTTTCGTATGCTAGATATTGCCATATTTAGACCTTAGCCATCTGTCTCTGATTTCCATGAAGCATTTATAGATATAAAAGACATGATTGTTGGGGTGACAGTTTACATAATAAAACCAAACTACCTAAGATATTAACTATTTTTTTTTTGACAGAATCTCGCTTTGTTGTCAGGCTGGAGTACAGTGGCACGATCTCGGCTCACTGCAACCTCCGCCTCCCAGGTTCAAGAGATTCTCCTGCCTCAGCCTCCTGAGTAGCTAGCACCACAGGTGAACACCACCATGCCACACTAATTTTTGTATTTTTAGTAGAGACAGGGTTTCACCATGCTGGCCAGGATGGAACATTAACTATTTTTGTTTTAGAAAAGTTACCTCTTGCCAACAGAAAAATATTTATTTGTTTTACTCTGATATGGTAGCAAGAACAGGACCTTAATTTTTTAATAATTCAGAAATGAGGAAATTTACAGAGAAACTATGAGAAGAAATATGGTGCCATATAATTACCATTTTGAACAAACATTCCTGGCAGCTGGGGAATGTGCCTCAATCCTAAAGGGGAGGATCTGGATTACAGCCACTGCAGGATGCCTGTTCCCCAGTCAGATTGGTGGGAACAGAAACTAGATGTTTGGAGCATTCTCACAAAATTTCCATTATTCAACCATATGAAAAACCTCCCTTGGCTTTAACTCCCATCTGAGTCTAAGTCATATTTGTTGAAGTGCTGATATTATTGAGTTGGCAACCATCTTGACAGTGAAGGAGATTTGATAATGTGACATCATATTAGATTACACTTCAAATAATGATATAGGCTGATCCTCGATTTTGTTCTTAATCAATAGAACACTATTTTTGGCAGTGGACCAAGACCTAGGGTATACATAATTATTAGTTAAACAATCATGGTAATTCCATTCCCATTCATCAATAATTGTCTTATTTAGGTGGGGATGTGACTCAATTTATAACCAGTGTCCAAAAAAAAGAACTTCAGAAAAATTAAATTTTACAGAGTTTATTTGAGTGAAAAATAATAATTCATGAATTGGGCAGCACTCAGAGCCAGAAGAAGTTCAGAGAGCTCACCTAGCAGTGAGAGCAGCAAGCTTTTATAGGCTGAACATGGAAGCAAAATAGGAAAGTTTCCTGATTAGCAGGAAAGCTAAGCATCTGTCTTATTTGGGTATGCTATGATGAGGTATTTTCCTTATTTCAACATGGTTTGATTAGTTGGCTGCCTGTGACTGGCTGAAACTGTGCTATTTGTGACTGGATGAAACCTGATTATTGGTTACCAAAAAAATGTACTTCTAAGTTCAGTTTTGGTTTACATACTATGTTAGGTTGTGGTTTGTTATGTGTGAACTCAAAGTATGGAGACAGAGTCGGACTAATGGTCTCTTGGTTATTTAATTTACCACCACCAAAGACAATTTTTCCTTCTGATCTTATCCTTTCTGCTTTCAGTGATATCTGATAAGAACTTTTGATCATAGAAAGTGCAATGGCCGTCTTTCAATTATGAGGTTCTACAATCTTCTGAGGACAGTGGACAGGGAAAAATGAGAAGAGACAGTCCTTGATTATGTCGCTGAGCCACTGGATGAAGATTGGAACTGACACTGCTGAACTTGTCACTTTTTTTACTGAGAAAATAAATGTCTTTATTGTTCAACCTGCTTTTATTTGGTATTCTGAAAATGCCACCAAAGATAAGAAATACTGCAAAGTTGTACTTAAAACAACCAAAACACATTATAAAAATTTAAAATGTAGAATTTTGAACAAGTGGAAGAAGCTGCTTTAGTCTGCTTGTAACCTGGATGACTTAAAGAATACAAACTTATTACTCTCACTTCTTGAAGCTGGGAAGTCCAAAATCAGGGTGCTGGCCTATTTGGTTGCTTGTGAGCGCTTTCTTTTTGGCTTGCAAAAGGTGGTCATCTTCCTGTGTGCTCACATGGTCGTTCTCTGGTGTGTGTACTCAGAGAGATGAGAGAGAAAGAGAGAGAGAGTAAGCTCTCTGGTGTCTCTTCTTAGGAACATGATTTAACTTTAATTACTTCTGTAAAGGTGCCATCTCCAAATACAGTCACAGTGGAGGTTAGGGCTTCAACATATGACTTTTTGGGGCAAACATAAATAATAAGTCCATAGCAGAAGCTAAATATAATAAATGCTATACAATTAAATATAGTAAATTTATGATATAATCAAATATGTAAATTATGCATATATATAATGTATCTCATTTATTATAGTAGATGATATAGTAAGGTCTCATTCTGTCACCCAGGCTGTTGCATAATCTAGCTCACTGCAACCTCAAGCTCAAACCATTCTCTCACCTCAGTCTGCCAAGTAGCCAAGATTATTACAGGTGCATGCTACCAAACTCAGATATGGAAAAAGTACATTTTGGTAGAGACAAAGTTCTGCTATGTTGTTCAAAGTGATCTCAACTCTTGGTGTCAAGCAATCTTTCCTCCTTCCAAAGCACTAGGATCACAGGCATGAACCACCGTGCCTGGAGAATATATAATATACCTTATAAGATATATAACATGTTAGGGGTAACAGATAAGATATTATATAGAAGAGGTTATAGGTTATATAATCTACTACCTATTATATAAATATATATAGTAAATAAAATATAGAATCATATTCATATGTTTTAACCTCCTTTTAAACTTAAAAGTGTGTTGAAAATTTTCCAATTTAATAAACATTCTATTTTTTATCATAAAGTTTATGTATTTCGTTATTAAAAATAATGATAGAATGAAAATTACTGTACATACACGTGATTCATATCTCTGAATATTATTTCCTTGCTGTGAGTTCCTAGAAATAAAATGATATTTTTTAAGAATTTTGAAACATTATCTAATTTCTTTCAGGAAGAAAAAATAAATATACAAAAGCATTAATGACATTGGAAATTAGCAACTTGCTGCCCACATGAAAATACTAATATTTTCATTATCTTTGACTTTTCATTTTCACAGCAATAAGATTGTAACCACATTTTTGATTGCATTACTTTAGTAACTGTGACTTTTAATTGAATTTCATTATATAGGTTGCTATTTTTCTTTCAATTTTAAAAATGTTTGTTCTTTTTATTTAGCATGGGAAATGGCAGCAGGCTTTCTGAAATGTTTAAAGGCCGGGTTGTTGCCTTATTGTTGCTGGGGAGCTTGACTCAGGGACAAGTACAACCTGTTATTTCTAAACATTCCCTTGAATAGAAGAACATGATATTATTTGTATAACTTTAACTGGCAAGTGATGTAAACCTGAGTATAAAAATGCAGTACCTAATAAGAATTGGCTGTTTTTTTTTTTTTTTTTACTCTGGCAGGAACAACAATCATTCCCATCACCGCCCCCTTCCACATAGCACATTGTACGAATCAGAAAAAGCAGTCCCTTCTTCCGGACACCTCACTGCCTGCAATCTGCCAGCAAACTGACAAATTTGCAAATCCATAATAAACAAATGTCCAAGCATGGTAAAAGTGAATTTTGTCCCTTAGAATTGTGTCATACACAATTTACACATATAAGGACTAATTAAGCATATCAACACTTTGGTAAAACATAGGTTTCAAAGTATTCTCAGAGTTTTTCTGTCTTTTATTTTCAATTGTGTATATATATATATTTATATGCACACACACATATATCAATATGTATATATACACAGACACATGTGCATGAATATATATGTACCTACTTTTTTATGTACCATATCTATGAGTCTTTTTTTGGCGTTTCCTATTTTTGTGCTACACACACACACACACACACACACAAAACTTTCCTCAGCCCATGAATAAATGTATGTAATTTACTTCTAGGACCTTTATAGTTTCTTACTGAAAATTGAATTTGTCTTAAAAGGAAGTAAAACTAAAAAACATCTATCTACCTTTTTTTTCCTTTTATTTTCAGTTGCTGTCTGAAAGGAATGAGTTACATTAAAATTCATTCTTTTTCATATGGACATGAAAGTCCTAGTCTCTCTTTCTCTTTATCTCTCTCTCTGTCTCTGTCTCTTTCTGTCTCTCTCTGTCGCGCTCTCTCTCCACACACACACACACACACACACACACACACACACACATCCCTAAACACAATATTAATTACAAATATCCTCTGTCCTCCCAGGGATGGTATACATGTCCCTGCCTCATTGACATCAGGCTAAAGTGGTGATGCTTTGCCCAGTGAATTGTGAATAGGACGGATGTTTGCTACTTCTGAGCCAATACTGTGAGAGGGTCATGTAATTCATCATTTCTTTTCTCCCTTTGCCATAGGACTCACTATAACCAGATAAGATGTACACTGGTGACAATATTAACAATAGATACATAGGGTTAGTTAGAAATAAATCTTTGTTGTAAGAGGCCAAAATTTGGGAATTATTTGGTGCTGCAACATTACCTATGGTCAAAGTGATTAATATATCTCTGAAATCTCTATGCATATTGAGGTAATTTTATAATCTAGGGAGAATACAAATACCAATAAAAACATTTCTTTCTTCTATGGAGGCATTATATTTCATTTATTTAAATAATCTTTTATGAATCTTTTTTTGTAGTTGTATCTATATTAAATATATATAGTATAATATATATTTAAAATATATATTATATATACATATACATTAAACTAGAGCATTATTAAATGTTTATTAATTTAATTTAATGTTAGATCACTTTTATGTGTGTACAGAAATCATTATAAAAATAATAAAAATATTCCCTATTTTTTGTTAATATTTTTCCCTGTTATTGTGATTGATTTGAAATGTAGTTAGTAAATGAGCTCTATTGATTTTATCCTTCAAATCCCCTATAATTTCATTTTCTTTTCTCTTACTTGATATTTGTAGGACAGCTGGCCTTGAATTCCGGGCTTCAGGTGATCTGCCCTCAGGTGATCGTGAGGTCAAGAGATCAAGACCATCCTGGTCAACGTGGTGAAACCCTGCCTCTACTAAAAATATAAAAATTAGCTGGGCGTGGTGGTGCACGCCTGTAGTCCCAGCTACTCAGGAGGCTGAGGCAGGAGAATCGCTTGAACCGGGAGGCAGAGTTTGCAGTCATGCCATTGCACTCCAGTCTGGTGACAGAGCAAGACTCCATCTCAAAAAAAAAAAAGTATGGTGTAATAAATACCTAAACCAGTAACATAGTCATTTATGATAACTATCAGGTGATGTGTACTGTATATAACTGTATGTGCCATACTTTGATAAGACTGGCAGCACAGTAGGTTTATGGCAGCATCACCACAAACACGTGAATCAGTGTTGCACTCTGATGTTATAAGAGCTATGATATCGCTGGACAATAAGAATTTTTCATCTCTATTATCATCCTATGGGATCACCATTGGATATGAGGTCCGTCACTGATTGAAATTGTGTGGTGTATAATTGTAATTACCACTGTATTTGTTTTAAAGAGGTAGGATCTCATTATATTTCCCCGATGGGCCTTGAGCTCCTAGGCTCAAGCTATCCTCCCACCTCAGCCTTCTGAGTAGCTGAGACTATAGGCATGAGCCGCTGTGCCTAGCTTACTACTGTATTTTATATTATATATTTGTTGTTAGTTTTCTATATTTTACTTCTTTGGATTATTTACAATTCTTAGTATTTTTGTTGTTGCTGTGTATTATGGAAGTGCTACATAGTAGTTTTGTAATAGATCCAATACAATTTTTTTGCAATGTAGTTATTATTAGAGATTCATTTGCCTTTTTTTTGTAGAGGATGTTTCTGAATGGTATGCAGATTTCTTGAATCTTGATCATAATCAAATGAAAATTCTATGACCCCAACACTCAGAATCAGTTAGTTTCTCAGTCTTTTTAGTTCCTTTTAATGCAATGGCAAATTAATAACTAAAGTAGTTTAAGACGTCTTTACTCAGTGACATACTATAAGATATTTTATATCATATATGCATATACACAGACATACATAATTAGACAGATATTCATTTAAGTAAATGAAAAAATATAAATTGTGCTTAAAAGTTGCAAAGTGGTCAGGTATTTCTGTTCCATTTAATTTTTATTAATGCTATCATGACTCAATTTACTTCAAGATCCAGTGTTCCACGTATCTTGAAACTTAAGCAGTACTGAATGAGATGACTTGCACTGTCTGCAGCGCTCTAAGACATTTTAATTGTTAAAATGTCTGGAGACCTGAGCTGGCATTGTTCTGTCTTGGTACAGGCAAATGGAGACGGGGGCTGCTTCTAGCCTTCAGCTCAATCACAGTAGAAATTTCAAAAATTTGGTCTTCCACCTTTTCTAGTCTTTTCAGCTTATTGAGTTCCCTGGAGTCTAGTGCGCATACAGACGGCGCTGATAAGAAATTTACTCACAGCCTCCCTTTTCTTTAATAACATTTTCTAGGTAAATCCCTATTAAGCTTTGCCTAAGGGAATCCTCTAAGAGCTTAAAGAAAAGAATGGGCCCTTTAATAATTTAAGTGCATGGGATAGGATCGCCAGAAAACTTGAACAAAAAGAAACTTAAAGCATGGAATCAGCATTCTTTCTTTTTCACTGAAAATTCATGGACATCTTTATCAGTATATTTCAGACTGTTAGTCAAATCCATTAGGTGGTCAGACAATCAGATTAATGCAACTAAATGAACATTATTTTAAATAAATTAGAAGAGAATAGAAAATTCTAGAGAGCATTATATAATACACAGTGTTGTTTCCGAAGATTTTTCTTTGTACGTGATATGTATGTATACTAGATTATGATGTAAACCAATGTTTTTATTGTAGGTAGTGGTAATGAAAGTTTGAAAGCTCTTACCCTGTAGGATATGTTAAAGCAATTTTATGCACAGGTTGCTAAAGAAAAATATTTATGATATTATTTTTCTCTTTCCCACAACTGTGCAAAATCCTTACATGGCTAGACCCACAGGAATTTATATCTACATTTTTTTTAGAATTTTCCACAAATTCTGCTGTTTATGCCATTTACATTTTGCTAAAGCATTCTTTGTTTCCTTAACTTTCTTCTCCAAATCTGACAGCTAACTTTCCATTTTTGTCTGTATATTGTCAGCCAGCCTTTTATCTCCAGCTTCATAAAGTGCACGTTTTGTTTAACTTCATGGAAATCTCTAAGGAGACGCTACAGAAAATTTCTATCTCCCAAGTGCTGTTTTTCTCCCCTTCTATTATGTTACATCAGCTTTTTCTATATTGATTTTTTTCCTATTTTCTTTTTTCCCCTGGTAACCCCTCCTTGAACATAATGAAGTCTATCCTATTACTGTATTAGCTACCAAATGCTACAAATGAATTTCCCTTGATTCCTTTAAATATTTACCTGGATAGTATTGGAGGTTTCATATCAGTTCAAAAACTGGAGAGCTAACGGATGTAGTTGAGTGTTAGCACCTTACAGATCTGCATCCTGAGGGAGTAGGAATAGAATTGTAGAAAGGTCATTTCTCAGGAAAAGATGTGTGTTGATGTGAGGTCTTTGTGAGGCTGTTTTTCACCTCTAAGTTATTAAGCAAAAATTCATAAGAGCTTTGGAAAGTAGATAGTGTAATTTTCCTATCATTTATTTTCTCATGAAAGCTTTTTTTTTTTCTTGTTTTCAAATCTTAATGTCTGTTTTTGCTATTTCTTGGAGAGGGAGTTACATAATGTTAAAACTTTACTATATTTCTGGAAATAATTATTTTCTTACTGTCAATGTGTGTGTATTTATGCTTGAGAAAAACTTATTGTAATGCTCAAAGTATCCTGTTTACAAGAAATTTGGTTATCTACAGTTTAATTAAAATAATTTTCCATTTCTACTTCTTAGAATTTTAAGCCCATTAGGGCTTTGAGAGACAGCAGCAGCTAAATTGAATGCAATTTGTGCCAGGCATTTTAGGTACATGTGACAAGAATTGCCAGCTATCCACAGCATTCTTTGTCCATTCTTTGGACACACAGATTACATTTCCCAGAATTTCCTACAGGTGAGTACAGTCGTGTGACTGGAGTTTCTTTACAGAAATATAAGTAGAAATAATTCACCATCATTGGCCTTGCCCACAAAATCCCTCCAGATGCATTTACTTTCTCTCTTTTTCCCTCTCTCTCTCTCTCTCTCTCTCATTCTCGCTCTAGCACATGCTCTCTATCTGTTACAGTCTCAGCTGTGGTCAGCCTAGCTCCCCGATGACCACACGATGAAGAGCCACCCAGCTGACCTGAATTCCTATCCAATAATTTTATATGAATAGCACATAACATTTCAGCCTGTTAAGCCACTGTTAAGCAAAATGTGGGTCTTGTTATTTGAGTAGCACAGTCTTCCCTAATATATACATCCATCTCATCTAGGTTTTATGACAATATTGAGAAATAGGTATTATTATTCTCGTTTTACCATTGAGAAATCTGAATTATCCAAGGCCAAAGTGCAAGAAAGTAGAAATGCCAAACTGGATTTCTAACTCACTTTGCCAACACCAAAGTCTGTGTCCCAAAATGCCCCATTTAAAAGGTGAGACAGCGGTTTGGAACCAGTTTCTTGTTGAGGAGCACCAACTTAGGAGAGTATAAACATGAAGTGGCTTCATTTTTTCCAGTAAGCACCAATATTCACAAGTATCTGTTGAAACTTCACTTTGCAAAGGTATAATAGTAGGAAGGCATAACAGCATAACAATTCTCATCCCAGCTCTACATCTTTTCAGCTACTGACAATTGTGAAAACAGAGACTTTTCATTTTTAAGTATTTATTCTATTCATTTAAAAAATTCAGTATTAACTCAAAATTTTTTTTTGCTTTGTCTCCTCCACCACCATTTGGTCGTGTGGCTGGTTTTAAGTGGAGAGTGACATTAGCTTTGCCTGGCATGGTTTGACCATATCTCAGGAGAGACTGCCTGGCGTAAACAATACCTCTGTCATTTACTAGCAATGTGGCCATGGGCAAGTTATATCACTTCTCTGTGACATGGTTATTTCACCTGTAAAATGTTGGTGATGATTCTCCTTGTTTCAATACTTATTTTGGGGAAGGAGGTAATGATTAAATGAAGTACTAATGGCAGAATTTCGCATATAATAAAATCTCAATAAATGTTCAGGTTTTAAAAATTCATTATTTTTGCGTGGCTGGTGGCACCACGCCATATTCCTCTGGTTCACAATCATATTGCTCCCCTGCTATTCATCCAAGACAAGGCTGTAGCTTCCAATCCTGTTACTCACCAATGTCAAACCTATGGCCTCATGAAGTATTCAACTTCTACATCACTTAGGAACTGCTGATTTATAGTGAAGGGAGGTGGTCCTATTCCACTCTCACTGTCCCTAGCATATTTTCCAAGATGTTTTCTCCATTTCTCATCAATGTCAGATGGGATATGATCACTTCTCCCTCACTGATAGAGGAAGAGGAAATGTGCAGCCAATCCTCCAAACTTCATTATTTTCTTCAGTCCTTGATCCTGGACTTTGCAGCCAGAAACAACCTCATCTCCTTTATGGGGAAGGAAGGAAAGAGAATGGACGTTCTGTGCCTGCTCTTCTCCAAAATACAAACTTGTGTCTCCAAGCATGCCTCTTGATTATATTAAGAAGAGTGATACAGCTGTGGGGAATGTATAAATTCCAATAACTATTCTCTTTGCAGCTGATGTGTGAGAAACTGAACATCTTTCATTCTTAGCTGTGGAGGCTCAATAGTCAATTTCAGGGAAATGGGACCCAACTCAGCACTAATATCATCTAGCTACATTTTTAATTAAATGATTAGATCAAGTCAAAATAATGAAATTAGCTTGTGGTATAGCTAGGCTTAAAACCCAGTCTTGGCTGGGCGAGGTGGCTCATGCCTGTAATCCCAGCACTTTGGGAGGCCGAGGTGGGCGGATCACGAGGTCAGGAAAACGAGACCATCCTGGCTAACAAGGTGAAACCGTGTCGCTACTAAAAATTACAAAAAAATTAGCTGGGCGTGGTGGCGGGCACCTGTAGTCCCAGCTACTCGGGAGGCTGAGGCAGGAGAATGGCGTGAACCTGGCAGGCGGAGGTTGCAGTGAGCTGAGATCTCACCACTACACTCCAGCCTGGGCAACAGAGTGAGACTCTGTCTCAAAAAAAAAAAAAAAAAATCTTTGGTTTCTCGGTACAATATTTCTAAAACATTTTGAGTGCCTCTATCAAGTTCTGAATATAAACAAATATCAAAGCATATATGAATTATTGAATATGCACATATATTTTCTATTTTATACATACATATATATTTATATATGTACAAAATATGTGCATATTCAAAAATAGGAAATATTTATATATGGGTATATTCTTTCAAAGAAAGGAAAAAAACCTCTACCTGTAGACCACTTGATGAGGAGAAGAAAAAATTCCTCCCTGTAGGTGATGGCCGTAAAGAAGCAAGTCTTTTTAGAATCCGCTGAAAGGAGAAGGAGAGAAGGAAAGAGAAGGTAAATGTTGCTGTGGCTAATAAGATGCTTTTCATTAGCTCTGGAGCTCATTTTTAATCTGACAAGTTTTATGATCAGGCCATCTTTTTATAATAGGGTTTAATACGGATTTCAGCATCACAATATTCATATACTTAACCTTTATTTATGAGGACAATTTCAGAGTATGGTCTTTTCTAGCCTCTCAGTGGCCTCTGCTAAATGTCAATTTTGGTTTAAAGCTGTCATCATGGAGGAGCCCTGGAGGAGCCAAATTTCCCTTCTCTAGACATCACAATGCTGCAGCTTTCACTGCTGCTCACAAATGCAGCTCTTGCATATCTGAAATTTAGACCCACAAAGGGCAATCTAAGCTTAGCCTTTTACAAATGTCTTTTTAATTCATATACCTTTACAACACAGCTAAGCATTGTAAGTGTTGTAAAGGTATATGAAGTGGTGATTTAGTGGAAGGATTGGGATCCATTCCTCTTATACATGAGAAATTAAAACCAAAGATGGCATTTTATTTTTTAAAATTTGTATGAATATGTCACATATAAGAAAAGGTCACAAAATATGGTCCCTCAAGCACAATCATTACTGTTTATCCACAAAATTTTCTTTTTACTCTAATCTCAAAACCATAGTCTCTGAAAGCCATTAGGCTAACCTATGTTGAAGCAAATACATTTGATTATATAACCATGCAGTTTATTGTCTTTGCTCTCAGATTGTGAGTGGTTGAAACATTGTTTCACAAAACAGTTGCTCATCTAGAATTTGGGACTCATTCAAGCTTCCAATCATTCTCTTTTGCCTGCTATTTTTTTCTCTAACTATCTTGCAGAGCTAAACATGCTTGATAGGTTTTGATTTTGTTATAAGACTATTTGTTTTTTGTGAATTTTTATTTTCCATTAATTTTGATAAAACTAATGTTTGTTTAGCTTAGCTGTGAAGAAATCACAAGAGACTTGAAAAAATGAAAACTTATGTAGTGGAGATTTTAGGGAAATTGCTTTTAAGCAAACCAGAAAAAAGTACATGTGAATTGGCAATGAAGAAAAGTTGTTTTCTTTGGTTATGGCACTCTGGTATTTAAAAATCACCTTGAGTAGGAAAAAACCAACAGGAAAATGATAAGACACCTTCAATATATAATCTAGTGGAAATAATCAGTGAGCCAATGAGTACAGAAAACAAACAAATACAGTATTCTCAATTGAAGATCATTTACTTAACTATAAATGGTGTTATTACTATTTATGGGACATGTAAAATAACTTCTTGAAGTGATATCTTAATATATTTCATATACACATGAAGTCTCATTCATTTTTAACTAAAAGAATATATAAAAATGACTAAACATAATTACCATAAACCAAACAATGTCTGTGCAGTTAGTTACTGCAAAGAAAAGATATTAGACACATGTCATATTTTGTAATTGTTTCCACAATTTGTGTGTTTAAAGTCTTTAAATGACTTCACATTGCTCTTCGAATAAAAATTCCAAATTTTGAAACATACACAAAACGCCCAGTACATCCCGTCTCTTTTCAGTCGTATTTTGTGTTGTGATTCTCCTCAGTCTTCTCACTCCTCCCATCATGACCAGTTTTTCAGTTCTCCCAACACACTGGTTTCTACTTCAGGGCCTTTACGTATATTTCACAGATATCCATTCCTCTCGCAGTGATGCCATTCCCTTCCTCACTTCCTCATCCATCACCCCCACGTTTGCTCCTTATATCCACTTTCAGCCAAAGATGACAGTTTCAGTGAGAACTTCTGTGAATTTCACCTCAAATTTAATTTGGTTTTCTAGAAATATTCTGTCTTTGCTTTATATGTTTCATTTTATAGCATATAATTATGTTTATGCATAATATTATGTGCTTAATGAGCATGTTAGCTAAACTTTTTGAGAAACAAGAACCCCATTTTGCAATTTAGTTTTTCATTTGGTGCTTAACCTAGTTTCTAGTACAGAAAAAGAAGTCTTTGCTGGCGTTAGTTAAGTATAATTGAACAACACTTAAATTATTTAAATGATAATTTAGAGACAACTTGAAACTCTGAAATTCCTGGAGGTTGACACAACATAGAGAGTAAAAGGGTCTCTAGACATGGTAACACCAGTTGTTCAACCAGGAAGCATTATCAGCCTGGAAGGGGAGGCTCTTAAGGTATGTACAGAGTTCAGGCCTTCTGAAATTTCATCTGTCTGCTTACATTGCTGGACAAGACAACTCTATCCAAATGTTGTCTTTAAGGAAGTTCAGGCTGACATATGTAAGAACGGCCCCACAGAAGGAAATGGAGATGATAGTCTCTTCTATTAAAGGTTAGAGCATAATAGACTTTCAGAGTCACAAGATTAAGAATATTAGTTTTAGTAACTTCTGTGGCTTTTTCTAAGATTAAAAAAAAAAGTAAGAAAAAAACACAAAAAAGGTCAGATCCTTTCCCTGCTCAAAGAGATTCAGCCATTGTCTATGCCTCCTCTCCTCTTTGTGCCTACTTCCACTGCTTCACTCATCTCTCTATGTCATAATTTATCTGTTTACTTGCTTTTTTTTTTTTGAGATGGAGTCTCGCTCTTGTTGCCCAGGCTGGAGTGCAGTGGCACGATCTCGGCTCACTGCAACCTCCGCCTCAGTGAGAAGACTGAGGGTTCAAGCGATTCTCCTACCTCAGCCTGCAGAGTAGCTGGGACTACAGGCGCCCACCACCACACCTGGGTAATTTTTGTACTTTTAGTAGTGACGCGGTTTTGCTATGTTGGCCAGGCTGGTCTTGAACTCCTGACCTTACGGGATCTGCTTGCCTTGGCCTCCCAAAATGCTGGGATTATAGGCATGAGCCATCGTGCCCAGCCCTACTAACTTTAAGCTCTTTTGAGGAGACAATTACATAATTTATGACTCATTAAAATAGTTAAGAGCTTTACAGATGTTTTAAAATTTGAATGCTCAAGAAAAAATACACAGTTGTCCATTGAACAACACAGGGGTAAGGAGCACTGATCCCCTGCACAGTCGAAAATCCACATATAACTTTTGACTCCCCCAAATCTTAACCACTAATAGTCTACTGCTGACTGAAAGCCTTACTGATAATAGAAACAGTTGATTGACACATATTTTGCATGTTATATATATTGTGTACTGTATTCATACAGTAAAGCTACAGAAAAGAAAATGATTAAAAATCATAAGGGGAGAAAATATATTTACTATTCATTAAATGGAAATGGATTATCTTAAATGTATTCATCCTCATCATTTTCATGTTGAGTAGGCTGAGTAGGAAGAGGAAGAGGAAGGATTTGGTTTTGCTGTCTCAGGGTGGCAGAGATGGAAGAAAATTCACATATTAAGTGGACTCACACCAGTGAAACCTGTGTTGTTCAAGGGTAAAGTGTATTTTACTGTTCAACTCAGTGTATTTCTCCTCCCCCTTATATAACTAAAACAATATTACCAAAAAATAATACTATCCTTACTTTGTGTAGCATCCTTACTCTCATATTTTCACTCTATTTTACTATATTTTCATTTTTGAAATATGTTCTTCATATGAACAACTTGGTCAGTTTCATTACCCAGCAATGGTCTGTGAACAGCATTTTTGAAAAGAGGGCAATAGATTGTGAGCCAAATGCAGGGGCTATGTCTACCTACGTTTAACAACTCAACACTGACTGGCACGCACTAAGTTTGATGAGTAAATTAATGACTGTATCTTTCACAATTAAAACAATCCCTATATAGGATTTTATACCCATGTTGCAGAATTTAGTTTAGCTAAGATCTGGCTTTTTGTCATAGGACCAAGAAAATTTAGGCATCTGGACGCATTGGAGGGTGAGTAGAGCAAGATGTTATTGGGCGAAAAGGCAAAAAAAAAAAAAAAAAACCTCAGCAAAGCAAGATGGAGTTCTGCTAAGAAGCCCCCCATCTCACAGATTGATTCACAGATCACCACAGGAGCTGAAGAGAGCAGGCCCCTCCCCTGCATAAGCCGCAAATTCCCCATGGCTCCACCCACTTTCCCCAGTGAGCATTTCAGGCTCCAGTCCTCTGTGGGCATGCCCAGACAAGCCCTGGGCAGGTTCCCTCATCTGCACAAAAATATGTGATGTAAACACTTGTTGGGTGCGTGCAAGATTCTCTGGGGATCCCCTTTTACCTGTTTCAGTATTTGGCTGTTGAATAAATAGATAGGCAAGACCTTTCAGACTTTGAAGGAGGCCTGGGATACTTCTGTATTTGCCATTTGCTAATATAATATAAATAAATACATGTGTAACAAAGTTATAATATTTTAGCTTATTGAAATGTTCATATTAACCATTAAATTAGAAATGAAATTATGCAATTGACAGAGAATCTGCAAGATCATTGATTCAAGTACAAGCAATATAGTCCATTATTGAGAAACAATATGAGTTTAATGAATACCTTCTCTTATCTTGGCAAGGTATGCCTGTATCAACACATCACATGTACCCCACAGATATATACAACTATTATGTACCATAATAATCTAAAGTTAAAGTTTAAACAAAGGCCAGGCACAGTGACTCATGCCTGTAATTCCAGCACTTTGGGAGGTCGAGGTGGGCAGATCACCTGAGGTCAGGAGTACCAGACTAGCCTGGTCACCATGGTGAAACCCCATCTCTACTAAAAATATACAAAAATTAGCTGGACATGGTGGCATGCACCTGTAATCCCAGCTACTCAGAAGGCTGAGGCAGGAGAATTGCTTGAACCTGGGAAGCGGAGGTTATAGTGAGCCGAGACTGTGCTATTGCTCTCCAGCCTGGGCGACAGAGTGAGATTCCATCTAAAAAAAAAAAAAAAAAAATCTTGACAATGTTTCTCTGCTCCTATGTAACTTTTTGATGAAAATTTCTAAGTTCAAGTATGAGATCTTTCAAGCACATTAGAAACCTTTCTTAAGGTTTTTTTCTTCCTGGGCATAATTTGATGCTTTTACTTCTACGTTTAAAAAGAAAATCTTCTGATTAAGGAAGAGTTCTCAAAAATGCGTCTGTTTAAATGTAAACACCTAAACAAATTGAAAGTATTATTTTAATAAATAGTGAAAAGTAACACAAGCAAATTGAGCTAATTAAAGAAAGTGGAAAGGAAAATAAATTATCTTTTGTTCAGAAAGACAGTTCTAGCTAGGACACAATGGCCCATGAGGTATTATGAGAAAGCCAGAGAATATAAAGGACATGAGGGAGTCACTTACCTTTGGAAAAATAAAATAATCTTTAGAACTAAATATTTCTCCTTTTTTGCTATAGAAATATATTTATTTTATATTTTAAAATTGTACAACTATTATGTATCCATAAAAATTAAAAATAAAAAAGGCCTGAATATTTCTGCAACCTCACCCTTTCCTTTAATTTTCCTTCCCAATGGCTTCAATTCATTAAATTGCTTTCCAACCAATCTCCCTGTCTACAGTCTAGCCCTTTCTACACCACTGCCAGAATGAGCTCTTACAAATTCAAATCTGATTATGCCATTCTCCAGCTCAGAAAGCTTTAATGACTCCCCAGAGCTCTGAGTGAAAAAAAATCAAAGCCATAGAATGGCACATAAGCTTTGCCACCTGTTTACCTCTCTACGCCTTCTCCCTCCACCTCATCACCAGCATTACGAGCATCAGCAACAAAACAAGGCTCTCTGTTCCCTGAATGTACTTTTTCTTTTGGATCTCTTTGCACATGATTTCTCCTCCCCCTGGCAAACTCTCCCTGCCTTTGAATACATTTTCAGTTCTTATTCACCCTTTAAAAGAATTTTCTTGCATCTCTATGACGACTTCTCTACCCTCTGCCCCAGGCCCCTGAAGCCACGAGGACTGTCTCAAACAGACCCAGGCTGATAGAATGGCAGCAAAAGCTGCACAGATACCACATGAAGGCAGCCCTTTATTTGACTTCCAATTTTGTTATGGTTATAACTGTTGAAACCTGATAACGCTACTTGGCTTCTCTCAATTTCAAATTCCTTGGCAAAATGGAGATATGCTGATGCAAAAATTTGAAGTTTGTGGGGATGACACACAATACAGACTAAAGTAGGGTCATTGTCATTTACAGAAATTTACATTTCCAATTGGGAGGGTATATTTCACCTTCAAGTCTTATTTTCCTTTGGAGAGGTAGTTTGTGTCATCTTTCATATCCGTAGTACCTCATACAACCCCAGGGAGTAGGGTCTATCATTATTTCCACTTATAGAAGAGGAAAGTGAGTCACAGAGATTATTAAATCGTTGCTCAAAATGACAAACCTTGCATGTGTGGGTGCTGGGCTTTGGCCCTAAGCAGTCTGGCTCCAGAGTTCGTATTCCTAATCAGTAGTCTACGCTGCTTATGCTGTTAGTCTATTATAAGACTCTGACAGTCCTAGACGGTATTTCCACTTTGTAAGATTCAGCTTCTTGACTGGTCAAACAGGAGAAATAAAAATTTGTGAGGTAGTGGAGAACATCAAAGCAGACAATGAATGGTGAGCACATTAGTGCTTAGCACGTGGTAGTGAGTTGATGCTAAACTTATGTTGGTTCCCTGATATTTAAATGCCTCTTTCTAATCAACAATAGATAATGTGAAATACATGTACACATTGTTTCAAACTAATTCAGATTCTTCAAAACACATGTGGATAGCATAAAGGGAGGGACCTTTCACATTTCCAGATTTACTTATAATCATGATCCCTTGCCCCACTTGCCAGACACTGTAACCACTTCTAACAATGGTGACTCATGATTTTCCAGAATATTCCATGTAACATCATGCCAATATCTTCATTCTGTGTATTATCTCTGTTTTGAATTCTCTTTGATCTCTTCAATGACTTACAAATTACTCATCCTCTAAGGTGTGGAATTCTTCCAACCTTCCTGGGTAGAATCAAATGTTCTCTGTTCTACTCCCAATAATTTTTACTCTCTCAGAGCACACATTACCTTTGCTTACAGTGCCTTATTTGTATTTTTGTTTTTCTTACTGGATAAGTGATCTTTGAGCATTGGCTATGTTTTGTAATTTTATGAATCCCATAGATGATCTAACACAGTACCTGGCACATGACAATTACTTAGTGAGTGACAATTTGGGGTTTGCACCTGGTTTGTTCACAGCCACTATGGGTATAGACTAAGGGGAATAATTTCATAAACAGACTTATCTTCTGTATAGTTTAATTTTGTTGTATAACTAAAATGTCTAGATTTATTATGATTATGTCCTTTTAAAAAATGTGTAACAACTCTGGACAGGGTGACTCTTACCTGTAATCCCAACACTTTGGGAGGCTGAAAAGAGAATGTTGCTTGATGCCAAGAGTTCAAGACCAGCTTGGGCAACATAGCAAGACTTCCTTCTCTAACAAGAACAACAGAACAACAACAAAAATAGTGACGTGTGGGTACATGGCTGTAGTAGTCCCAGCTGCTTGGGATCACTTGAGCCCAAGAGTTTGAGGTTACAGCAAGCTGAGATAATGTCACTGTACTCCATTTTGAATGACATAATGAGGACTTGTCTCTTTAAAAAAAAATGTGTAACAGTTCTTCTCAGAAATGCGAATGATTGCATATAAAGAACAGTAATTAAAATGGTACTATTTTATAAATTTACTCTTTGTATTATTTCTAGAGCACTCTAACATTAAGACATATTTGTAGATTCTGGATAATTCCAGAGTGGACTTAGTTGAGTAAGAATGAATGACAAATGCTGGCTTTGACAAATATTGGTTCTCAGAATGAGAACTCATCTCCGAACATGTGTTTTACTTATAATCTTATATTGTTTCTAGGACATCATTTGTTTCTTGAAATTATCAAATATTTCTTTAAAACCAAACATAAACCTCAAAGGGACTCTCTTTCATCTCAATCGGCATTCAGAAAACTTTTATATTTGGTAAAAACATCGTATTAAAATGGGAGAGTTCCCTGACCTTTTGCAGGATGTGCAACAGGGATAAGCTCATCTGTTGGGCTGCCACATGCTCAAATCCCTTACAGGAGGGGCAACACACAGATGGGCAGGTGCAGGAGCCAGAGGAACCAGGGAGAGTGCTTTGGGGCTCCACCTCCATGCTAGCATTTAGGGGTGGGTGCTTGCAACTCCCAAAGCCCTAGAGGGTGTGTCACAGTGCTCTTTTAGCTCTGATGTTCACAGACAGCTTAAGTGTTAACCAGCTCAGTGCCCTCTTGGGACCTGCGTTCTCATCTGGCATCCAGGAAGGATTGTAAATTAGGGGGATTTTACTGCCAGATGGAGGTGGCTCTCAACAGGATGGATGGGAAGCTGGAAAGGGGATGGAGTGGGAAGGTGATCTTTCCTTGGAGTTTGGCTGTCCTGCGGCTGATCCCCTCTCCTATGATCCCCAGACGAACTCCACCTGATGTTCAGATGTTCTTTCTCTTCTCACCTCTCTGCCGTGCCACTCCTCTGTTCCTCTGCCTTTCCATTCTTCTGTTCATCTGTTTGTAGATCCTGGGGTTTGGGGTTTATATGAGTACAGGATGGAGGGGTGTAGTGGGCCAAAAGGCAAATTTGGGTGCAAAAACAGGAATGCTTGTTCCCATTTAAGGCTGTGAATTTCCAGGCTTGAGGGTGAGGCCTTTGCTGGGGAGCCACCCTCTTCTACCCGGTATTTCCCTGCCTCCATTAATATTATTTGTTTGTCAAAATAGAGTGATTTCTCAATAAACTATTATATCACACACCGATAAATGAATTAGAAAGAAAAGTTGCTTAAAAGGATAGACATTATCTGACTTGATTTTTATAAAATAATAAAAGGAAATTCACATTAAAAATGACATTTAAGAGTCATGTCTAAAAGTTTTTTTAAAGCATTTTTATTTGAGAATGAGAAGTTGTGACATTAAGAGAATGTATTACAATATTGTTTACCATGGTACAGCAATTCTGCAGTCTGTTTAAAGCTTCAGCTTTTTGAAAGGAGGTCCAGTTGCTGCACTGTAATAATGGTTTGCCTTTATTTATGCACCTACCCATTGTTTTTGAAGTCAGGTAATAGCAGCAAATCAAATGGCATATTCTCATTCCGTGTCACACATCTTACCCCTTAAGCATTAGGATAAACAGATGTGGCTTCGCCAAAGCTGTTGTCAGCAATACACTACTTCCAGTGACAATAAATTTTTCCACTAATGATATTAGGTAGTAGAATTGGTGTTTTGCACTGTCTTTTCCCACTACTCTATTTTAAGGCAATGCCTTTGTAAACAAACACTTATATAATGCAAGGTATTACATGGTGTGAAATAGGCTTGATCCATTAGTATGTTGTGAAGTTGGGGCTTAGGAAAATAAAAGAATATAATGTGATCAGTACAGCAAGGGAAAGGAACATTCTGTGCAACATAAACAACCTGACAAAAGGCAGGATGGCTTAGTTTTATTTATAAAAGCCTTTACATGCTCCCACATTTATTAAAACATGACCCTCTTGAACTCAGTCTGAGCAATATTAAAATGCTGACACAGAAACAATAAGGAAGAGTCTGCCAAAACATTTTGCTATCTGTGGTGATGTTTTTCATTTATTTTACCCTAGATAAAAAAGAATAAGGGAATTAGGGAACTCACTGCTTGTAATTTTAATAGCAAATAAACACCTACCTAATAATACCTCTGAGAAACTTGTTGGAAATTTATTTTTTATAAGCTCTCATGCCATGAGGGAGAAAGAGTTGGTTTTTTTTGAGAAACAGAATTTAAACCACTTTATATCTATTCTATGTAATAAAACAAGTGGAAAATGCTGTTTCTTGAGATTTGTTCTCATATAAAAATAGGAAAAACATGTACAGGAATTTTGACTTACTACAAGCCACTTCTATAGGCTTTTTAGAGGAAGCATTTAAGATTGTTTTTATAATGTTTCCTCCTCTTCCTCTTTCTTATTTTCCTTTCTCTTCTTTTTTCAAAAGAAGTTTATATTTTCAAAAGATTCGAGAAAGTATATTTGAGGACTTTAAAAAAGTCCAAATTAAATGTAAAATATCCGGTGTGTACTTTTATAAATGTTTAATGCAAATATAAATGTAAAGTTTTTAAAAGGCATTGACAGTGCTCTGATATGGAACTGTCTTTCATTTCTGTTCCTTAGGTTAACAGCCTTCCCTGCTTTTGA
Source organism: Homo sapiens (assembly GCF_000001405.40). Classification (NCBI taxonomy): domain Eukaryota; kingdom Metazoa; phylum Chordata; class Mammalia; order Primates; family Hominidae; genus Homo; species Homo sapiens. The sequence continues at coordinate 31,240,797 of NC_000004.12, forward strand.
CTTTCAGCTAGATTATTCAAAGGCTTGGGGACATGATCCTGTACTCACAGGACACCATACTTATTCCTATCAGAGCACCCAACAAATTGGAACTGTTGTTTTTCTATTGGTGTTTTCCTCTCAGTGACAATAAACTTGTCTGGCTTATTGATATATTTCTAACATACAGTATAGCGTCTGCTATGGACTAAGTGCATACATGATGTTGAGTTGAATTGAATCTCATTGAGTAAAAATGTCATTTGGGCTGAAAATGTCTTTGTTTCTATGTGCTTTTCAGCGTATGTATATCTGGGATATTTGTAAATAATTGTGCAAAACTAATATAAATGAAATTACAGACAATTCTTTTTTTTCTTTCTATGCAAGCACATAAGATTTTATTCTAAGTTTGCAGGTCATAAAGAGATGATCAAAGCATGTTTTCTGCCCTTAAAGGAGCTATAATCTGAAGGTATAGGCAGACAAATAGCTAAAATACATGACTTATAAAATAATTATCCAGAGAAGCTGTAATGACATGATAATTAATGCAGGTGGCAGCGGGATTCGAAATAAAAGGATTTGTGTAACAGATACTATGGAAGTGGAATATATTGTATTTGCCACTTAGATCATTAACAAAAAGAGATATCAGAAGGATTAATTGGTCTTGGTAGAAATATGCCTTTGCTCTTAGAGCTGTTGATTTCAAAGTGCCAAGAAAGCATTTGAATAAAAATGAATGTCAAGCTGTTGGAACTGTGCTTAGGAACTGGAATATTAAGGTTTAGATATTGTAGTAGGCTGTATCATGGCCACCCAAGGATGTCCACATCCTAATCCTCAAATCTGTGAATATGATTCTTTATTTGATGGAAAAAGGGACTTTGCAGAGGTGATTAAATTAAGGATCGTGAGATGGGCAGATTACCCTGCATTATCTGAGTGGGCATAATTTAATCACAAAAATTCATATGTGATAGGGGCAGGAAGTAAAAAGTCATTGAGAAAATGCACTGGGGACAGAGGTCAAATGGGAGAGAAAATGCTACTTTGCTGACTTTGAAATTGGAGGAGGGGTCATGGGCCAAGTTCTCCTCTAGAAGCTGAAAAATGCAAGAAAATTGCATCACCCTCCAGTCTCTGGAGGGAACAGGCCACTGCTGACACCTTGATTTTGGCCCAGTGAAACCTATTTCAGATTTCTGACCTCCAGACCTATATGACAATAAATCTTTGTTTCTTTAAGCTACTACATTTCTGGTAATTTGTCACAGCAGCAATAGAAAACAAATGCAGATTTTGGTACCTGAAAGTGGGGTGCTGCTGTAATAAACACCTAAATATGTGAAAATGACTTTGGAACTGGGCCATAAACAGTGGCTGCAGTAATTTCAAGGAGTGTAATAGAAAAACCTGGATTTCCTCTGACAGACTGTTACTCAAAATGTCAATGTTGAAGACTCTGCCTGTGAGGGGTCAGAAAGAGATGAGGATGCTAGAGAAAATCTGTATCATCTTACATGATACATCATAAGCAGACTACTGGTAGAAATATGGAAGTTAGAAAGCACTGCTTATGGCCAGGCGTGGTGGCTCGTGCCTGTAATCCCAGCACTTTGGGAGGCCAAGGCAGGCGGATCACTTGAGGTCGGGAGTTCGAGACCAGCCTGATCAACATGTAGAAACCCCGTCTCTACTAAAAATACAAAATTAGCCAGACATGGTGGTGCATGCCTGTAATCCCAGCTACTCGGGAGACCGAGGCAGGAGAACCACTTGAACCCGGGAGGCGGAGTTTGTGGTGAATGCCATTGTACTCCAGCCTGGGCAACAAGAGCGAAACTCCATCTAAAACAAAACAAAAAAAAAAGCACTGCTGATTAGGGCTAAGAAGGAAATTAGAAACTAGCTATAGAAAATTAATACAGTTATACAGGTAGTTTTAATTATGCCCAGAGTCGATAGTCTTGGCATAAACTAAATCGCCATGGAAAGCAATGCAGATGGACAACTTCTGAGAGCTGAGGACCAAACTATTAGGAATATTTTCATTTGGGATGATGAGGAACTTAGCAGAGGTGGAGAAGAAATAGAGAGGGAGTTGTCACGTTATGTGGGATCAAAGGATTAAGCAGTTTAAAGGGGAAAAGGATTTCAGCAGCATCAAATACTACAAAGAGTTTGAAGAATGAAAAATGATATTGAATTCCATAATCAGGAGGCCATTATCTTTCTCAGAGAGCAATCTCTCTCTGATAATGTGTGCTGAAAACATTGCAAAGTTTTAGAAATGAAAAAAAAGTGAGGCAATGAGGGCAGGTTATTCAAATAAAATATTTGGTGATAGAAGGAAAATAGTATCATAGCTTAAGGAAGAGATATTTGTAAGGAATGCCAAAAAATAACATTTCCTTTAGGGTATGGGAACTCAACATGCCATGGAAGATGGGGAACTGGTCAATAAAAGGAACTGAGGCATCTATTATAAGAGAAAAATGTTGTGATCAAAGAAAATGTTTGACAAGAAATAAAATTTGATATTCAGATATGTTAGCAGATTAAACACAAAGAGGAGACACAGCAAGAAGACTTGGAGTTGGAGAGAAAGGCCAACACTTTCATATAGTTCTGTTAGGAACTGATATTGTATAATAAAATAATAACTTTAGGAATAGGCATCAAGGCTTGAGGTGAGGATGGAGAAAGTTTGGGAAAGGCTTTTTTGGGAGGATCATGAGAGACAGATAGTAGGAAGTTGAAAGGCAACACAAAGGAAACAACCAAGGTTAGATAGCAAGCAACTACTTGCAATTAATGAAAGTAGAATTTCTGCAAACTTCTAGCAATACTATGTAGCTTGGGAGAGACCAACGAAGACAGAAAATGCAGTTTTCTCAGAACTGTCGAATAGCAAAAAGTTTGAGATTCTAAGTTGTAGTGAATGCATTTTTAAAAGACTACTCAATTTAGTCCAAAATTGTGGTATGGAAGCATGCTGACTTCACCACTTTCCTCAAAAACAAACAAACAAACAAACAAAAACAGGCCCAGTACTGTGGCTCACGCCTGTAATCTCAGCACTTTGGGAGGCCAAGGTTAGTGGATCACCTGAGGTCAGGAGTTTGAGACCAGCCTGGGCAACGTGGTGAAGCCCTGTCTCTACTAAAAATACAAAAATTTGCTGGGTGTGGTGGTACGTGCCTGTATTCCCAGCTACTTGGGAGGCTGAGGCAAAATCACTTGAATCCTGGAAGTGGAGGTTGCAGTGAGCCAAGATTGGGCCATTGCACTCCAGCCTGGGTGACAAGAGTGAAACTCTGTCTCAAAACAAGCAAACAAAAAACTAAAAAACAAAAACAAACATACAGTGCTAAGATCATCAACAGAAATATCCTAGAGCTCCAGGAGGCTGAGGCAGGAAAGTTGCTTGAGCCCACGAGGTGGAGGTTCAGTGAGCCGGGATCGTGCCACTGCACTCCACAGTCCAGCCTGGGCGACAGCGTGAGACTTCATCTCAAAAAAGAAAAAGAAAATAAATACCCTAGAAGTTAAATATGAAGATGAGACATTTTCCGGAACTTCAGAGAAGTGAAAAAAGCCCTGAGCCAATGGTAAATTAATTGGACTTCCGCATCCATAAACCCCCTCCTCTCATTCTGCCCAGCATCAAACACAGAGAAGGTTTTTTCCAACTCATTTTGTCTACAATGGAAAAAGTGAAATTGTGGTGGACAACAAGCTTCTTCATTATCCTGGGTTCCTTGGCAGGAGGTTTGTCCCTACCTTAACTTACAGGAAGATTGTGAGTGCCTGAAGGAACAAATGTAGACAAAGGGGGAGGTGGGATTACCATCCTCACTCCTGGCAACTCTGCTCTGTAACACTGCCAGAGGATCCGCCAAATCAAAGTTGTTATTCAGCAGCACCACACTGTAGGAGGCATAATCCACTGCATGAACCTAGGCATGAACCACTGTCCTGTCTTCCCACATTGCCAGGGTCTTACCTTTGGGATCTTCCTGATTCAGGAAGGGTGATACTCCAATTGTTTATGAGAGCTGAGGTGAACCTGGGCTTAAGGAGCCATCAAGACCCAAAAAGTAGGCAGCAACCTTGTGGTAAAGAACCTCTAAGTAAACATACTGAGAGAAAATCAAAACAAATCAGAGAAGACTGAAATAAATAACTAATCCCTCAATGCAAAGACATAGACATAGATCCATAAGAAACAACAGCAAACAGGGAACCGTGATCTCTCTAAACAGACAAAGCAAGGAATCAGTAACTGACCCTCATGAGAGAGTGATAGGTGAGCTCTCTGACCAAGAATTCTAAATAGCAATTTTAAGAAAACTCAGTGATCTCCAAGATAACATAGAAAATCAATTTAGAAATTTATCAGATAAATTTAACAAAGACATTTAAATAATAAAAAAAAACAGAAATTGCTGAACTGAAAAATTCGTTACAGACCATCAACAGCAGAATATATCAACAAGAGGAAGGAATCAGTGTGCTTGAATATAGGATATTTAAAAATACATAGTCAAAGGAGAAAAAAGAAGAAAGAATGAAAAACAGAAAAACAACAAAGATCAGCTACCAGATATAGAAAATTAGCTCAAGAGACAAAATTTATTGATAATCAAGTGGGAATTGAGGAAGAGCAAGAAACATAAACCATATATAAAGAAATGATAACAGAAAAGTCTCCAAAACATGATACAGATATAGCTATCCAGGTACAGGAGGGTCAGAGAATACCAGATTGAGCCCAAGTAAGACCTCCTGAAGGCATATAATAATCAGACTCTCAAAGGTCAAGCACAGAGAGCAAATCCTAAAAGCAGCAAGGAAAATGAAGCAAATAACATAAAAAGGAGCTCCAATTTGTCTAGCAACAGATTTCTCAATATAAACCATACAGGCCAGGAGGGAGAGGAAAAATATTTTCAAAGTGTTCAAAGAAAAAGAAAACTGCCACCACGAATATCGTATCCAGCAAAATTATCCTTCAAGGATGAAGGAAAGATGACCTTTCCCAGACAAACAACACCTGAGAGAATTCACTACCATCAGACCTGTCTTGCAAGAAATGCTAAAGAGAGTTCTTCAATCTCAATGAAAGAAAAAAAAAAAAACTAATGTGAAAATAAAGAGCTTTTGAAGGTGCAAAACCTGCTGATAATATTAAGTACATAAATCGACTCATAATAATACTATAATAATAGTTTGCAATCCACTTATAAGTCTAGTATAAAGCTCAAAAGACAAATCTATCAAAAACAATAATAGCTACAGAAAATCTTAAGAGATAGGTAATATAAAATATGTAAATTGAGACAACACAAAGTCAAAATGTGGGGGAATGCAGTTAAAGTGTATAATTTTTTATTTTTTTCATTCTTTTATTTGTGATAAAGATAAGTTGTCGTTTCTATAAAAAATAATTTGTTATGTTTGTTAGCCTCATGGTAACCACAACACAAAACCTATGCAATTCACCAAAATAAAAGGCAAGAAATTAAAACATGCTGCCAAAGAAAAATAACCACAAAGAAAGACAGTAAGAAAGAACAAATGGAAGAGGGGAGTTAAAACAACTGGAAATGCCAACCTAAATGGCAGTAGTGAGATCTTACATATTAATAATAACAGTGAATGTAAATGGACTCAGTCCTCCAATTAAAAGGTAAAATGTGACTAATTGGATAAAGAAACAAGACCTAACTATATTCTTTCTATAAGAAACAGATGTCATATATAAAGATACACATAGACTGAAGGTAAAGGGATGAATAAAGATATTCTACGACACTGGAAACTGAAAAAAAAAAGCAGGAGTAGCTGCACTCATATCAGATAAAAGAGACTACAAATTAGAGACTGGGAAAGGATACAAAGAAGGTCACTATATAATGATGAAAATATGTAACAATTATAAATATCTGTGCACCCAACACCAGAGCCCTCAAGTATGTAAAGAAACTATTAATAGATCTATAGGGAGAGATAGACTGCAACACAATAATACTAAGGGACTGTAATATCTCACTTTCAGTAATGAACATATCATCCAGACAAAAGGAGCAACAGAGAAACATCAGAGTTAAACTACAAACTGGACTTAATTGGCCTCATGGACATTTATAGAATTCCTGCAGAATACACATTCTTTTTATCAGCACATGGAACATTCTCCAGAATAGACCATATCCTAGGCCACAAGACAAGTCTCAGCAAATTCCAAAAAGCAGAAATCATATCAAGCATCTTTTCTGACCACAATAGATTAAAACTAGAAAGCAATCACAGGAACCTTGGAAACTTCACAAACACATGGATTGTAAGCAACATGCTCCTGAATGACTGATGAGTCAATGAAGAAATTATAAAGGAGATTAAAAAATTTTGTGCTACAAATGAAAACGGAAATACAACATACCAAAATCTATGGGATACAGCAAAAGCTATAGTAGGAGGGAAAGTTCTCAAAATAAACACTTGTATCAGAAAAGTAAAAAGACTTTAAATAAACAGCATGAAAATGCACCACAAGGAATTAGAATAGCAAGAACAAATCAAACTCAAAATTAGTAGAAGAAAAGAAATAATAAAAATCAGAGCAGAAATAAGTGAAATTGATACTAAAAACAATATAGAAGATCAACAAAATGAAAAGATGTCTTTTTTTGAAAAGGAAAATAAAATCAACAAACTTTTGGCTAGACTGATTAAAAATAAAAGGAGAGAAGACCCAAATAAATAATCTCAGAAGTGACAAAGGAGACATAACAACTGAGCCAACAGAGATACAAAGAATAATTTAAAACTATTATCAATAACTATACTCCACCAAAACGGAAAATCTAGAGGAAATGGATGAATTCCTGGACACATGCACATAATAAGATTTAACTATGAAGAAATAGAATGCATCAATGAGCCAACAATGAGTATGAAAGCTGTAATAAAAAGACTTCCATCAAAGAAGAGCCCAGGATCTGATGTCTTCACTGCTGAATCTACCAAACATTAAAAAAACTAATACCAATTCTACTTAATGTCTTAAAAAAACTTGAAGAGATAATTATTCCAAACTCATTTTATGAGGCCAGCCTTATCATGATATCAAAACTAGACGAGGATAAAAATAGATGCAAAATTAATCAACAAAATACTAGAAAAACAAATTCAACATTACATTAAAAAAATTATGCCCTATGATCAATTGGAATTTACCCCAGGGATGCAAGGATGGTTCAGTATATGCAAATCAATAAACATGATACATCACATCAACAGTAACAAGAACAAAAAACATATGATTATTTCAATAGCTGCTGAAAAAGCATTTGATAAATTCAACATCCCTTTATGATTTAAAAAAAACCCCTCATCAAACTGAGTGTAGAAGGAACATACATCAAGATAATAAAAGCCACATATAACAAACCCACAGCTAACATTGTACTGAATGAGGAAAAACTGAAAGCCTTTCTTGTAGGATCTGGAGCAAGGCAAAGATGCCCACTTTTATCATTTTTATGCACCATAATGCTGAAAGTCTTGGCTGGAGCAATTAGGCAAGGGAAAGACAAGAAGGACATCCAAATTGAAAAGGAAGAAACCAATTAGGCTTGTATGCAGAAGACATAATCTTATGCTTAGAAAAACCTAAAGACTCTATCAACAAACTGTTATAACTGGATAAAGGATTTCATCAAAGTTGCAGGATACAAAATCATCATACAAAAATCAGTAGCATTTATATATGCCAATAGTGAACAATCCGAAAGAGAAATCAAGAAAGCAATCACATTTACAACACCTACAAAGAATATAAAATACCTTGGAATCAATTTAACCAAAGAGGTAAAATATTTATCCAAGGAAAACTACAAAACATTGATGAAAGAAATTAAAGAAGACACAAAAAAATGAAAAGACATTCCATGCTCATAAATTGGAAGAATTAATATTGTTAAAATGACAATACTACCCAAAGCAATTTACAGATTCAATGCAATTCCCTTAAAAATATCAGTGACATTCTTCACAGAAATAGAAAAAAAAAAAAGTCCTAAAACGCATAGGGAACCAAAAAAGACTGAATAACCAAAGCAATCCTCAGCAACAATAACAAAGCTGGAGGCGTCACACTACTTGACTTCAAAATTCACTACGAAGCTACAGTAACCAAGCTAGCATAGCACTAGCATAAAAACAGACGCATAAACCAATGGAACAGAATAGAGGAACCAGTTGAAAATCTATGCATTTACAGTGAACTCATCTTTGATATAGCAAGTATATTTTCTGACCAGAATAGAGCAGAACCTCCTCTTTATCATGAGAGGCAAATAAATGATGGTGGGAAAACTGGACAACTATATGCAAAAAAATGACACTAGAACCCTATCTCTCACCATATATAAAAATAAAATGAAAACGGATCAAATACTCAAATGTAATACCTGAGACTATAAAACTACTAGAAAAAAATTGGGAAAAGGCTCCAGGACATTCATATGGCTAAATAATTATTTTGTGTAAGACCTCAAAAGCACAGGCAACCAAAGCAAAAATATGCAAATGGCATCACATCAATCTACAAAGTTCCTTCACAGTAAAGGAAAAAAATCAACATAGGGAAGAGAAAGCTTACCATCCGTGAGCACCTAGGTTGATTCCATTTGCTATTGTGAATAGTGCTGCAAAAGACCTTAAACAATTCAACAAGCAAGAAACAAATAACCCCATTAAAAAGTGGGCAAAAGACCTCAACAGACACTTCTCAAAATTAGGTATACAAGCAGCCAACAAACATAGGAAAATATTTTCAACGTCACTAATCACTAGAGAAATGCCAATCAAAATCGTAATAAGATCCCATCTCACAATAGTCAGAATGGCTACTATTAAAAAGTCAAGAAACAACAGATGCTGGCAAGGCTGTGGAGAAAAGGGAACACCTATACACTCTTAGTAGGAGTGCAAGTTATTTCAGCCACTGTGGAAAGCAGTTTGGAGATTTCTCAAACAACTTAAAACAGAACATTAGCCTGTAATCCTAGCACTCTGGGAGGCCGAGGTGGGCGGATCACGAGGTCAGGAGATCGAGACCATCCTGGCCAACATGGTGAAACCCAGTCTCTACTAAAAGTACAAAAATTAGCTGGGTGTGGTGGCATGGGCCTGTAATCCCAGCTACTCAGGAGGCTGAGGCAGGAGAATCGCTTGAACCTGGGCGGTGGAGATTGCAGTGAGCCGAGGTCACACCACTGCACTCCAGCCTGGCAACAGCATGAGATTCTGTCTCAAATAAATAAATAAATAAAACAAAAACAAAAACAAACAAACAAACAAAAAACCCAGAACATTAGACCCAGCAATCCCATTACTATTTATATATCCAAAAGTTTGAATATACACTTGTCAAAAGAAGACATAGAAACTGCTAAGAAGTATACAGAAAATGTTAAACATCATTAATTATCAGAGAAATGCAAATTGAAACTACAATAAGATATCATCCCACCCCAGTTAAAATGGCTTTTATAAAAAAGACAGGCAATATCAGATGCTGACAAGGATGTGGAAAAAGGGGAACCCTCATACACTATTGATGGGATTGGAGATTAGTTGAGCCTCCACTATAGAGAACAGTATGGAGATTCCTCAAAAAACAAAAAAAATAGAACTACCATTTGTTCCAGAAGTCCCACTGCTTGGTATATATCCAAAAGAAAGAAAGTCATTATATTGAAGAGATATCTACACTCCCATGTTTATTGCAGCACTATTCACGATAGCCAAAACGAATCCACCAAAGTGCCCATCGACAGATGAATGGATAAAGAAAACGTGGTACACATACACAATGGAATACTATTCAGCTATAAAAAGGAATAAGATCCTGTTCGGGTGCAGTGGCTCAAGCCTGTAATCCCAGCACTTTGGGAGGCCGAGGCGGGCAGATCACCTGAAGTTGGGAGTTTGAGACCAGCCTGACAAACATGGAGAAACCCCGTCTCAACTAAAAAAAATATAAAATTAGCCAGGCATGGTGGTGCATGCCTGTAGTCCCAGCTACGCAGGAGACTGAGACAGCAGAATTGCTTGAACCAGGAAGGCGGAGGTTGCGGTGAGCAAAGATCTTGCCATTGCACTCCAGCCTGGGCAACAAGAGTGAAACTCCATCTCAAAAAATAAAAAATAATCCTGTCACTTGCAACAGTATGGGGGAAACTGGAGGTCATTATGTTCAGTGAAACAAGCTCAACACAGAAAAATAAATACTGCATGTTTTCACTTGCACATGGAAGCTAAAAAGTGAATCTCATGAAGATGGAGAGTAAGGTTAATTAATGGGTACAAATGTATGATTTAATAGAAGAAATAAGACCTTCTTATTTGTTTGATAGCACAGTAGGGTGACTATAGTTAACAATAATCTATTGTATATTTTTAAATAGCTGGAGAATAATTTAAATTGTTCTAGCATGAAGAGAAGACAATTATGTAAGGTGATGGATATATCAAGTACACTGATTTGATCATTCCCAATTATATGATTGTATTAAGCTATCACATGTACCCAAAATAATGTGCATTTATTATGCATCAATAAAAAATAAAAAGAATAATACACAAGAAAAATAAACTTGATTTTAAAACATATAGGAAATGATATTATTCCAAAACAAACCTACTCCATATCTTCATGTGACTAATATCCAACAAATTGTAGAGCTCTTTAAAAATAAGATTTTTACTTTACTTTACTGTGGTTTTTTTAGAGACAGAGTATCTTTCTCTCTTCCAGTCTGGAGTGTGGAGTTCAGTGGCTCAATGGTAGCTCACTGCAGTCTTGAACTCCTGGGCTCAAGTGGTCCTTCTGCCTCAGCCTTCCAAGCACTGGGACCACAGGCGCAGGTTACCACACCCAGATAATTAAATTTTTTGTTGTTGTTATTTAGGAGCTGGGGGGCCTCCCTTTGTTGCCCAGGCTTGTCTCCAACTCCTGGCTTTAAGCAATCCTCCTGCCTCAGCCTCCCAAAGTGTTGATTGAGATTACAAGCATGAGCCACCATGCCTTGCCAAAAGTGTTTTTAAATAACTAAAATGTTTTCTAGAGAAATGTACACTTCAGCCTTTACTGATATATACATCAGTAAGAAATGTTTACATAGAGCAGTAAATTCATTACATAGCCTTACATGCAAAAGTTGAAAATAATTAGAATATTCTATATGTACTGCTCACATGGAAAGATCTTTAAACATAATGTTATTAGAAAACAACAAATTATAGAACCATAAGTGGGTTTTTCTCTCATTCTTTAACCAAGGTAAATAAATATGTATTCAGATGAAAAAAAGGCATTTGGATCTTAAATATTAAAATAAAAGCTTCAGTGACAGAAGCTCTGTCATTCCCAAATGTGTGGCTTCTTTCCTTTCGCCTCAACTTCTTTGCATCTCTTCACCTCTTTCCCTAGAAAGTTACGGTTTTGCTAGGCAAAACCGTAACTTGATCAAACCTAACTTTCTGCTGACATTATACTTGGACTCAAATAGCTGTGGTTGGTATAAAAGTAATTGCAGGCTCTTCCATTGAAAGTAATGGCAAAACCGCTATTACTTTTGCACCAACCTTATAAATATTACTGGAGAAAGTTTCACAATGATGCAAATATTTTCATGTAATTTAAATGTGCCAAAGAACTTCAACATTGTCAGACAATTTGCTACATTTTCTGACAATTTTTTTTGCTTATTCTCCAAGTTAACCATTTTATGATATTTTCTTTTCAAACTACAAAATACCTGTCTCATCTTCTTAAATTCAGGTATCATATTCTGTATCAATTTAAGAGAGAAGATATATACAATTAGGAGATAATTACTTTATCATCCCCTGTTGAACCCCTATCATCTTCCTAACTTCATCGTACTACAGCTAATACAGATAATAGATAATGCAAAGTTGTTTTTCACTGAAAGAAACAAAATCTCTGCATTAAACTGGCTTAAACAGTAAGAAAGTTAAGTAAGAAGTAAGAAGTAAAGAAATTATTTATTCTCATAATTGGAGTCATGTAGTTGGAGAACACATTATTCAGTACTCAGCTGCAGATTAAATTAAAGAAACAACAATAATGCTCAGGCTAGTGTAAAAATAAAGGGATTTAATACAAGAAATTGAATTCTCAGAAAATATTAAAAGGCCTGGTGACAGAAACTGTAGGTTGAGTTTCCAACAATATCTCCCTGACCACATAACTAGTCTTCCAGGGATGCTGCTACCTCTGCTGCCGTCTGAAAGTGGAGACTCAGAATACTTGTCTATCCAATAGCGTTCCAGAACAATATCATTTCTATTGTTCCCCACTGTTCCCTAGGGCTGCCTTAACAAATTATCACAAACTGGGTGGCTTAAAACAATAGGAATTTATTCTTTCATAATTTAGCAAATGAAAATCTGGAGTCAAGGTGTCAGCAGGGTTGGTTCCTTCTGGAGGCTCTGAGGAGGCTCTGAGGGGCCCAGAGAAGGCTGGTCCATGCCTCTCTCCTACTTTCTAGTGGTATCCAGCAAGCCTTTCTGTTCCTTGGCTTGCAGACATATCACTCCAGTCTCTGCCTCCATCTTCACATTGCCTTCTCCACTGTGTTTCTCTCTGTCCTTTTTTGTTTCTTTGTAAGGATACTCTTACATATTATGAGGGTTTGTGTGGATGTGAATTTTGGGAGGACACTGTAAGACTATTTTATGTCTTATTTCTTTCCTCTGAACATCCATGTAGTTAGAAACCCAGTATTAGGCTTTCAGTTAGTGCTGCCACAGAATCTAAAAGCTCACTGAAGTTATTAGTTTACATAATAATGCTGTGTTACAAACTACCCCAAAATTCAGTGGATTAAAACAACCATTTATTATTGCTCAAGGGTCTATGGGTGGGCTGGGCAGAACTACTGATCTGGATTGATCTTGGTTGGACACTGATGTCTGGGTCTGTTGGGAGCTGTTTCATCTGGGATGGCCCTCTGGGATGACTAACTCTCACCATCAGTCTTATGTCCAGCAGGCTAGTCCAGATGTATTATCATGGTGATCACAAAGATTCAAAAGACAGCGCAAAAGCAAGTAATGCCTCTGAAGCATAGCTTTAGAATGGGCACTCATCCTTTCTGCAGCATTTTATTGACCAAAGAAAGCCACAAGACAAGTACAGATTCAAGGGATGGATAAACAAACTCCAAACTTGATGCGGGGGGGAATTCATTAGAGACACTGGAGGGGTTATAGGGAAAGGTGAAGAATGGGGACCATTTTGCAATCAGCCTGTATTAGTCCATTTTCACACTGCTATAAAGATACTACCCAATAAACATACGTGTGCATGTGTCTTTATAGAAGAATAATTTATAATTCTCTGGGTATACACCAGTAATGGGATTGCTGGGTCAAATGGTATTTCTGGTTCTAGATCTTTGAGGAATCGCCACACTGTCTTCAGCGGTTTAACTAATTTACACTCCCACCAACAGTGTAAAAATGTTCCTATTTCTCCACAGCCTCATCAGCATTTGTTGTTTCCTGACTTTTTAGTAATCACCATCATGACTGGCATGAGATGGTATCTCATTGTGGATTTGCATTTCTCTAATGACCAGTGATGATGATCTTTTTTGCATGTGTTTCTTGGCCAGGTAAATGTCTTCTTTTGAGTGGCAGCCATAAGAAGCTATCATTCTCAGCAAACTAACACAGGAACAGAAAACCAAACACCACATGTTCTCACTCATAAGTGGGAGTTGAACGATGAAAACACATGGACACAGAGAGGAGAACATCACACATTGTGGCCTGCTAAGGGTAGGGGGCAAGGGGAGGGAGATCCTTAGGATAAATACCTAATGCATGCGGGGCTTAAAACTTAGATGGGTTGATAGGTGTAGCAAACCACCATGGCACATTTATACCTATGTAACAAACCTGAACGTTCTGCACATGTATCCTAGAGCTTAAAGTAAAATTTTAAAAAAAGAAGAAGAAGAAGATATTACCCAAGACTGGGTAATTTATAAAGGAAAGAGGTTTGATTGACTTACAGTTCCACATGGCTGGAGAGGCCTCAGGAAACTTACAATCATGGTGGAACGTGAACGGGAAGCACAGATCACACGATGGCAGGAGAGAGAAGAATGAAAGAGGAACGTCCAAACACTTATAAAGCCATCAGATCTCATGAGAACTCACTCACTATCATGAGAACAGCAAAGGGGAAACTGCCCACATGATCCAATCACCTCATTGTCTCGAGTTGTGGGATTACAGTTTCCTCCCTAGACCCACGGGGATTACAATTCAAGATGAGATTTGGGTGGGGTCACAGAGCCAAACTATATCACAACATCCAGCTTTTTAGAGAAAAACAGCAGAAATTATTGAAAATCCAGATTCCACCTAATTTATAAATTTTTAATTTGTAAATAAATGTATTAACTTCATAAATTCAATCCCATATGGAATCCATGTTTAAAGAAAATATGAAAACCACACACAGAGATCTATCTATCTACCTATCATCTATCTATCATCTGTCTTCGTCTCTCTATCCATCTACTATCTATCTATCTTTCATCTATCTATCTCCACCTACTTTAGAACCTGGAGAATTGGAGTTGAATAAGTCAAATTTTAATATCCGCTATAGGCGAGATTCAGGGATGGTTGATACCTCTCAGTGATCAGAATATTTACTTTATTCTCTATCTGGTAGTAAAACTACTCCAACAGTTAAGGCATAATGCATATATGACAACATTCATTGAAAGAAGCGTGTGCCTCTAATCTTGAAGATTAAAGTTAAAATTAGACAAGTATTTTCCCAAAGGGATCTTAACTTAATTTCTCTGAAACCGCCTCTTGTCATAGTTACCAACAAGCTCCACCACACAAAATCAAATGGTTAATTTTTTATCCACTTCTTTCTTCCTGAAATATTTTTCTCCCATGGCCTTTTCACAAAGATCAAATAAATTAATATTCATAAAAATTAGAATAGTGTCTGGCACATAATAAGTGCCATATGTTCATAATCATAGTAATAATAATTATGATGATTACTATTATTATTATCATTGTTATCTAGCCACTTGGTTTTAAATATAGCTAGTCCTGTTGTTAATGCTTGTTTTGGGAACACAATTTTTTTTAATGAGGGCTATCTATTAGGAAACAATTTGAGTACAATGTAAATTTCACCCAAGAATAATGCTAGGCTAATGTAGAAAACTGTAATCAGTTGAGCTAAGCCATATAGGACAGACATACACATATCTCATGAGGACAATGAGCTACTCTCATCTACATCTGTTGTTACAACGTTCCTTCCAATTTCAGATAACTTTCCTTGTACCACACCACAATAATATACAAGTTACAACCTTTCCTGAGGCCACCCTGGCCAGATGACTCTACTTCTCTTTTCAAAAATTGTTCTCTCTTTCCTCTTATCCTACTTTTTTTCTTCTCTATCCTCTGTTTTATTTTATTTTTCTTTTGTTTCATTATTTTCTATATGTCTTCTGTTGTCCTTTTGCACACAGTAAGCAAATTCCTTAAGCAAATTCCACAAGCAAACTTTTGCACCCCTCCTAGGCTGATTGATTCCAGACATCAATATACACATCACTTTCATACTTATTAATATCCATCTCTCTTCTCAACATATTTACTTAAATTTCATCAAAGGATGTATCTTTATTTTCCCCATAAACTTAGGTGTCCCATGTTTTCCCACTACTGCCAATACCATCACCTGTAACCCAGTTGTTCAGCCCAAAATCCATTTTTTGTCTTAATTTTTCACTTTTCTTTATCTTTACGTCAAATTTTTCCAAAACTCCTTTGGTCATACCTTTAAAATATACCCATAACTCAACTATTTCAAACCATTTTAACTTCTAAGACCAGTTATAACCACCATCAACTCTTAGATAACTGAAAGTAGTCTCTTAATTGGTTGCACTGCTTTCTTTATTGCCATCTCACTCTGATACCCGCCCCATTAATCTATTTTGCACACAGCAATGGGAGTAATCTTTTACAGTTAGATCATTTTATTCCCCTGCTTAAAATCTTCCAAAGGACTTGCAATCCACATCAAATAAAATTCAATCAACTTAAATAGTTTATGTTCCCACCTATTCTTACTACCTTTCTAATGCTATATCCTACTCTTCTTTCCCTCCTTAACTAAGACTCAGGAAAACAGACCTTCTGGCTCTTTGTAGAAATGTGAATAACTCTCTATGACAGAAGGGAAGAATGGGACAAAGCAAGGTCTGTCATTGTTAAGAAAGCAGCAACTACTAATCCCAGCACTTTGGGACGCCAAGGCAGGCGGATCACCGGAGGTCAGGAGTTCGAGAACAGCCTGGCAAATATGGTAAAACTCCGTCTCTACTAAATATACAAAAATTAGCCGGGCGTGGTAGCAGGCGCCTGTAGCCCCAGCTACTCGGGAGGCTGAGGCAGAAGAATTGCTTGAACCCAGGAGGCGGATGTTGCGGTGAGCCGAAATTGTGCTGTTGCACTCCAGTCTGAGCGACAGATTAAGACTCCGTCAAAAGAAAGAAAGAAAGGAAGGGAGGGAGGGAGGGAAGGAAGGAGCAACTATCTTAAAAGAAGGAAATGCTACTTATTTTTGTGCTTTCGTTCTGGCCATGTCCGTTTCCTGTTAGAAACATGTATTGTTGGCCCCTCTGTGTTTGTTGGAAACACTGTTCATGTTATCTTAAGAACATTGTGATTGGAATAGCAGTAGGGTCTACTTTCCTTTTCTCACGTCTTTAGAGAGGCAGTCTGAGACTAGAAAGTCGTGCATGATCTTAATCATTCTAGATTCCTTTTACCCTGCTTATTTGTTTCCTAACATTAACTGAAGTAGTCTTGTTTATTTTGCCATTTGACTTGTTTCTGTCTTTTCCAAAGAAATGTAAGTCCCGTGATAGCAGCAACTCGTTTGCTGTTTTATTCCACCATTGAGAATACTGCCGAACGTCTAAGAAGTACTTAATAAATATTAAGTGGAGAAATGAATATATGGCAGCCTCTTTTGTGGATCCAGGACTAGTATTAAGTCATGTGGCTCACTTCCTCAAAAGTTTCATGACATTTAAAGATTCTGTCTCCCAAGACTTGAACATCATAGTTCCTGGAATCCAGAAGTGGGTCAGGGAGTTGGGCATGAGCTGCTGCTTCTCAGTTTCTACACCTGGATCTTTAACTTCTCCCGTCCCGCTCATTAAGCTTTACTGGGCTCCTCCATCACTGGAGCTGTAGGAAGAGCAAAATACAGATTTTTACTGGTTTCATAAGAATCTTGAAATTAGTAGAATGGCTGTTATTAAAAAGTCAAAAATAGATGCTGGTGAGGTTGTGGAGAAAAGGGAACGCTTATATACCGCTGATGGGAATGTGAATTAGTTCTGCCACTGTGGAAAGGAGTTTGACGATTTCTCAGAAAACTTAAAACAGAGCTGTTATTTGACCCAGCAATCTCATTACTGGGTATGTACCCAAAGGAATATAAATTGTTCTGTTATAAAGACATATGAATATGTGCACTCATTGCAGCACTATTTGCGATAGGAAAGACATGGAATCAACCTAAATGACCATCAGTGGTAGACTGGATAAAGGAAATGTGGCCTATATACACCACACAATACTAGGAAGCCATAAAAAAGAATGAAATCATGTCCTCTGCTGCAACATGGATGGAGCTGGGGGCCATTATCCAAAGTGCATTAAAGCAACAACAACAACAAAACCAAATACGGCACATTCTCACTTAGAGATGGGAGCTAGACATTGAATACACATGGACACAGACAGGAACGAGAGACACTGGGGCCTAGTTGATGGTGGAATATGGGAGGAGGGTGAGGGTTAAAAAGCTACCTCTCGGATACTATGCTCGTTACCTGAGTGATGAAATAATCTGTACACCAAACCCCTGCAACATGCAATTTACCTATGTAACAAACTGCACATGTACTCCCTGAATCTAAAGTCAGAAAGGAAAAAAAAATCTTGTGTAGTGCATTCTCAGTTAAGCAGATTTAAAAGGTTAATTTATTCTCTAATGGGGTTCTTTTCTGGGTTGTTTGGAGACCACCCAAGGGACTCTCTTATGCAAAGTTCCACTGATGTAGAAATACACAGCTGCTGGACACTTACCACTTTCCACTCATCCCCTTGGCTTCTAGTGGGTTATTTCTCTGTTGTGCTCATTTCGTGTCCTTATACTATTCTTTTGTCCTTGTGGGCTGGGATTCTCTTGAGAGGTGACAACATGTTAGCAGCCCTTGCTTCTTCTCTGCGTCTCCTCGGCCTTGGCGTCTGCTCTGGCCACGCTTGAAGAGCCCTTCAGCACGCGGCTGCACTGTGGAGGCCCCTCTCTGGGGCTGGCCAAGGCTGGAGCCAGCTCCCTCTGCTGCAGGGAGGTGTGGAGGGAGAGGTGCGGGTGGGAGCTGGGGCTGAGGCCATACAGCCGGCCAGCGCCTGCTGGGCTTGATCAGAGGCTGGGTCCCATGCGTGGACCGCCATTCCCTCTTCCCGGGATGGCTGGCCACCATAGCAAGTCTCCATCTCTTTCTCGCTACCTCTCTTTTCCTCCTGATTGTCTGGGACGAGCTCCCTCTGGGCTGTCGCAGTGCCCAGGCTAGGTGCCGCAAAGTCCCGTGGGGAGTGCCAGTGAGAGGTGAAGCCAGCTAGGCTTCTGGAACAGGTGGGGACTTGGAGAACTTTTCTGTCTAGCTAAAGGATTGTAAATGCACCAATCAGCACTTTGTGTCTAGCTAAAGGTTTGTAAACGCACCAATCAGCATGCTGTCAAAACGGACCAATCAGCTGTCTGTAAAATGGACCAATCAGCAGGATGTGGGTGGGGCCAGATAAGGGAATAAAAGCAGGCCACCCGAGCCAGTAGAGAGAATCTGCTGAGGTCTCCTTCTATGCTGTGGAAGTTTTTTTTTTTTTGCTATGTGTTGTGGGAGGTTTGTTCTTTCACTTTTGCTGCTGCTGCTCACTCTTTGGGTCAGTGCCACCTTTATGAGCTGTAACACTCACTGCGAAGGTCTGCAGCTTCACTCCTGAAGTCAGCAAAACCATGAACCCACCAGTAGGAAGAAACTCCGGACACGTCCAGACATCAGAAGGAACAAACTCTGGACACACCATCTTTAAGAACTATAACACTCACTGCAAGGGTCAGTGGCTTCATTCTTGAGGTCAGGGAGACCAAGAACCCACGAATTCCCGACACACTCTCAGGACCATTCCATCTGGCTTCCTTTTTCGGAACCTAACTACATACATGCCATTGTCCTACCAAACACTTGAAAGCATTAGCCATACTTAAGATTTCTTTTCTTCTTACTCAGCCAACAGGCAGAGGATATTCCAGCCAAAGTCTCTAGCTTTTAGACTATTCCAGGTAGGTGAAAATCAGAAACCTAGCTGTATGTTTCTCTATCTCCAGGGAACCACCTAAAACTCTCCAATTTTTTTTTTCAGTCTGCATCACCTGGATTGAAATGAGCGGGAGAGAGGGAACTGTTCTTTCTTCCTCTCTGTGGGCAGAAGGTAATGGGGAAAGCCAGAATGTACCAACAAGTCTTTCCTTATCTCTGGACCTTTCAAATTCCAAGGAATGTTTTTCTCCTCACATATAGTCTTAGGGTTAGAGGTAGTTGCAGGCTGAATGAGTAACCCTATCTTTTAGCAAGTCTGGCTAGATAGATTGGAAACTTGACTGAGAATGTAGGACTTAAAAATATTGTCTCCTATTTTGAGCCGTTTCCAAACATCTGAGATGACAGGAAAATGTTTTTTTTATTTATTTACTTATTTATTGTTTGAGACATAACCTCGCACTGTCGCCAGGCTGGAGTGCAGTGGTGCAACCTTGGCTCACTGCGACCTCCACCTCCCGGGTTCAAGCGATTCTCTTGTCGCAGCCTCCCGGGTTGCTGGGACCACAGGCGCACACCACCACGACCAGCTAATTTTTGTATTTTTAGTAGAGACGGGGATTTATCATGTTGGCCACGGTGGTCTTGATTTCTTGACCTCATGATCCGCCTGCCTTGGCCTCTCAAAGTGTTGGGACTACAGGCATGAGCCACCGAGCCCAGCCAAAATGTTACTTTTAACATTCTGTTACATACATAAATATTCAGAAGTGCTACAGTTGTTAAGTTTTAACTGGAACTTATTGATTCATATAATTGTGAGGCAGACAGGTAATTCTGGTTTCCATTACAGTTGGCTCAAATGATCTCAACAGCCCCCCTCTCTCTCTGTCTCATTAATTGCTGTTCTCATTTTTTTCTCTTTCTCTTACTTAGGAGATTCTGTTTTCTGATGGAAATTGTCTCATATTATTAACATAAATAAGGTTTGGGCAAGAAAAATGGATAAATCATGAAATTTTATGGTCTTAACAAGGTATAAAACACCGCTTGACTACCAACAATTGTCATTGGTTTAATATCCCATTAACTAGAATAGACTAGGTTCCTGCATTATTTATTCCATTGATTTTGTTGAAAAGATAATGTACATCTTCAGCAACTATATGCATTAACAAGAGAATGGTAAGGTATATTTAATAGTGGAAACTATATTAGTACACGTATTATTATTGCAAAATGCAAAAAGAAATTGAGTTATAAATCTGCCCTGCTGCTCTGTATATAATTATTTCTACTGGGATTCTCATAATATTGTACACATATATTTGCTGACCTTCTAGACAAAGAAATACATTCTGTGATATGTGAAATATATTGTAACCCAGAAGTGGAATGTTTTCCCTAGTGAGGGTTCATTTAAATAATTTTATCATCACCATGGTGGGTTTTTTTGTTTGTTTTTTTTACAACACAGTCTGTGGTTCACAGCATCGGTGACCATAGTCCCTAAAGTGAGATAAAATGTGTTAGAGAAGAAATGAACACCTGCTGGAGTTACTTTTGTTTTGACTAGAGGCAGTTTGATATTCAGCTAGAGAGAGGCATATGCAAGGGAAAGGATGTATACAGTGATTAAAACCATGTTTTTTTGCCAGTGGGGGTTCTATACACGTTTTATCACTGTTTCTGGAGGCAAAACAAGAAGGTGTGTATCCCTTTGTATCCCAGGGCCACACCATTAATCTCATCCAGAATGAAGACAGAAGGTCTCAGTATGTGGTGCCCATAGAACAGATATATTTTAATAGACCAGAGCTTGATGCTATCACAAACACCAGCATTTGCCAAGTTTAACGTGAAATAAACTCTACTCTTGCAAATAAGTGAAATAGAATAAAATATAAAAAACATCTGTTTTCAAATTATTTTAAAGTTATAAATGAAATGAGACACTTCCTGGCTCAGTCAACTTGTTTTTATGAGTTAATGGGCTGTGATGCCAGTTTTCTTTTAATACTAAAATCCATTTTAAGGTGGTTCTTACAGCCTTTAGCGAAATGATGGTTCTCCAGAGAGAAATTTTTTTTTTTTTTAAATTTCTGTGATGCCTACTTGCTCACAAATAGTGCATGGGGTTTGGCACATATATGAGCACCTAGGTATGTATAATGAATTGTTTGAGAGAGATATTAGTGGGTTATCATTTAGCCCATAGCCAATACTGGGAATCTGGTGGAAGGGAGTAACTTTTTAGAAAGACCACTTTTGGGGCTCCAACTGCTTGGTTTACAAAATCTTATTTATTTGTCTTTTATGTTATTCATTTATTATTATTATTAGTGACTATTTCCCTCTTTTTCTCCATCTCAAAAACAACAACAACAAAGAAATATGTGTTCATGAAAAGCTTTTAGTAACTAAAAATGATTAGTTAAATTTAAAAAACAAAGTTTTGTAAGAACTGGGATACGACCCAAAAAACTGTTAGATCAAAATACATCAGTTTTAAAATACCTATAAAGGAGCAGGAGATCCAAAAGCCATCGAGATGCACCCTTTCTCAACTTTGTAGTCCCTCTTTCTTCATTTATTGCTGCACCACAGACGTTTTGGAGTTCAGGGAATTCAGAAAATCCCACCCTAAACATGCCACTTTGGCATATTGATTGTTTTAAATTGAAGAAACTTCAAAAAAATAGCAGATGCAGAATGGGCATTTTGACCTTAAAAGCAAGAGATAAAACTCCCACATAGAAGAGGTGCCCTCTCTGTACCTTAAGGAAGAAAGACGTTCTTATTTTGAGAAAGGGCAGTCAAAACCCAGAGAAATCTGTACAAGCAAACTTTGTTCAAATAATCCTTATATTCCTAGTCATTTCTTTACAATTAGCTAGTGTAGTCCCAAAACCCCTTTCTTTGTCACGTTTTCACACTGTCTGACACTTGGTTCAACTCAGTAGATAAGTGTTCAACTCTGCTTCTTGGGGTCTTCATTTCTTTTTGAGAGATTCCATGTCATGTAAAACTTATATTAAATAAATTTGCATATTTTTCTTCTATTAATCTATCATATGCTAGTCTAATTCTCAGGCTTAGCTGGAAAACCTTAGTAGGGTAGAGATAAAATTTTGCCTCCCCTACGGATTTCAAAAATATTCTTTTTGATACCTACTCTAAGGGTTGATGTAGTAAAACTGTTCTTAGCTTAGTGTTTGGCATTAGAAAAAGCAATCAATGTTAATAATTATTTATAGGTACTGGTAAAGATATCCCAGAGACCCCATCTGTATTAGGCAGGATAGATTAGGAACTGCTGATAAGTGGGGCTACTGGCTCTCTCAGGCAGCTACTGGATCTGGCAACTTAGATATCTAGATTACTATTACCTTGTATTTTGTTTATCCCAATGAATGCACATCCTTCATAATCACTGCGTAGAGGAAGATAGTTCTGGAGTGTAACCTCTGCTTTCAGTTCACTGTCCAGTACTATTACACAGTCTGAGGTAACTGCAACTAGACTGGGAAATGTGGGAGAACATATATTCAGTATGTAGAAAGTATTTTGGCCACATCAGCCATATAGCAAGGAAATATTTATCTGCTTGGTAATGCAATTAATCAATAGTAATTGTATGTGATAATTTTCTCTACTTAAATAACAGGTTAAAAAAACAGTAGTACTGGTTAAAACCCTTATATAGAGAGTGACATATTCTGGAAATAAATGAATATTTGAGTATTTAAAATATAACTTTCTTACATATTGTATATTCTTAGAAGGATGATATTTCAAAGTAGAAAGACATGCTCTATGCTAACTGCTAGAATGGCTTACTCTATATTCAAACTATGTTCATTGTTTAAGTACACTGTAGACTTTTGAACTGATACTTGTGTTGTATAATGTTTTTCAGGTTTCATTAATTAGAGTATTTATTATATATTTTACTTCAGTTAAGTTACATATGTGATTTTATTTTCAACAAATATTTACTAGTAAATGTGTTACTTAATCATACATAGTAAAATTTAATAAATATATTATATTAATATTTTGACTTAAATTTCCATGTGTGAGTTTTTATTTCAAAGTTTGAATAGGTTATTTTTTCCCAAAACTATTAATAGTCAGAGCTGCAGAACAATAGATATTCTAGGATCAGAAATCTCCTGCCAGTATGGTTTTTACATGGTCTTTGAAGATTATCCAATAGAGATAGAGTTGTTTTTTTTTTTTTTTCCAATTCTTGATTGACCTAACTTCAACTACTTGGTTGCATGTAGTAGAAAGGAAAAGAGAAGGGAGAAAAAGAAGAAAATGAACCTGTATTTAAAATATTGTCTCAGATCATGTAAAAGAGTAGATACATAGACAAACTACTGGAAGGTAATCAAATTTTGTCTTTTTTCATCTGTCTACATTAAGCAATCAAAAAACTTCTTGTTCATGTAAAATTGAAAAAAATGTTATTTTTGTTATTCAAAAGGAATAATTTATTTTGCCAATTCATGAAATTTTGTGTGTTTGGAATAATTGTGGTGAAATTGATTTATATCTGTATCTATGGTAAATTTTCACTGTATGCAAAATGATGCCAACGATGAAATAACATTTGTTGAAAGCTTACCATATGCCAAGTATTTTTTAAACTTGTTACAAACTGCATTAATTAGTTAATTAATTAATTAAAATTACCTGATGGGACTTCCCTTTTATCCTCTTTTACTTTTAAGGAAATGTAGGCATGAATATCAAATAATGTTATGGTGAGAACATTTGGAAATATTAAAGCAATTTATATTTCAGTCAGCCATAGAGAATGTTTTCTTGTAGTTTTCCACTGTTAAGATTAAACCCAAGGCAATGCCATTGAGAATAAGTCAGCCATATCTACTTTGACACTTATAGCTGAATTTCAGAGTCTAGATTGAACAATGCATTAGAAATCTAGGCATTTTGGAGATAAAAAATGTTTTTTTAAATTTTTAATTAATTAATTAATTAATTTTTGAGATGGAGTCTCTCTCTGTCGCCCAGGGTGGAGTGCAATGGCCAATCTCAGCTCACAGCAATGTCCACCTCCCAGGTTCAAACGAGTCTTCTGCCTCAGCCTCTCGAGTAGCTGGGATTATAGGCGCCTGCCACCACACCCAGCTAATTTTTGTATTTTTGGTAGAGACGGGGTTTCACTATACTGATTAGGCTGGTCTTGAGTTCCTGACCTCAGGTGATCCCCCCACCTCGGCCTCCCAAAGTGCTGGGATTACAGGTGTGAGCCACCGTGCCTGGACAAAAAGTGCTTTTTTTTTAATGCCAACTTCTTTGTGCTCTTTGGATTTTTGCCTAGATTCAAATAATAAAAATTGACTATAAACGACAAGTATAGAGAGCTCAGATTATAACCAAAGATTAAGTTTTCATTCAACGGGAAATGTAAATAGAAGCCTGTTCGGAGAGGAGAAGGGAGAAAGGTTAGATATACTTGGATTTTATGTGTCCTTATTTCTCAACATTTCCTCCAGCATTCTGGGATCAATGGGGCAGTGAGTGTCCTTTTGAAGAGTCTGTAATAATTTGATCTCTTGTGTTGATTTCACCATATATATAAATTTAGTAAGGAAGTAGAAAGGAGGGAGGGATAAAAAGAATAATAAAGAGATGAAAGGAAGGAAGAAAGGAATGTAGGAGAGAAGGGAGGAAGGAGAAGGGAAAGAGTGATGATATCTAGAAGGAAATTGAAGAATAATGGGATCAATTATTGAAATATTTTTGTTATTCCTGGGATTAAACCCTAGAAAAGTCATTGGTTTTCAACGCTAATGATTTTTCAATTCTACTGACAAATTAGAACCATCTGGAGAGATTTTTATGGGTATTACCCAGAGCCCATCTGTAGAAGCTAAGAATCTCAGCCCAGCTATTCCAGTTTCAAATTTAGTTTTTTTCAGATGTTTAGTCACAGACAATATGAAAATAAATTTAGGCCGGGCACGGTGGCTCATGCCTGTAATACCAGCACTTTGGGAGGCTGAGGTTTGTGGGCAGGTCACCTGAGCTCAAGAGTTAGAGACCAGCCTGGCCAACATGGTGAAGCCCTGTCTCTATTAAAAATACAAAAATTAGCTGGACTTGGTGGCATGCGCCTGTAATCCCAGCTACCCGGGAGGCTGAGGTAGGAGAATCCCTTGAACTCAGGAGGCAGAGGTTGCAGTGAGCTGAGATCACACCACTGCACTGCACTCCAGCCAGCCTGGGAGACAGTGAGACTCCATCAAAAAAAAAAAAAAAAAAAAAAGAAAAGAAAAGAAATCCATTCAAAATGAAGCTTAATATTAAAACTGTCCTCTCATTTAAACAGTCTCTCCACCTTTTCTCCATCCTCCTCTTTCTTCTACTACTCATGCTCTCTAAGATGACAGTATGTGAGAGGGGGTGGAGATTGGAATGACTTCAAGAGTTTGAGAGGGAGGAGTCTGATCTTCATTCCATTCCCTCTTCCTTGCTAATTTCTGCTGAGATGATTGATTTGATTCATCATTGCATATTTGCCTCTATCCACTGTACACCTGCTTCTCATGAAGTTCTTCTCTCACTGTGTTGGCTACAAATATCTCTGCTCTCTAGCTTGGCTTCTGATTATGGGATTCACCTCCTTTGAATCATGCCTACCCTAAATTCTTTTCTCTATCGACTATTCCAATCCTGTAACCATTACGGGAGAGTGTGATAAATTGGGAACCCCACCCATACTATGTACTGCCTGCAAGCTAACTCCTACCTTCTATCAAGCCATAACAACTTCACCATGCCATTTCTATTCATGATCCATATGCAGTGAGCCATCAATAAGAGGAATGACTCCTGCAGACCTACACAATGGCCCACTCACTGCTAGACAGAATCCAGGTAAAATTTTTTCTAAAAAAATATTAAATGCATTTCAGAGGTTGTATCATGTCACATAGGTTTATTTGTACTGAATTCACTGAAGTGCCATGGAGATATGAGTACTTACACAGTGCTAGTATGTTTCCCAGTCTGTGAATATGAAGTATTTTTATATAGAATGATTCACATCTTTTTTTTTTTTTTTTTTTTGAGACGGAGTCTCGCTCTGTCGCCCAGGCTGGAGTGCAGTGGCGCTATCTCGGCTCACTGCAAGCTCCGCCTGCCGGGTTCAGGTCACTCTCCTGCCTCAGCCTCCTGAGTAGCTGGGACTATAGGTGTCCGCCACCAGCTAATTTTTTGTATTTTTAGTAGAGATGGAGTTTCACCTTATTAGCCAGGATGGTCTCCATCTCCTGACCTTGTGATCCACCCACCTCGGCCTCCCAAAGTGCTGAGATTACAGGCGTGAGCCACTGCGCCTGGCCAATTCACATCATTTTTAGATTTAGTACACATTTCAAAGGTTTAACATTAAAACTCAATTAGGTCGTATATACTGCTAGGTAGGTTGTGACATTCAGATGTTCATGGACAGATTTGCTAGTGAGTCAGTTTAATCACAGAGTTTATAGAAGAAGGTCTTCTACACTGGAATTTGTCCACCTACCTGGAATTCTTTACTCATCCATGCAGAATGTTGGCCCTAAGGGAAACCAGAAAGAAAGCTCCAAGTAAGTCTCAGAGTAGGATCTACCTTTCTTCATTCTTCTTCGCTTTTTACCTCTTCCCTAAGTCTCCACCTTCACATCAGAAAAATATTTGACCTTTTTCTTGGCTCTTTTGCCATACTCTGCATTCTTCACTTTATGGCTTTCAGTAAAAACTCAGTGTTCTCTATCTAATTTGGCACTTCCTCTACCTAATGCACGCTGATATATATCTTTTCAAATACTAAATTCTTGCAGGTTGAAAAGTGCTTTGGTTTTTCCTCCTTTGCTTGCTTCCCTCTCCTGCCAGCATGTAAAGAAAGTTCTTGCTTCCCCTTCGCCTTCCACCATGATTGTAAGTTTCCTGAGGCCTCCCCAGCCATGTGGAGCTGTGACTCAATTAAATGTCTTTCCCTTATAAATTTTACCCAGTCAGGTATTTCTTTATAGCAGTGTGAAAATGGACTAATACGTATATCTTGATCTATCTCCTTAATAACTACCACCTGTCTGCCAACTTCACTTAATTCTATAATTTCTGCTTTCTGAGATTGACACTTTCAACAATGACCTATTGCTATAAATAGATCTGTGTATTAATTGATTTCCAGAATCTGAAACTTATTCTATCTCATTTCAACCATGTTTCTGATAACAATAAAAACTCAATATATTAGAAAATTCTTTTAAAAATCCACATTATTTACAAGTTAGATTATGCAAACCATAGTTTCAGTAGATAACTTACAGACCCTCCAATTCACATTTGTAACATAAAATTACATTTATATAAATGAGCCACAGATAGCCTCTGTGCATTGGCCCTGAGGTGCTTTATTTTTTCACTATAGTTTGAGGCCTATTTGTTCAAAAATCTGCCAATATCAAACCCAAATTTTTACATATCCAATTTAAAAAAAATAACCCACATAAGAAGCTCATAGCCATTTAGAACTTGTTTGTTTTATTCTACCTGTAAAACTTCATCCAACAACTGTTACCCATTGATAAGATAAGACCTTGTAGTTATAAGGCCCCAAGCTGCTATGACCCTTCAGAGTTCTCTGACCCAAAGACTCCCTGATGTACTGCAGAGCAACATCCCCTAGACATGTAAGCACCCACTTCCATTCCCCTCACCCCTGGTAATTCCCTTACCCTCCTCTTCTGGATGGTGGCTCCTGGGCTAAGGCTCCAGCTAGTATCATGCTGTAAGGGTCTTCATATCTCATGCAATCCTGTCCAAGTACCACCCATTAATGCTCATTGTGTGTTATTGGCTATTGTGGTTGTCTTTTCCTTGATCAACCTCAAATCCCTCAAACTCCCTATAATTTCCCATCTCAGACACCAGAGATTCTTGAACTCAAAATTTGTAACACTGTACCTCGGTCAGTAGTAAGTTATCAGGTAGGGAACTGAAACCATCTCCTTACAAAAGTATCTACACCATTGAGAGTTTTACAAGCACATACATATTTAAAATATTGATATCTACTATTAATTGAATTTTACCAAGTGGCAGACACTTTACAAGGCAGTTTGCAAATATCACATTTAACGTAATTACCATGACAACAAAATAAGGTAGGTGCTATTATTTCTATTTTACCTATAAGGAAAATGAGATATAGAAAACTTATATAAATTACTCCAAACAAAATAAATTTTTCATGGGAGGACTGAGTCATGATTAAATCAAGTCTTTCTTCTAATAAAATGTTTAGCCTTTTTCTCTTTCACTACGTTATGTTCCTCTTGTAGTGACTTTTATTATTTTTATAATCTTTGTTTTGTTTGTTCTGTTTCACTAAGCAAATGTTTTTTTTCCAATTTTTACTGTATGTATTAGTTCTACTTCACATACAAAATAAAAACAAATGAAAAAACTCTTTAAAAATATTGCATTAACTCTGAAGAAAATAACTATGTTTTTTGTCCTCATAGTCTATTTAATATCCACAAATAATTTTTATTTAAATTGACTTTCAGTTAATCAAATTCTTGATGATTATAAATATAAATTATGTATACTTTTGGCATAAATGCTAAACAAATATGTTGCAACAAATGCAGATATACAAATATCCTAGTAGGGTATATCCTACAAATATTTACAGCAGGAATGCACTGAAGGGATTTTTTTTCTTTAATATTTCCATGTGTGTAACTAAGTCACTTGCTGAATTAAGTTTAGCAATGAAATATGATCATTTGTAATTAATGTAAGTGAAAAGTGGTAGAGTCAAATAATCCGAAATTTGGAGGGCTTGCTAATTGAAAAGATCAGTGGAGGAAGTACATCTGCAAATGGCCATGATTAGGTCCTAAGAAAGGCTGAGGGAATGCGGTTCATGAAATGTCCAAATATAATTTAGTCAGTACGCAAGGAAAACTTGGTTCTATGAGTTTGAATCACACTTAACTAAAAATCTAGTGAGACTGAGGGAGACACCAGAATAATGTGTGTTTATAACAAGAAATAAAACGTCACCATGGACCAGAGTATTTGTATCATTAAATCTCAAGGGGGGAAGACAAAGAGTCAGTAAAAGGCAACATTTTTATTTGCTATGGAAACTCCAGAATATAGAGATAGGAAATACTCAAAGCTTTATATTGAGCACTATATCAGAAAGTAGATTTTTATGGGAATTAAAAACTGTATATTGAGCCAAGATTCAAAATAAGGGGAATTGGCTGTGTTAAATGTTTAATAACATCAGGTTTAATTAGCTACTCTAAACATCTAATCATAGGCACTATCTTGTCAATAAGTAGTAAAAGATATTTATTTTCTCTTGTGATTTATATTTAGCCCTGTCCATATGATAACCTGGACATTAGAATGAGAAATATTCAAATTTCCATGAGCAATATATCCACTTTCTTAGGCAATGGCTAAATTAAACACAGAAGGCAAGTATCTCTATCTGTATGGTTCTTCCTTCTGTAAAAATATAT
Organism: Homo sapiens; assembly: GCF_000001405.40. Lineage (NCBI taxonomy): Eukaryota > Metazoa > Chordata > Mammalia > Primates > Hominidae > Homo > Homo sapiens. The sequence continues at coordinate 31,270,837 of NC_000004.12, forward strand.
CCTTCAGTTTTATGTTAGCATTTTAGTGGTGTCCTTCTGCTCAGGGAATCCTTCTTCCCCTTGGGTTAATACTAAGATTTAATTATCAAAGAGCAATCTTATCTTCTTCACTTTCTAGCATTAGGGGCAACTTACTGAACTCTCTCTTTCCAATGCTAACCAAACTGATGTTTTGATTCATTAAACAGTGACAAAGTGTTTCATGTAATTCTTCCTCTGGTGAGTGGTAGAGATGGGAATCTTCAACTTATAAAATATGTATATCACTTTTTACAGGCTGCTTTGGTATACTTAAATGAATGATCTCTCTCTCTCTCTCTCTCTCTATATATATATATATATATTTTGAAATGGAGTTGCCCAGGCTGGAGTGCAATGGCGTAATCTCGGCTCACTGCAACCTCTGCCTCCTGGGTTCAAGCGATTCTCCTGCCTCAGCCTCTTGAGGAGCTGGGATTAGAGGCATGCCTCATCATGCCCGGCTAATTTTATATTTTTAGTAGAGACGGGGCTTCTCCATGTTGGTCAGGCTGGTCTCAAACTCCTGACCTCAGGTGATCCACCGGCCTCGGCCTCCCAAAGTGCTGGGATTACAGGTATGTGCCACCGCGCCTGGCCTATATGTGTCTATTTCTTAATGTCCCTTCTTGTGTCATAAACTTCTTGGTGTAACTCATTCTTTAGTATTTCTCAGTACCTTGAACTGTGTCTTGCCCTGAGTATACACTCAACAACTGGTTGCAGAAATAAACTGAAATCAGCTGAACCACTGATAGCCATTGCCAAAAATCTAATGAAAGGGAAAGGCATATCCTTTTTCATATTTTGATGTTTTATAAAAGCAGAATCAAAATGTTCTTCAGAGTTTAAAGCAGACAGGGCAAATTAGAATTCAGACATAAAGGAGAGGAGACGTTCGTTACTTGGAGTTTCAGAATATTTATGATTTTGGGCCTGCTATCCCAGCACTTTAGGAGGCAAAGGTGGGCAGATTACTTGAGGTCAGGAGTTCAAGACCAGCCTGGTCAACATTGGGAAACCCCATCTCTACTAAAAATACAAAAATTAGCTGGGTGTAGTGGCAGGTGCCTAATCCCAGCTACTTGGGAGGCTGAGGCAGGAGAATTGCTTGAGCTTGTGTTGATGGGGGGCCAAGATCGTGCCATGGCACTCCAGCCTGGGTGACAGAGTGAGACTTTGTCTCAAAAAAAAAAGAATATTTATAATTTTTGAACTTTATTCTATAAAATGTTATATATATACGCATATCTAACTATATACATACATATTTGTGTGTGTGTGTGTGTGTGTGTGTATGTGTGAGAGAGAGAGGGGTGGGTATCTGCCTCCATGAAGAGTCTTCTTTCAGGTTCCCTATGCTATTATGAGATTGGTTTACAAAGTATATGAAATGGAATATTAAAAGCTTGCAATCAATATACTCTCTTTCATAGAGATTTATCATTGTGATTATTGAGGATAACTTAGCATTGAAACATTGAGAATAAAAAAGAGGACAATGATTTAGGATGAAAAGCTTTTGATTATGTTAACCATTAGCAGATTTTCAGGATGAGAAGTATGATAAATGACTGCTATCCAGTTTTACCTACAGTTAACCTTCTTAATGGGAGGCAAGAAAATGTGGAAGACACTGTCTCCCAAAAAGGACAGCTCACTGCCCAAAAATTTGAATTTCATTTCCTGAAATGCCATTGGAATAAGGCATATCTTCGTTGTTAAAGGATTTCTCATTGTAGTTGGACAAACGTGCTTCTGTATGATATTCAGCAATAAATAATCTCCGATGTTTAAGATCTGGTTTCAGAAAACACTACATCCAGCAATGGGAAGAGGGGAAATTGTATCGCTTCATCTGCTCTGAGTTACAAAATCCCAGAATCTTGTTCCACAGGGGAATCATGTCACTGGAGCTAACTACCATGGCCGCAGAAAATTTAATAAAACACTCAGTGACAGCAAGAAGCTCTCAAGGTGAGGTGGTGCTTTAGTTTTATTACCTTAACCATGCCTGCATAATAAAACCATTACGGAGCCACAGTAAATATTGTAAATCATACATTCTCACCTATAAAAGTTCATAATGAACTGAGCATAAATATCAGTAAAATATGTGAATAACAAAACTATTCAAATACATACTGCATAATAATGAAGATAGAAGTTTATTCTTGACTTCTCTGGGGTACAGCTTAAAATGCTGTTGCCAGCCACTGGAGAAACCCAGTAATGAAAAACAAAAGATAGAAAACTGGGGGCTGGTAAGCAGTGACTTCTCCTTGTAGTATCCCTGTCACTTAGAACAAATTCTTGCACTGGTATTTTCAGAATACAGGATTTATCAACTTTCTTTGTGTTATTGTGTGCATTTACGTGAGTCACTGAAGCAGAGAGTCCATTGCTTATCTAACAGCAATCTTCTCGATTGTTTCTTGTATATAGGACGCTGAATAGTTTCAAGTATTTACCCCACTGGATTGTGATTCCGTTCTCTTTCAGGGGTAAACGCAATAAATCTATTCTAAAACTCATATGTATTTTGCCAGTGATTGGTTTAGGAGTGAGTATGGGTCGTGATTTAGTTAGTGCAATGTGTATGTAGGGACTCCTTTCCTACATGATTTGTACAAATAGGAGGCCTTGAGTTAAGCAGGCCCATCATCCATTTGTAACCATTCTGTAACTGTGAATGAAACATTTCTGGATAAGGCCAACAAATGACGTTGGTATAAAGAAACAGAATAAACCTGAGTCCTGGATAATGCTAGTAAACTGCTGAATTAACTTACCTCATAATTTCTTTCTTTCTTTCTTTCTTTCTTTTTTTTTTTTTTTTTTTTTTTTTGAGGTGGAGTCTTGCTCTGTCGTCCAGGCTGGAGTGCAGTGGTGTGATCTCGGCTCACTGCAAGCTTCGCCTCCCGGGTTCATGTCATTCTCCTGCCTCAGCCTCCTGAGCAGCTCAGACTACAGGCGCCCACCACCACACCTGGCTAATTTTAATTTCTTTTAATGTGAGATAATACATTTTCTCAATATTTAGGTTAGGAAGTCAAGATTTTCTATTACTTGAAGTTGGAATCAGCCTCAATGATAGACACAAGATTCCTAAGAGGAATCACAATTTGTAGAAAATGTTGATTCAGAAGACAACTATTTATTTATTCATTAATTTTTATTTGTTTTTTTGAGATGGAGTCTTGCTCTATTGCCCAGGCTGGAGTGTAGTGGCTCAATCTTGGCTCACTGCAACCTCCTCCTCCCAGGTTCAAGGAATTCTCCTCCCTCAGCCTCTTGAGTAGCTGAGATTATAGGTGTGCACCACCACGCCCAGCTAATTTTTGTATTTTTGTATTTTTTTTTTTTTAGTAGCAGTGGGGTTTCACCATGTTGGCCAGGCTGGTCTCAAACTCCTGACCTCAGGTGATCCACCTGACTTGGCTTCCCAAAGTGTTGGGATTACAGGCGTGAGCCACTGCGCCTGTCCCAGAAGACAATTATTTAAAAATCGTCAGTGGAATCTGTGATATCTTTACATCACAAACTAAATTTATTAAAGACAATAATTAACCTATTGGATTATATGGATAACATATTTAGATTATATAGGTCTCACATTATTTTCTCTAGGATGTGTTTTTATAGCATACATTATTCAAATTTGTCTTAATTCTTAACAGCTTTTCCTCTTGTAGAAAATCATAAAAATGGCATAGAATCCTAAGAAAATAAGTACTAGCACATTTTAATTGAATTTTGAGAAAACATGATTTTTGTTCATTTTCTGACATATAATTGTTGTCATTATTCCCTAAATTCTAAATTTTAATGAGTAAATGAAAGAATTATCTTAAGTTGTATAGAAATTTTGTTCAAATTATGATTTTTGTAGTGGTGTGCCACTTTATCTTATATATATTTTCAGGCCAACAAACTTGTTTAATATTAAGCAAATCACTAATAGCTATAGTACAGTTATTTTTCATTCATGTTTAGGGATCTTGATAATACTAAGCCCCAAAAGCAGGCATTGCTTATTTATGAAAATTCTCAGAATAATAACATGAAGTAGTCAGTTGAAGTCACAACCTTTATAACCAGGAAATTACACAGGGCATGACCTGAGATGGATTCATTTTCTTTCAGTTTATGATTTCTTTATATCATTTTCAGTTAAAATATGAAAATGACAAATATGTCAAAAAATCATTCTAGATGAAATAGTCTATAACATTAACTCAAAAATTGATTTAAAAAATTTTGATTGGATGTTTTCCATTGGTGTTACTATGTCAAAGATGATGCCGAGTCCATAGCCCTAAAGGAGTACATGTACCTAATAATCTTAATATGTCCACCTTTTGAAACTTTATTAGGGCAAGGAATTTATAGACATTTTATTCACTCAATAATTACCTATCGAGTCAGTCTGTGTATCATCCATAGATCGATCTATGTATCTCAGACATCATGCTAAGTGCTGGATAACTAAATATATAATTTCTAGTCACGTGAGAAAGGCTACGGAGCTGGAGAATCAGTAAACAGAAAAAAATGAAAAATAAAACAACACAGCACAGCATTACAGAATATGAGAATATGAAATCACTATAAATAAACCAATGCAATTTTGTATGTTACACTTTCATTTATAAAGTAACAGGGATGAGGAATTAGGTTGGGGAGTATACTTATAGGTTTCGCAGAGAAGACCCAGCTGTAGAAATGGTCTTTCTGGAAACCAGATGATGAAAAAGAGCTGATCATGCAGGAACAGAGAAATTGACCTGGAGTATGTAAACAGCTCATCTAAAGGTCTTGAAGCTGAAAAGGGCTTGCACCATTTGAACAGAAAGTTCAATGTGCATGGATCATAGTTCTCATATATCTATTTGATTTATTTTCTCTCCTGCCTTTTTCTTTTATTCTCTCTTTTGTTCCAGAAATAAAGCCATACCAGTCTGATTTTTATAATAGTTCTGTGGTTGAAGTACAATATTTTTTCAGCTTTATTGAGGTATAATTGATGAGGTATCAAGTTTAAACGAGAAGAGTGAATAGGACTGGGCCAAGAGCATTTAGCTCCTTGCACTTCTAATCAAGTTGAAATACATGACCCTTTTTATATCTGAATGCTCTCCTTTATGTCTGGTTTTCCAATTAACCTTGAATCTGTATTTAAATTTATAACTTGAATTATGTTCTTCCCTACCAGGCTTGCCCAGGAATTTTTCCAGGGAGGAAGTCTTTTCAATACAATAAGGTTTGAATATGAAAGGAGATGTAGATAAGATCTTACCTATCACAATCTGACTTGGCACTGAGGGCCTTATTATTTTGAAGAGAGTGTTAAGTACACAGGCTTTGTAAAGACTTGCCTGAATTTGAATTCTGCTTCAACTCCTCAGTTGCTGGATGGCCTTGTACAAATTATTAGACTTCTATCTGCATTTTCTTCATCTTTAAATAATGCTCATATCTACTGTACGGTATAGGTATAAATAAAATGCTCATTGTACTGCTTTTTATAGAGACAGAATTCAGCATATGATAGCAATTTCTTACTTTGATTATTTGTAGATTTGTTTTTTCTAGACTATAATTCCCCTAGTTTTTTGCTTGTTTGCTTTGAAATATGCCTCATTACATAATTAACAGGGCATTCTAGCAATCCATTAAGTGTTCAAAATCATACATTGTTTTCAATAAAATTATTAGAATTACTTTCATTATTAAACAAACTATTGATTCTTCATAGGGAAAGATATAGGAAATAGGAATAGGAAATAGGAAATATGTCAAATAGGAAAAGTTGTTAAAATAATGTAATTATAAGCACATAAATCAGAACTTTAATTCTATTAACTATCCAACAAATATCTACTAGGTATGTTCTAAGCAATTAGAAAACTGTGTTACTGTGTGTAATTATTATAAAAATATAGTTGATTTTTATTTAATCATTACAGAGTACTGCTAGATTTCTATGACATACACAATTGTATTTATTCCTTGATTCAATAAATATAATTGAGCTTTTAATATGAACTTAATATTGAGAGTATTCTAGTAGAAAATAATATTTCTCTCTTTCCCTCTCTTTCTTTCACTCTTTTTTTCTTTGGTTGTAGTAAAATAATTTTTTGGCACAGGTCTTCATGGTTAGGAGACTAGTTATGTAGTGGCACATTGAGTAAATAAAGAAAATGAGAATAAAGAAAGGCAAGTTTATCATTGTAAAATAAAGAAGTTACACATTTATGGGGGGAAAAAAGAAGGCAAAAATAAACCTGTGATGTTGAATTTGAATGGATATATATGTGCCAATTCATGGTTTAACATCTATCTATCTGTCTATCTATCTATCTATCGTCTATCTATCTATCTATCTGTGTGTGTTTGTGTGTGTGTGTGTATTTGTACCATATAAATGTGCATGTGCATGTGTGTGTGTATACACATATATATTATTGATCTTGTTAAAAATTCATCCTGTTTGGGCCCTAATTGAAGAGGACAAATGAGTAATGGCACTAACACTAACTAATAGAAATGTCTGTAGCTAATAGAAATGCCTGTAGTTTTAGCTACAGACATTTCTATTGGTTCTCTCTCTCTCTCCCATGCGTGCGTGTGTGTATGTGAATATAAAAATGTTTGTGTATTATTTTTCCCTCATAAATGGATGTACACAATCTGTCATTGTGGGATTCACCTTCAACATACTCTAGTCGCCTTTTAAAATGAGTATCTTATAGCAAAGACTTGGAACCAACCAAAATGTTCATCAGTGATAGACTGGATAAAGAAAATATGGCACATATACACCATGGAATACTATGCAGCCATAAAAAAGATGAGTTCATGTCCTTTGCAGGGACGTGGATGAAGCTGGAAGCCATCATTCTCAGCAAATGAGCACAAGAACAGAAAACCAAACACCGCATGTTCTCACTCATAAGTGGGAGTTGAACAATAACACATGGACACAGGGAGGGGAACATCACATACCATGGCCTGTCAGAGGGTGGGGAGCTAGGGAAGGGATAGTATTAGGAGAAATACCTAAGATGAGTGACGAGTTGATGGGTGCAGCAAACCACCATGGCACATGTATACCTACGTAACAAAACTGCATCTTCTGCACATGTAGCCCAGACCTTAAAGTATAATTTTAAAAAATGAGTATCCTTTTATAAACGGCTGATTTCTATTGGTTCTCTCTCTCTCTACATATACATACACACACATATATCTGTATATATGAGGGCGTTTAAAAAGTTCATAGGGGCCCAGACTTCACCACTACACAGTGTATCCATGTAACAAAACTGTACTTGTACCACTTAAATTTATAAAAACAAAACTCATGGAAACATACATATTTAAAAAAAAACTATGCATGGATTTAAAAATATTTTTGGCATCAAAATAAACTTATACTAACTTATTATAACATATCAGAACAGGATCAGCTTGGAGGCCCTAATAAGGATAAGATATCAGTTTAAAAATAGCCCCTATCAGAGCAACATGAATTCTGCTAAAATTGAAGCAAGAAGAAACCCCAAATTTATGGTGAAGCTTGGGGGAAAAAATGATGAAATCGTTGATGCTTTACAAAAAGTTTAAAGGGACAAAGTCCTGAAAAAATCAACCATTTACAAAAGGATACTTATTTTAAGAAGGGACCAGATGATATTGAAGGTGAAGCCCACAGCAACAAATTATTCAACCCGTTTGTAAGGAAAAAAATTCATCTTGATTGTGCCCTAATTGGAGAGGACAAATTATTTATGGCACAAAACATATTAAATAAATAAAATATAAATAGCCAATGCCATAGACATTTCTATTTGTTCAGCTTACACAATTCTGACTAAAACATTAAAATTGAGCAAAGTTTCCACTTGATGGGTACCAAAACTGTTACACTCAGCTGCAGACAGGAGCAAAGCTTTCAATGGGAATTTTAAACAAATGGATTCAAGATCTCGAAGCATTTCTTTGAAGAATTGTAACAGGAGAGGAGACACGGCTTTACCAATACAATTCTCAAGAAAAAGCACAATCAAAGCAATGGCTACCAAGATGTGGAGGTGGTCCAGTCAAAGCAAAAGCAGACCAGTCAAGAGCAAAGACCATGGTGATAGTTTCCTGAGATGCTCAAGGCATTTGCCTTGTTGGCTTTCTGGGGAGACAAAGAATGAAAACATTTGCTTATTATGAGAGTGTTTTCAGGAAGTTAGCCAAAGCTCTAGCAAAAACATGCCCGGAATACTATTCTCCACCAACAAGGATCAAGACTCCTGGAGGAGTAGTTGGTTCCAGAAATAGAGAGGGAAAATACCAGAATCTAAGGAATTGCTCACAGAACAATTACATCAAAAGGACACAGGAAACAGCTTGAAGAGAGTCTCACTGATATAATTTGCAATAATTTGATCATTAAAATAAAGCAAGGTAGTAAAAAATGTTAAATCACTGAATACAATTAGAATGCATAAAATCATACTAACATACATTGAAAATGAATAAACACCTAAATAAAAAAAATAAGAAAATCTTTGCCTTACAGTGGAATACCAGTAAATACAGAATAAATGGTACAATTAGGAATTCACTGTTAGGAAATTATCATAGTAATAATTGTATCAGGCAAGTAAGAATGGGTATTAAAATGAGGGATAAAAATTTTATGAAGGAAAAGATGTTTCTCCTCACAAAATATTTATCAATTACTTGTTAGTTAATAAGTCCAAAATAATTATTACTTTTACAGGGAGAAACCTTATAAATACCATTTTAATTTAGCAATAAATGTTAACATCACCAACCATAGGAAAAATCAGCATTGTGCATTTCCTATATGAAGCACTGAGAAGAACCCAGCAATCCTTCCATGATGTTTCTTACAAATCCTCATTTTCTGAACATAACTGTGAAGAAATATCCACACCAATATGAACTGACAGACATTCAAAAACATTGTTTATTTTATCTTTAACATTTTGCTTATAAGAAATTGCCAGTCTCCCAAAGTGGTGTTTCTTACAACTTCTTTTTAGAGATATATAATAATTTTACATATGTGTGAAGTACATGTGATATTCTGATAGATACATGCATATAGGGTGTCATAGTCAAATCAAGGTATTAAGATATTTATTACCTCAAATATTTAACATTTCTTTGTGTTGGAGATATTTCAAATTTTCTCTTCTAGCTATTTTGAAATATGCAGTAAATTATTATTAACTATTGTTACCCTACTGTGCTATCAAACACTAGAACTTATTACAGACTCTATCTGTATGTTTGTATCCATTACACAACCTCTCTTTATCTCCACACTCCAAGTCTCTCCAGCCTCTGGGAACCATCATTCCACTCTCCATATCCACAAGATCAACTTTCTTAGCTCCCATATGAGTGAGAACATGCACTATTTGTCTCTTAGTAACTGGCTTATTTATTTAATATAATGACCTCCAGTTTCCATCTAAGTTGCTGCAAATGACAAGATTTCATTCTTTTTATAGTAGAATAATATTCAATTGTGTAAATATACTTTATTTTCTGTATCCATTCTTCCATTGCTGGAGACTTACATTGATTTCGTATCTTGGCTATCGTGAAAAGTGCTGTAAAAAACATGGGAGTGGAGTTATTCCTTTGACATATTGATTTCCTTTACTTTGCATAATGCCCAGTAGTGGGATTGCTGGATGAAATGGCGGTTCTAATTTTAGTTTTTTAATTTTTTTGAAAAATCTCCATTTTTTTTCATAATGGCTGTACTAATTTATATTTCCAGAAACAGTGTATGAGGGTCCCTCTTTTCCACATCCTTGCCAACATCTGTGTTTGTTGTTTTTTTTATATGAGCCATTCTAATTGGGGTGAGATCATATTTCTTTGTGGTTTTGATTTGCATTTCCCTGATGATTAGTAGTGTCGCTCATTTTCTCATATACCTGTTGGCCTTTTGTAAGTCTTCTTTTGAAAAATGTCTTATAACTTAATAAATTTTACTTCTGGAAATCCTTGCCAGAGCAATCAGGCAAGAGAAAAAAATAAAAGGCATCCAAATTAGAAAAGAAGGCATCAAATTATTCCTGTTCATGGATGATATAATCTTATACCTAGAAAACCCTGAAGACTCCACCAAAAATCTGTTAGATTTGATAAATAAATTTAGTAAAGTTTTGGGATACAAAATTAATGTACAGAAATTAGTAGTGTACAGAAATTAATGTACATAAATTTCTGCACATCAATAACGAGTCAGCTGAGGACCAAATCACAAAGGGAATCCCATTTACAATAGCTACAAAAAAACCTAGAAATATATTTAACCAAGGAATGAAAGATCTTTACAAAAAGAACTACAAAACACTGATGAAAGAAATTGTAGATGACACAAATGGAATATCATCCCATGCTCATGGATTGAAGAAACAATATCAGTAAAATGATCACACTGCTCAAAGCAGTCTACAGATTTAACTCAATCTCTATCAAATTACCAACATTATTTCTCACAGAATTAGAAAATACAATCCTAAAATTTATGTGCAACCCAAAATAGACCAAATATCCAAAGCAATCCTAAGCCACAAAACAAAACAAAACAAACCCAAAGCTGGAAGCATCACATTACCTGATCTCAAATTATACTACAAAGCTATAGTAAATAAAGCAGCATGATAGTAGTATAAAAGTAGACACATAGATCAATGAAACTGAATAGAAAACTCCAAAATAAAGCCACATACCTACAACCAACTGATCTTTCACAAACTCAGTGAAAATATATACTGGGGAAAGAACACCCTATTCAATAAATCATGCTGGGAAAATTGGATAGTCACATGCAGAAGAACAAAACTGGACTTATACTGCTCACATATACAAAAATTAACTCAAGATGGACTAAATGCTTAAATGTACAACCTAAAACTATAAAAATCCGAGAAGAGAACCTAGAAATAACTATTCTGTACATTTGCCTAGGCAAAAAAAATTAACAAATTCTCAAAAGCAAACACAACACAAAACAAAAGTAGACAAATGGGTCTTTATTAAACTATAAATCTGCTGTGCAACAAAAGAAACAATCAACAGTGTAAACAGACAACCTACAGGATGTGAAAAAATATTTGCAATATATGCATCTGACAAAGGGCTAATATCCAGAATCTACAAGGAACTCAAACAACTCAACAAGAAAAAAAAAAAAAAATCAAAAGATGGAAGCCAATAACCCTATTATGAAGTGGACAAATGACATAAACAAACATTTTTTCAAGAGAAGACATACAAGTGACCCAAAAAAATATATCAATAAATGTTCAACATCACTAATCATCAGAGGAATGTAAATTAAAATCACAGTAGGACATCATCTTCTATCTATCAGAATGGCTATTATTAAAATGTCAAAAAACAACAAATGTCGGTGAGGGTATGGAGAAAAGGGAATGCTTATACACTGTTGGTGGGAATATAAATTAGTACCATCTTTATAGAAAACAGTATGGAGATTTCTCAAAGAACTAAAAATAGAATTACCATTCTATCCAGCGATTCCACTATTGGGTGTATACACAAAAGGAAATAAATAAATAAGTATATAAAACAATACCTGCACTCATATGCTTATGGCAGCACTACTCACAATAGCAAAGATACGGAATCAACTTACGTGTCCACCAATGGAGGATTGGAAAAAGAAAATGAGGTATATGTATACACACATACATGCATAAACACACACATACATGCACACACACACACCATGGAACACTACTCAGCCATATAAAAAGCATAAAATTTTGTCTTTGGCAGTAACATGGATAGAAGTGGAGACCATTTTCCTAAGTGAAATAACTCAGAAACTTAACTGGGAGTGGTGGAGTGTGCCTGTAATCCCAGCTACTCAGTAAAATCTAATAACACATTCTCACTTAGAAGTGAGAGCTAGACAATGTGTACACATGGACGTACAAAGTGGAATAATAGATATTGGAGACTTCAAAAGATGGGAAGGTAGAAGGAGGTTGAGGGTTGAAAAATTACCTGTTGAGTACAATATGTTCACTATTCAGGAGATGGGTGCACTCAAAGCAATAAATACATGTAAGAAATATGCACTTGTACCCTCTAAATCTATAACCACAATAAAATGAGAATTTGAAATAAAAAGTTAAAAGCAAAGCCAAAAAGAAAGAAGTAGACAAAATCATTACAATATGAGAAGAAGAATGAAGTAAATACAGAAAAGGTCACCTGGCAGAAGGCATCTACTATAGATAGATCATCAGGAAAAAGAAGAAGAAACAGTATTGATGCTGAGTTCTGAGAGATGTAGAGAGATTAGCTAGGCAAAAAATAGAACAACCCCCCAGGCAGACAGTGTAGCATATGCAAAGGTCCTGACACAGGAGGGAATTTAGTATATTTGAGGAAGGGAAAGATTTAACATAGCTGGAACCAGGACAAAACTGAAGTTGGAGAGAAAGACAAATCAATGCATACAGCACAATTTGTTGATTCCTCTAGCAGATATCATGAGGTCAGATTGAGCCTGGGACTTTCTTGGCTTCTTCCCATTTTCTACCTTGTTTCTTCTATACCTTTACTAGTTTTTCCTGAGATTATTTCCCCAATAAACCATTTACACTTAAATCTTTGCATCAAAGTCAGTATTTGGGAATGTAACAAATCAAGCTCTAAATCCACTGCATAAAATATAGAGATAAATAGAATGCAATATTGTTTTTGAGATATTATTAAGGGTCAGAGAACATTATATGATTAATAAATCATAGACTTCTTAACACAAAGTCCATGGTGAGCTGGCAAAAGTCGTAGAGTCATAGAATTTTACAGCTGAGAGAAGCGCTTTTGAAATCATCTAATGCAAGCTTCTCATTTTACCAATGAACTGAGGCTTGAGCAATTTGGGAATTCTTATCAAGAGCTTGTCAGAAAGGTCATACTTTATGACCCTGTAATCCTTTCTTTATGGAACATAGCCTAGGTAAGTAGTCATAAACTCAAAGATTTATGTATAGAGATTTTCATCTGACTATTATATAGAATAGTAAAATATTTGGAAGCCATCTAAATGTCCAAAATACGAGAAAGGGTAAACACATTACAGACTGTGTTTTGGCATATTTATTCGTATAATAAAAAGGATACTCTAAGAGAATATTTAAGAGATGTGAAAAGGCTCACAATTTGAAGTGGAAAAAGCATTAAAACAGGACCATTCATTAGAAGAAATGAAAGGAAGGTATATATCAAATTATTAATACTGGTTATCTCTGGGTACTTGATTTATATTTCCTTTTTATACCATCATATATTTCCAAAACTTTCCAGAGTAAGCACATGCATTACTTTTATTAGCTTTATATTTTAAAACATTATAAAAATAAATGCAAATTGACTATTACAGAAAAAATATGACATATTCCAAGGTCAAACTGACACATCACTCAGGGTTGGAACTTCATTTGGGAATCCTAATTTTTAATCTTGGTCTCTATTTTCCCATAATAAAATGAGTTTTTATTAGTGGAGCAGAGAATTTCAAAAGTGAATTGTTTGGTTAAAAATTATTTAGTAACTTCCTGGCATAGGTGGAGGTAGAATTAAGGATCTAATATTTCAGGTCTTCCATTTTTGTCTTTCTCCATCTCTTCTTTTCCTTTTGTTTCTTATTTCTTGCCTCAGTTTCCTTCACTGATCTTCTATTTCAATCTGCTTTGAGCAGCAGAATTCTCCTCAGTTTTTTTTAATGGAATATTATCATCAGTACTTTTTCTACCTACGAGGCTGCTTGTAGTCATTTTGAAAAATAAATAGAACTTTTTCACTAAATAGTAGCTTAAAGAGCTTGACTTACTCAAGTAAATATCCATTGCTTGGTAGGAATGTACAAGGAGGAACAATGCGTTTGTTTCTTCCAAAGTATTTTTTCAACATAGTCCTTTGGGAAAAGGTAATATATTTACACAGGAGTCAAGAAGCTAATGAAAATAAATTTAAAATTTTCCAATAAATTATGATTATTTCAACCAAATTTGCATTTAATATTTGTGAATGTCAAAGTAAAAAGTACAAATGGGGGCCAAATAGCATATGTCTTAATGCTTACAGGTTATAAAGCATGACAACAAATCTGAAACCTTGACAAATACATCTTTAGAGTGACTTGGAAAGACAGGTTTGAATTTAGAATTTTTGTGACCATGTGGAGTGAGCTAACCCACAGAGCCATCTCTTCCCCCTTCTAACTGCAGCTCCAGTGCTCACTGGTTAGGATCTCGTGCACACACAGTAGACAACAGGACAAGTATTTAAGTTTCATCCATACCTGCTCTAATAGCCTGATGTGGTTTGGTTCTGTGTCCCCACCCAAATCTTATCTCGAATTGTAATCTCCATAATCCCCATGTGTTGAGGGAAGGACCTGGTAGGAGGAGACTGGATTCATGGGGTGGTTTCCACCATGCTTTTCTTGTGATACTGAGTGAGTTCCCATGAGATCTGATGGTTTTATAAGGGGCTCTTCCCCCTGTGCTCTTGCTCTTCTCTGTCCTGCCACCTTCTAAAGACGGTGCTGGCTTCCCCTTCACATTCCACCATGATTGTAAGTTTCCTGAGGTCTCCCCAGCCATGTGAAACTGTGAGCCAATTAAACCTCTTTCCTTTATAAATTACCCAGTCTCTGGTATTTCTTTATGACAGTATGAAAAAGGACTAATACATAGTATTTCCTTGGTCCTTTCATAGTTCTAGGTTTTTGAACAGGCCTAGCATAATCTGCTGTTCTGAGGATGGACTCAAAGAGGAGGTCCCTGAAGGCCTTGGAAGTTCAGGCTGTTTGGGAAGTGATTTCTGGGGTCTCAAGTATACATACGATGGCCATGTCTTCTTGGCCCTATGAATTCCTTGATTCATGGGTGGCATGTGGCCAGAAGAGTACCAAGGTGAGTTCCTCTAATGTGTGGAGCTCAGGGCTGAGCAGTTTTGCATGAGCTTAAAATTTTGTATTTCAGGAAAATTCTCATTATCATTTACCATCTGGGTCCAATGGACACCCACCCTCTTTTTTGAGTTTTTTTTTTTTTCCTCCAACGATAACATTATTCAAATCCATATTACAATATAATGAGTAGGATATGGATATTGACATGATGCACTGATCTTATGTAAATTTTCTTAATTTTACTTACATTTGTGCATGTGAATTTAGTTCAATCACTTTTATACTACATGCATTAATCTTCTATGACTGCCATAGCAAAATATCACAGACTGGGTAGTTTAAACAATAGAAATTTATTTTCTCGCAGTTCTGGAGGCCATTAGTTCAAGGTCAGGGTGCCAGGCTTCAGATGGCTGCCTTTTTGCTGTGTTCTCACATGGCCTTTTCTCTGTGTGTGCACAGGGAGAGAGAGAGAGCGCTGATTTTGGTGTCTCCTCTTCTTTGTACAAGGACACCAATCCTATTGGATTAGGGCCCCATACTTATAACCTCATTTAACCTGATTACCTGCTTAAAGCCTCTATCTCTAAGCACCATCATGTTGGGGGATAGGGCTTCAACATATGAATTTTAGGGGGACCCAATTCCATCTATAACAAATGTAGTTTCCACAACATACACCACCATCCTTGTCAAAATATTGAACAGTCTGCCTCTCAATGTAACTACCCATTTTCTACTGTCATTCATGACCCTGGATCATATCTTATAAATACTGATTCCTTATTTCAAGTACATCTCAAATGAGTACTAGCTTATCATTACTTCTGCTGCTTCTTATACTTGCATCGTTAAAACAAAATAGCTGACATATATTTTGAAACCTTTGACAGCTGCTAATTTTGTGGCAAAGAACACACTATCTTCCTTACTCCATAATTGAAAAACATTTTAATTTATAAATTTATAAACATAATTTAGAACGACTTAACTGATTAATAAATTCATTTTGACTATTTCCTGCTACTCTGTATATTCATCTGTCTTTAGCATTTGTCTGCTTACAAACTCTATCAGGTGCATTTTGGCACTTGAACATTTTTTAAAATGAAATACTGCCCCAGTTTCTTTCAGCAAAATGGGATAATCCAGGTGTTTGTCACAAAACACTAACGACGAAGTCCTTCCTGTTGACTGGCTATTTGGATGAGAATGACATAATTTATTTTTGTCCTTATAAACATGTAATTCACACATTAAATGCTGGGTTTGAGCAAATTCATTCACGATATTATTGTTTAAAGACACATCATCTGGAATTTTACTTATATAAGATCAGTTTCACCATTTTTAGAGCTTGGACTCAGCGCTGCTATCTTTTTACATTTATGTTTTGATGCATGTAATTATAGTGAGGTGTCTTCTGATAATTTTCTTCTCTTTACCTTTAAGAGCAGAAAAGAATAAATTGTGAACTTGGTCTCTGTTCAATGAAAGCTGGAAAGCCAAATGCAAAAATGGTGCTTCTGGTCTTATTTTACAGTTTCTTGAAAGCTGATGCAATACTTTAGCCTATGTAATAAGAATACTTCAAAAGTTTGCATTAGTGACGATGTATTGCACTGTTGATTCAATTAGAGTGGTTAGTGTATTTATCACCACAGGTATTCATTTCACTCTTTGAAGAGAGTACATCATTCTTCTGTTTTCTTATTATTTTAGTCTATTTTAATGCAGTGTGAATAATTCATGAGTAATGGTTGAATAGCAACAGTATGGATTAATACTGATGATTAGCAGCTTACGTAGCAAATAAGGTGGAAAATTTTTTTAAAAAGTTTCAAGGTATAGAAAGATATCATTCAAATCCGATAATGTATCTTAGATTTACATAAGGTACAATGAAACGTTAGGGTAATTGTAAGTAGAATTAAATTTCATTCTATTAAAAATAAGTATTTTTTCTTTCAAAAAATCTCTAAGAAAGAATAAAATTCATGAAATATCTATTACTACATAAAGAACTGCTCAGAAAAGGAACAGAAAATTTTAAATTGGGCCTAACGGAGCTTGTTGTTATCTGGAGGGTTTATGGAGATAGGATTTCAATTGATCTGCAGTTGCAGAATAAGATACAGAGGACGCCAGGCTGGGTGGGGTGGCTCACGCCTGTAATCCCGGCACTTTGGGAGGCCGAGGTGGGCAAATGACCTGAGGACAGGAGTTCAAGACCATCCTGGCTAGCACGGTGAAATCCCGTCTCTACTAAAAATAAAAAAAATTAGCCAGGCGAGGAGGTACGTGCCTTTAATCCCAGCTACTTGGGAGGCTGAGACAGGAGAATTGCTTGAACACAGGAGGCATAGGTTGCAGTGGGCCAAGATTGTGCCATTGCACTCCAGCCTGGGCAACAAGAGCGAGACTCCATCTCAAAAAAAAAAAAAAAAAAAAAAAAAAAAAAAAAAAAAAAAAAAAAAAAGATACAGAGGACTCCAAAAGGAAAATTTAACATGACAGATGGGGGTCTATAAATGATTATCTGAATTTAAGTCTAAATTCTAAATTTAGACTAATAGTCTTCAAACTTTTTTGTAAAGTTTGAGAAACTATGTAATCTCCACGAGCATTAAAATTGACATACATATTTTAAAATCATGCAGTGATGTAATGTTTATACTATAGTAAATATTAATATTTTCAAATAAAACTGTGTCATCATTTTTCAATTCTAGCCAATGGAATATAAATGATTTAGGGTTTTATTTTCTACTCTATCCTTTTAGAAACATAAGGAAAATTTCGTCCTTGAAGCTGGGAAGTGTTACTTCTTCCTCTTTTCTCCTTTAATTGGTATTTCCCATCAATTTCCTCATAAAACTTTGTCTTAATGTTTTCTTTAAAGATCATTTGTTAATCATCCTTTTATACTTCTTTACAACTGTGTGTATATGTAATTAAATTTATTTTCATAGTAGTTACCATTTTCTCTATTATTTTATTCTTTCTAGAGTACATCTAAAAGAATTATTACTAATAGTTGATTAAAACATGATATATTGCAGAATTTCTCTCATTTTTAAAATATTATTTATTTATTTTCTAATTGACACACTGTAATTTGATGATTTGATAAATATCTATGTTGTACAATGATTTAATTAGAATAGTGTATCAATCACCATATGCATTTATCATTTCTTTGTGGTGAGAACATTCAAAAGCCTCTCTTCTACACTATATTAATAGACATTGTTTTACTGTTAACCATTGTCACCCTATTGTGCAAAGGAACACTAAAATTTATTCCTGTTACCTAATTGTAAATTCATACCCATTTACCAACATTTCCCTACCCCCCCAAATCTACCCTCCCCTCCCATATCTTTGATAACCTCTGTTATACTCTCTGCTTCTATTATGTCAATTTTTTTTAAAGATTCCACATCTGAGTGAGATCATGCAGGATTTGTCTTTCTCTGTTTGGCTTGTTTCATTTAATATAATGACCCCTAGGTACATCCATGTTGTCACATGTGACAGGGTTCTATTACATTTTATGGCTGAATAGTATTCAATTATGTATATATATCACATTTTCTTTATTTATTCATTTATTGTTGAACACATAGTTTGATTCTATATCTTGGGTTTTGTAAATAGTGCTATGATAAACGTGAGAGTTCAGGTATCTCTTTGACACGTTGATTTTTATTTTGTTTGAATGTATCCCCAAAGCGGGATTGTTGGATCATATGGTACTTCTATTTTTAATTTTTTGAGGAACCTCCTTACTGTATTTTTATAATAGCTGCACTAGTTTACAATCTCACCAACAGTGATAAGCATCTGTTTTCTTTGCATCCTTGTCAATATTTGTTTTCATTTTTTGGGTAATACCCATTCTAAATTGAGTGAAGTTATATCTCATTCTGGTTTTGATTCACATTTCTCTGATCATTAGTGATATTCAGCATTTTTTATACAACTATTGGTCATTAGTATATCTTCTTTTCTGAAATGTCTGTTAAGGTATTCTATCCATTTTTACATACCAGGCTTTATTTTTGCTGTTTAGTTGTTTAAATTTCTTACATGTTTAGGACATCGACCCTTTGTCAGATATATAGTTTGCAAATATTTTCTCCCATTCTGTATGCTGTCTCTTCACAATCTTTCACAAATTTTCTTTGCCATATGAAAGCTTTTGAGGTTGATGTAATCTCATTTATCCATTTTTGCTTTTGCTGCCTGTGCTTCTGAGGTCTTATTTTAAAAATCCTTGCCCAGCCTAATGTCATGAAGCATTTTTCTTAAATTTTCTTCTAGTAGTTTCACAGATTTGTGTTTTACATTTAAGCCTTTGATCCATTTCGAGTTTTATTTTTCTGTATATGGTAATAGGTAGAGTTCTAGTGTTGTTCTTCCTCATGTAGATATTCCATTTTTCCAGCACCATTTATTGAAGACACTCTGTTTTCTCCAAAGTGTGTTCTTGACACTTTTGTTCAAAATCAGTTTGCTGTAAATACGTGGATATTTTTCTGGGGTCTTTGCTGTTCCATAGGTCTATGTGCCTGTTTTTATGCCAGTACCATGATGTTTTGGTTACTATAGCTTTGCAATATATTTTGAAGTCAGATAGTAATGCCTCCAGGCATCAGGATTGCTTTGAATATTTGGTGTCCTTTGTGGTTTCATATGTATTTTATGATTGCTTTTTCTATCTTTGTGAAGAATGTTATTGACATTTTGATAGATATAGCATTAAATCTATACATTGCTTTGCGTAGTGTGGCCATTTTAGCAGTTTTAATTTTTCATTCCGTGAACATGGGATATGTTTTCATATATTTGTGTCCTCTTCAATTTCTTTCATTAAAGTTTTACAGTTTTCAGTGTAGAGATCTTTCACCTCCTTGGTCAGGTTTATTACTGGGTAACTGTTTTTGGTAACTGTTGTAAACCATTAGGGACAAGCTACCCCAGGAACCTCCCACCCCACACACTTCAATGCAGCTGATCCTTGCCCTGAATACTCTGCAGCTGCATTCCTGAACCCTCATCTAGGCACTACAGCAAGGTCACCAGACTTGCTTACAGCCCTCCACGTGGCATGGGGGAGGTCACAAGAAACTTAGATAAACCTAAGTTACACCCTCTTGTAAATTCCTATATTGTAAGCCGGTCACGAGATGATATGTGGTAAAGTTAACTGACAAGCAACCCCAGGGTCTCTCTCCCCCATGTAAAGCCCTCATTTTGTAAGCTCAGGGCTGCCTCCTCTGACTGGTGGAGCAGCCCAGCAGGTTAATAAACTCACTTGCCTGACCTTGGGTCTCTGTCTCTTGTCCTTTCTCTCCACTAACTTTATATAAATGACATTGTTTTAGTTCATGTTTAGCATGTAGAAACACTACTGATTTTTGTATGTTGACTTTGTATCCTGTAACTTTACTACATTTGTTTGTTCATTCTAATTGTTTTGTTTGTTTGTTTTGATGGGGTCTTTAGGGTTTCTTTACATAAGATCATGTCATGTGCAAACAGAGACAATTTCACTTCCTCTTTTACAGTTTGAATGCTATTTATTTCTCTCATTTGCCTAATTGCTCTGGCTACAACTTCCATTATTATGTTAAGAGTGGTGGTGAAAGGCATGTGCCTTATCCGTAAGCAAAAGCTTTCAGCATATCTTCATGAAGTATTATATTATCTGTCAGTTTTGTTATATATGGCCTTAATTGTTCTGAGAAAGATACATGGTATGTTTAGTTTGCTGAGAATTTTTGTTATGAAGTGATGTTGAATTTTATCCAATTTTTTCCCCACATCTATTGAGATAATCATATGGTTTTTGTCTTTCTGTTAACGTGGTGTGTCACATTTATTGAGTGGAATATGTTAAAACATCGTTACATCCCTGGGATGAATACCACTTGATGATAGTGAATGATCTCTTTAATGTGCTCTTGGATTCAGTTTGCTAGTATTTCATTGAGAAATTTTTAATTTTTGTTCATCAGTAATATTGGTTTGTGGTTTTATATTTTTTGTTTTGTTTTGTCTTTGTTTGGTTTTGGACTCAGAATAATGATGGCTTTGTAAAATAAGTTTAGAAATATTCCCTCCTTTTTGGTTTTCTGGAATATTCTGAGGAAAATTTAAAGTTTATCTTTAAATGATTGGTAGAATTCGACAGTGAAGCCATCAAGTCCTGGGCTTTTCTTTGATGAAAGACTTTTTATTAACAACTCAACGTTTTCACTTCCTATTGGTCTGTTCAGATTTTCTATTTCTTCATAATTTAATCTTAGTAGGTTGTATGTGTCCAGAAATGTATCTGTTTCTTCTATATTATCAAATGTGTTGGTGTGTAGTTGTTTATAGTAGTCTCTTGTGATCCTTTGTATTTCTGTGGTATCAGATGTAATGTCTCTCCTTTCATCTCTGATCTGATTTCTTTGGCTCTTCTCTCTTTTTTTACTTAGTCTAGCTAAAGACTTGTTATTGTCTTTTCAAAAACAACTCTTTGTTTTGCTCTTTTTAATGTTTTTGTCTCTATTTCATTTATTTCTTCTCTGTGCTTTATTATTTCCTTTCTTCTGCTAATTTTGGATTTATTTTTATTTTTCTAGTTCCCTGATACAAATCATTAGGTTGTTTATTAAAATTCTTTCTTCTTTTTTGACATGGGAATTTATTACCATTATATAAACTTTTTTCTTAAAACTGCTTTTCCTATGGCTTATGGATTTTGGTACGATGTGTTTTCATTCTCATTTATTTCTAGCATAGTTTTAATTTTTCTTTTAATTTCTCTTTTGACCCATTGTTGAAGAATATGTTGTTTAATGTCCATATATTTGTAATGTTTCCTGAGTTTTTCTTATTGTTGATTTCTAATTTTATAGTATTATGGTAAAAGATACTTGATATGATCTCTGTCTTCTTAAATTTGTTAAGGCTTGTTTTGTATCCTAATGTGATTTAGTCTAAAAAATGTTTCAGATGCAGTTGAGAAGAAGAATGTGTGTTCTGCAGCAATTGGAAGGATTATTCTGTAAATATACACCAGGTCTATTTGGTCTACAGTCCAGTGTTTCTTTGTCAATATTATTCTCCAGATGGTCTGTCCAATGTGGAAAGTGGGGTGTTAATGCACCCTACTATTATTGTATTGCAGTCTATCTCTCCTTTTAAGTCTGAATAGTATAAATACTTTTAAAATATTACCAAAACTTAATTGATTAAAACATATATTGCACATTTTAAAACCATAAAAGTAGCATTAGTTTTTTTCTCATGTTGACTCTGTTAATGATATAAATGGATTTGGAATTTATTTTTACCTTGATTTAAACTGTAGTGATTATTTTTTGTTGGGCAAAGAGAGTTTGAATTTATGCACTTTCCAAATATGCCCTGGAAATAGCAGTTCCATTATCTGGGACATGAAAGAAAGAGTGATCATTTGTATGCCGAGTCCTGAAATAGTCAGAGCTGTGCCTTCTAAGGTTGATTTAATAAATATAATAAAGTGTCTTATGTTACCTCCTTAATACCAATCACCTTCTGTAGAGAAAATAATATTTATTTGTAGTTCAATTTATATTTATTATGTGGAGAACTACAATAAACCAAAGTTTATAACACGAATATTACATAGTATATATATTAAGACATTGGCAGATCTACCTTAAATGTATACCATTATAATATTAATGGACTAAAATACATTTCCAAAAATATGGACAGTAGGCTATTAACTTTATTGAAATATTCACAATTATTCATATTTTTGCTTCCATATCCACATTACAATTTTAATGGTATAATTATTTAATATGTTATTAATTTCCTTTGTAAATGTAGATAAAGGAAATAAATTATTTTTATTAGAATTCAGGTTTTTAAAAGTTGATCAATTTGACAATCCTTATAATTTCCAGTGAGAAAGGAAATGGAAAAATCAGCTGCCAGCTATGTCTAAATGATTTTTAATAAGAATGTTTATTATTTTTTAAGGTACTAAGTATGCAAGGTATTCAGTTTGTTTTATTTGGACTCAATTTCTCTAAGGCATTAAGTTTTCATTTAAAATAAAGTCTGTTTGTTGTAATATTAAATTTTAATTTAATTTTCTAAGTGACAATCTAAGGTAAATGTATGCATGCCTAATTTTTTTTTTTTTTTTTTTTTTTTTTTAGATGGAGTTTCGCTCTTATTGCCCAGGCTGGAGTACAATGGCACTCACCACACCCTCCACCTCCTGGGTTCAAGCAATTCTCCTGCCTCAGTCTCCCAAGTAGCTGGGATTACAGGCATGCGCCACTGCCCCCAGTTAATTTTGTATTTTTAGTACAGACAGGGTTTCTCCATGTTGGTCAGGCTGGTCTCCAACTCCCGACCTCAGGTGATCTGCCCACCTCAGACTCCCAAAGTGCTGGGATTACAGGCGTGAGCCATTGAGCCTGGCTGCATGCCTAAATTTCTACATCTTTCTTTACTTTCTTGAGTATATACACTGA
Source organism: Homo sapiens (assembly GCF_000001405.40). Lineage (NCBI taxonomy): Eukaryota > Metazoa > Chordata > Mammalia > Primates > Hominidae > Homo > Homo sapiens. Next base: position 31,294,387 of record NC_000004.12, read on the forward strand.
TGCTGAAATTTTAGAATTAAACTTTATTTTATCATTTTAAATGTAATAGTCATTAAGCAAATGCCATAACTAATTATGGTAAGCAGAATAAAGACTCTAATCCCTGGGACATTTAAGTATGATACCATGTGTGGCCAAAGGGACTTTGCAGGTGTAATTATAGTTACAGACTTTGAGATTGAGAAATTACCCTAGATTATCCAGGTGAGCCTACAATGAATTAAACATAGCCTGTGCATTAGTTTTCTGAAGCTGCAGCAACAAAGTATCACAAACTTTGTGACATAAACAATGGAAATTTATTGTCTAGTAGAGTTGGCTCCTTCTAAGAGCTGTGAGGGAAAATCGGTGCCATATCTCTCTCCTGGCTTCTGGTAGCCTCAGGCATTTCTTTATTTGTAGATTGTGTTCCCTCTGTGTTTTCACATTATCTTCCCTCACATGTCTGTCTCTGTGTCCAAATTTTCTCTTTTCCTAAGCACACCAGTTATATTAGATTAGGGTCTACACTAATGACTCCATTTTAACTAGATTACCTTTATAAAGACCTTATCTCCAAATTAGTTCACATTCTCAGATATGGGGTTTAAAAATCCAACATACCGGTTTTTTGGTGACCCAGGTCAATCCGTAAGAGCCTGGGTTACATAATTTTATTACTACAATTCCTAAAATAGGAGATAAATCTGTTTTCAGCAAGTGCGTCGTGTCTCATACTGTTCTATGTGTAGACCCCAGATGGTCAAAATCTGTGCTCTGTGAATGCTGTGGAGAGACGAGAGCAGAAAAAAATGGCAAAAGATGAAAATTTCTTCCAGAAATGCCAGAAAACCAAACTCATTGTTCAAGAATTGGCACATGAGCCTGCTCATTACCTCTGATTCAAGAAACAGCCTGTGGTCATAGCACCGTTGCCAATGTCCTGTGGGCTGAGCTATAAATGTGGTAAAGAGTGAGGATGACTGACTTTTAATCACAAGAGTAAAAAAGTTATGGTGGCAGGTTTAAAAAAATACATAATGGCACCAAAACTGACTCTTCTAATAGAGGAATATCCAAGTTGTTATTTTTAAAAATCTTTATTTGCTTGAATATAACATGCAGTCTTTTAATCAGGGAAATAACTATTTACATTTTCATTGTGAAATTTAAATAAAAAATGCTATACAACAATAACCTGGTAGAGAACAGTTATTTTTATTAAATGTTCAGGTAAAATCTAGATATTTCTTTTTGATATTACATATTATAGGACTGATTTAGTATATTTCTTTTGTTATTATTGTTGTTATTTTAAAATTAAATGGAGATAATTTTGTTTCTATGGTAAAACTGAACTGCTTCAAGTTTACACTCAGAAATCTCAAGCACTCATGTCAACTCTAATTTAACTATGGCAATTTAAAAAATCTTTTGAATCATCAACAGAATAACAATGACACCAGTGAAAGTGAAATAAATACATGCTATTATATGTAGTCATATTAAGTAGTTCATTTCATTAAACAATGAATTCCAAAATTGATATTTAAAAATTTTTTAAATTCAATTTATTGATGTATATATTTGTTTTTATGACAAAAATTCATTCTTAAATTTGAACTTTTTAAAAGAAATATGTCAGATATAACTATAATTGCATTTAAATTTGGTCAATTGTGTGTTGTGTCAGTTGATTTCTATAGAAAGAAGATGGCGAGATAGCCATGCAAACAGTTTATTGGGGAAATACAAGTGGGAGCTAAATTCAATGGCAACATTCTTCAGAATATGATACAAAACAGAGAACTGTAAAAGAAAATGAGGAAAGAAGCAGGACTGCACAAGGAGAATCTCCATCCATTATGCACATTGGATAGTGCTGGCCAACCCAACTGGGAGGTCAAAAGCCAAGACTTCCCATGAAAGAAGACCTATATTGGCCAGCAATGGACAAACTCTTGTACCTACACTATAATCAATCATTGGGTGGGTTTCAAAGTTGAGATGAATCCTGAAGCTCTTTGCATAGAGATTGTCAGCTGATAGCCCTCCTTGCAGCTAAATGAGTCCTTTTTTGAAGGAAGACTGCATAGTCCATGCATCATGCCACCCGCCCACTTATCTACATGTTTGACATGTTGCTTTTGCATGATTCAGATATATGCCAAATAAACATATTTCCTTTTATTCAATCTTATGCTTTAGGCCCTTAGTCAAACACATTCACAATACAATCTTACAAGTATAACCAACTCCTATTAATACCAGCTGGTTAATACATTTTATTGTTATTGTTGTGTACAACTTTATTGAGTTATGTTTAATTCACCATACAAGCACCTTTTTGAAACGTATAGTCAAGTGGTTTTTGGTATATTCACAGGTTTGTGCAATCATCACCAATATCTATTCATTTTCAATTTCCTTAAGAGTTCCTACCCATTGGCTGCCATTCCCCACTCTCTTGACACCCACCCCTACAGAACCACCAATATGCTTTCTCTTTCTGTGAACTTGCCAATTCTAAACATTTCACGTAAATTTAATCATATAATACACAACCTTTGCGTCAGACTTCTTTCTCTGGCATAATGTTTACAAGGCTTATCTGTGTTACAACATGTATCTCTATTTCATTTTTTTTTGTATTGTAGGATAATACTTTATTGTATTGGTATACCTAATTTTATTATCCATTCATTGGTTGATGAATATTTACGTTGTTCCACTTTGGAACTATTATGAATAAAACTGTTATAAACAGTCATGTACATTTTTTTTTGTGTGTGGACATACGTTTTCATTTCTCTTGGGTATAAATAGCTGCATGTTTATTATTTTGAGGAACTGCCATGCTGTTTTGCAAAGTGGCCACACCATTTTATGTTCCTACTAGCAATGTATAAGGGTGTCGAAATTTTCCACTAACTCATCTCACATTTTAAAAATTTTATTTTAGCTATCCTAGTGAATTTAACGGGATATCACATTATGATTTGGATTAGCGTTCCAGTATTGAAAATGACGTTTAGCATCGTTTCATGCATTTGTTGGCTATTAGTATAACTGTTTTTTGGGAAATATTTGTCATGATAATTTGCCCACTGTTTAACTGCATCATTTATCTTTTTCTTGTTGAATTGTAAAGTTTCTTGTATATTCTAGATACTAGAGACTTAGATGTATGAGCTGCAAAATATGTTAACCTTATTATGTTTCCACTTTGTCTTGATTTTTATAGCTCTATAAGTTTGAAATTAGGAAGTGAGTCCCCCAACTTTTTTTTTTTTTAAATTATTTTGGTTATTTTTATGTGAAATTTTCTGTCAACTTACTGATTTCTGAACAAAAAACAGTTGGCATTTTGACAAATGTTAAGTCTTCAAATTCATAAATATTACCATAGAGAGTCATTTACTGGATTTGGATAGTCTGTAATTTTTTCAACAATGTTTTTGGTTTTCTGTGCACAAGTTTTGCACATCTTTTTAAATAAATTTTATTATAAATAGAATTGTTTCTTTAAATGTTTCATTTCCATTGTTAATTGCTAGTAAATATTTATAAAACTGATTTTTGTATGTTGCTTTTTCCACTCATGTGGATGAACTGTATCATTAGTTCTAATAGTTTTTTTTTCTTTTTCTATTAGGAATCCTAATAGTGGATTCCTTAGATTTTTCTGTATACAAGGTCATGCCATGTTCAAACAGATATAGTTTTCCTTTTTTTTTTCATTTTGAATGTTTTTTATTTCTTACTTCCAGTATAATGCTAAATAGAAATGTCTTCCCCTCAACTTGGAGGAAAATATATCTTTCATCCTTAAGTATCATGTTAGCTGAGGCTCTTAAACAAATAGATGGCTTTTATCAGGTTGAAGATGTTTCTTTTCATGTCTAGGTTGTTGAATATTTTTATAATTAAAGGGTGTTGGATATCATCAAATGCTTTTCCTGCGTCTACTGAGATGGTTATGTCATATTTGTCCTTTATATTTTTAATATAGTATATTACATTAACATATTTTTAATAGTAAACCAACCTTGCACTTCTGATATAAAGATTATATATTGACCTGAAATTTTCTTCTTTCTTAATGTACTAGAGATACTTACAGTTATAAGTTGCCCTCTGAGTACTGTTTTTGCATCCCATAAGTTTTGGTTTGTTGTGTTTTTATTTTATATTCTAATTTTCCTTTTCATTTCTTCTATAATATATTTGTTATTTAAAGGTATGTGATTTAATTTGTATATATTTATAAATTTCCAAAATTTTATTCTGTTTTTGATACCCAAATTAGATTCATTGCAGTCAGAGACCAGATACTTTTTTTTGTATGATTGTAATTCATTTAAATTTATGATAGCTGGTTGTGTAGCCTCACACGTTGTTTATTTTTGGTAATGTGCCTGGTGGGTATCTGCTGTTGATGGGGGTAGTGTTCTATAGATGTCTATTAATTCCAGTTTGTTTATAGTGTTGTTCAAATTTTCTATATTCTTGTTTATCCTCTGCCCATTTGTGCTACCTATTATTAAAAGTCTCCTACTATTATTGCTGACTTGTCTATTTCTACCTTCAAGTCTGTCAGTTTTTAAAAAAAATTATATTGGTACTCTTTTGTTTGGTGTATATGTATGTATACTGTTATATGCCTGATATGGTTTGGCTGTGTCCCTATCCAAATCTCATCTTGAATTGTAGCTCCTACAATTCCCATATGTAGTGGGAGGGACCTGGTGAGGGATAATTGAATCATGGGGTTGGGTCTTTCCTGTGCTGTTTTCATGATAGTGAATAAGTCTCACAAGATCCAGTGGTTTTATAAGAGGGAGTTTCCCTGCACAAGCTTTCTCTTTGCCTGCTGCCATCCATGTAACATGTGACTTGGTCATCCTTGCCTTCTGCCATGAATGTGAGGCCTACCCAGTCAGGTTGAACTATCAGTCCGTTAAACCTCTTTCTTCAGTAAATTTTCCAGTCTCATGTATATCTTTCTCAGCAGCATAAAAACTAAGTAATACAATCACCTTGAAAGATTGGCACCCTTTTTCTTATGCAATGTACTTTGTCTCTAGTGACCAATTTTTTTCTGAAAGTCTATTTCTTATGAATTAGTATAGTCACTTCAGCTCTCTTGGGTAGCTTCTTGTGTAATATATCTTTTTCTATTACTTTACTCGTCAACTGTTTTTCCACTTTGGGACTTTTGCTGTTTACTGTGTAAATGTATATAGTTGTATATGTTTTTTATACATTCTGACAATTTTTGCCTTTTGAGTTAGACATTTAATCCATTTACAGTTAGTCTTATTACTGCTAAATTAGTATTTATGTCTGCTGTTTTGTTCTTTGTATTCTGTGCCTTGTATGTATTTTAACCTGTATTCAAAGATCTCTGCCTTCTTTTGTGTTAAATTGATATTTTCTAGTGTATTTTAAAATTCCCTTGTGTTTGAAAATATTACTATATTTTATTGATTAATGCTTGCAACTACCCTAATATATAGTCCCTTGCTTCTTTTTCCAGGCCCATTGCATTATCAGCTCAGTTATTGATTTGGGCCTGCCCATGATGAACATGTATTTTACTTGAGAGCTAAAGTAAATCCTGAAAGTACTACAGGTCTATGTGTTGGCTACTGCAGGACTTTTTGTTTTTTACAGCTAATTAGCAATTTCTTGATAGAAGATTTGAGTATCTGAGTATTTCACCTTTAAGATGCCATAGACATCATGTGAGCTTTTCTGTTTTAATTTTAACTATCTTACTATGCATTAATTTGTTTTCATTGTCCAGGTTTTCATGATTATGTCAAGGCACAGGGACATAAATTTTCTATACTTTTATCCAATAGCTCAAGTTGGTTTAGACACACCTAAAAAAATATTAAATGCTTAAACTTAGTGTAAAACTCAATGATTCATGTTTCATGATCAACTAGAGGTAAAGTACTATATTGTTCTTATCCTATATTGTATTACAGGTTTATATATTATCCTATATTGCATTTGAGTTTTCTGATTGAAGTTGGAATTAGAACTTGTATATCTCTGTAGTTTGGACATGAAACCCAATAATTGATCTATAGTAGTATTAATATAGGTATGTTTAATATAGGTGTGCTACTCCCTTTGTTACTTAAAGCCCTTTTTATCCTTGAACTTTGACACCCTCCTCTGTGTTCTAACAGTCTGTATCAGGCAACCTCATTTTAAAGAAATTCTCTTCACCCTACTTGGACTCTGACATCCATACTGGCTTCCTTCCCACCTAGACTCAACTCAAGCTCTGTCACTGTTGGGGGGTCATCCCTACCCTATATAAAAACCCTATTTAGCCTCCCCTCAGGTTGTGGTATTTTGTGCCCAGCTGCTCTTCTGCTCAACTCTGACATCTGAGTCACCACACATTCTTCCTAAATGGCAGCATTTCTCACCCTGCTTGGGCTCCAACACCTGGCTCTGGGCTATCCTGCCTTTTTTTTCTCCATCAACCCAGGTGTGGACATCTAACTTTCTTGGCACCATTTAATAGCTAATTAAGTGTCAATTCTTAGAAAATGTCCTCTTCTTCCCTGCCTCTGTCTTCTTTGTCTCTCTTTGCAGTGGATATTTTTAAAAAGAGTAAAATCATTGAATTTTACAAGTGGAGTTGGTGAACCCAGAGTTAAAATATCACTTACTTCTAAAGTCAAAGTGTTGGCATCTATATTAATGGCGAATAAAAGCATTATATGACACCCTAGGATTACTGAATGCCTTACATTATATAATAGGCTCAAATTGTCTCATCCAGGCTTGAAAGAGATATATGTTTTATCAATTATTATTAGGCAGATAAACCCCTTGAGAATATTCCCAGAAAAGGGTTGTACAGTGTTAAAAAAATGCTAGTGGTATAAAATTTACTACTATAGAATTTACTTATAGGGTCTAATTTTATGTTCTATAACCAAAACTAAAGGAAAAACATTTATGACATAAATTATTCCTTCCTTCCATCCTTCCTTGTCTCGTCAATAAATATTTTTGGGGAACTATTAAGTGACAAAAATTTTATCCATAATAGCTTAAAAATAAAAAATTCTGATTTCCTAAAGTTTGCAGCTAATGGAGTGAAAAAAAAACAAGATTAATAAGTAACATATAGTACAGTTATTGTCTTTGGTAATTGCAATTATTTGGAGGAGAATAAAGCAAAAATGGGGGATGTATCGGCAAGCATACGTGGTATTCCGGGGAATTTAAAGCAAAAAAAGGTGTATAGATATAGTAATGGTACCATAGATGTTAGGTCCTAATCCTTGAAGTTTTAAATGTTATTTTATATGGAAATTGCTTTGCAAGTGTGATTAAGCTAAGGATGTTGAGATGGGAAGGTTATCTGGGTTAGCAGAGTGAGTCCTAAATGCATTCATTAAGTATCCTTAAAAAAGCAAAGCAGTAGAAAATTTGACACGTACAAAAAAGGCAAAGTGAAGATAGAGAATAGAGACTTTTGAAGATGTTGGCTTTGAAGATTAGAGTGAGCCTACTGCAAGTTAAGGAATGCCAGTAGCCGCCTGAAGGTGAAAGAAGCAAGGAACAGATTTTCCTCTAGAGCTTCTGGCAGGAGTATGACCCTGCCAAAAACCTTGTTTTGGCCTAGTTAAACTAATTTGGACTTCTGGCCTCTAGAACTGTGAGAGAATACAATTCTGTTGTTTTAAACTGCCTCATGTGTGGTGATTTGTTAGAGCAGCCACAGGAAACTAAAACTCATGGTATCCAGGCGATGACTCTGAGAAGGTGATATTTGTACAAAGTTCTGATGACATATGGGGTTAAAGCCTAGAGGGGTCAAAGATTGAACTTGGAAAAAGATTGTACAAGGTTTCTTAAAATATTTTTATTTTTACTCTTTAATTTGAAATTGAGTTACAGGGAAGTGACATATAAGATGAGTCTTGAAGAAAAGAGTTAAAAATATTTTAAGAAGAGGGAATAATATATGTAAAGGCTTGAAAGCATGAAAAATTTAAGAATACTCTAGGATATTAAAAGATTTAATACCTTTCTGCATGCACCTATCAATTAGAAAGAGTTAAGAGCAAAATACGTCCTTTGGTGTATGATAATGTTAAGCCATAAAACATGTATACTGCAGTTCCTTTTTCAATTTGGAAGTCTACTGCTTACATGGAAGAAAAGTGATCTATAACCTGTACTCAAATGATTAAGTGGTGTTCTTAAAAAGGTAAAGGCTCTTCTTGGCAGGAAAACTAGAAGTTATTTCATCTGATTAGGAGTCACACTGAAGCTGACATCTTACCACATGTTCAAGTGCACTATGATTCATTTCCATAGGGTAAGTGAAAAAAATTCAGCAAGTTAAGAACTTCTACATTTAAGGTACATAACAGTTCAATAGAAAGCTATGCATCTATCTATCTATCTATCTATCTATCTATCTATCTAATGGTTACTATTTTTCAGTCATTTCAGTGGATGAATTGAAGTTGAAGTTTATTGTTAATTTAGTTATTCTAGTATATGTATATCAAATTCCATATGTACAATATTCATACAAACAATAATAAAAATATTTACAGTGTCTTAATATATGCCAAGCACTCTTCTAAGATTATCATATATATAATCTGATTTTATCCCCATGGCAATACAGTCAATATGAACTCCATTTAAAAGATGAGAAAACAGGCTGGGCACGGTGGCTCACACCTGTAATCCCAGGACTTTGGGAGGCTGAGGCAGGCAGATCACCTGAGGTTGGGAGTTCAAGACCAGCCTGACCAGCATGGAGAAACCCCGTCTCTACTAAAAATACAAAATTAGCAGGGCGATTATACAAAACAGCACATGCCTGTAATCCCAGCTACTTGGGAGGCTGAGGCAGGAGAATCACTTGAACCCAGTAGGCGGAGGTTGTGGTGAGCCAAGACAGCGCCATTGCACTCCAGCCTGGGCAACAAGAGTGAAATTCTTTCCCCCCCCCACCCAAAAAAAAGAAGATAAGGAAACTAAATTATATTTTCAAATGGAAGCAGAATACTTAACATATTTATAAAAAATATGTGAAAAGTCTTAATTATCAATTTATAGCAATATAAGTATAGTACAAGAGTGCAGAGCTAGTTCTTATGAAGCAATATTAGAATGTCAGACATGTCAGGAAGCACAGATACAGGCCAAGGAGATGGAATCATACTGGATATAAAAGTCATAGATGCCAAGAGCTAAATGGAGTGGCTGTTAACTTCAGAGCTATAAGTACAAGGTCATATCAGATACTGACAGAGGCAAATAAGCTACCAAGATGATAATACTCAGTTATAATGTGTAGGTGATATATTTGAATTCTATTTCACTACATCTTGTTGGTACAAGGTCTCTTTCTTTTTTGAGATGGGGTCTCACTCTGTCGTCCAGGCTAGAGCGCAGTGGCGCAATCTTGGCTCACTGCAACCTCCGCCTCCTGGGTTCAAGCGGTTCTCCTGCCTCAGCCTCTCCAGTACCTGGGACTACAGACATGCACCACCATACCCGGCTAATTTTTGTGTTTTTAGTAGAGACAGGGTTTCACCTTGTTGGCCAGGCTGGTCTCGAACTCCTGGACCTCAAGTGATCTGCACACCTCAGCCTCCCAAAGTGTTGGGATTGCAGGCATGAGCTACCATTCTCGGCCCAAGGTCTTCTTTTAATTGATGGCAAAGACATCTGAGTCTCTAGATATTTTTCCTAGAGTGAGCACTGTGGGTAAGGAAGTTCAAGACATAGATGGAATAAATGTTGATCCAATAAGGACAAATCTCTCTCTCCTCCAGTGCATAAAGTGTTTGATATAATCTAGCTGTCACCGAGTGAATGGTTGTTTCTCTCCAAGAAATGGTCATAATTAGATGGCTTCTTTTGATCTCTGTTGCTGGAAAAATGAAATGAACAGGAGCGAAAAAAAATGAGCCCTTGCTTTTGGATTTATTTCATAAATATCAATGAATAAACTCGTTTTATGAATCTGTTGGGCTAGCGGTGAGGTGATTCTACCTCAGGTTATTTCTACCCCTGTACACATAAGATAGTCAAGTACACAGCTGGATATATTGCCCATTGCATTTCGCATTAGCACTGCTCTGTAAGGTCACCGATAAATGGGGCTGCGCTACAGCCTCTGCCCATTTTTGGCTAACAACAACTTTTAGCCAAATGTAGCTTACCTGTGAATCAGACTCGAGTTCTTTCTTCCACTTTTTGGCTGAAAGGAATCCCTACCTCATACCTTTATTAATTGCAAGCATAAGTACTAGTTGTAAATATAAGCTGAAGAAGATTAATCTGTGTAATAAAGACAGTCAACAAGATGTCTTTTTTACCTTGTCAGGTACTTTTGCCTTCTAGACCTATCTGAACCAATCTCAAACATGTAATTTTATTGCACTATAGATTGCCATTTTGCCCACTTAACCATATGGTTTTGTTGATTTCAAAATCCCCAGCTCATTATGGCACTTTCACTCTCACAGTCACTTGATGTTCCAAGGCCATCCTCTTTTACGGTTCTGACACTATTAAAGAAAGACCCTGGTTTGGGTTTTCATTGCAATCAGCAGCTGCAGGTGATGTGCATCTCCTTAAAATCTGCTCAATCTGCAAAGGGGCCCTTTCACAGTTTGCCTAAATTGGCTGTGAGATGTCCTTCACTTATCGTTTTCCTCTTACAAGGTTTCTTTTGCAGCTAAAGTAAGCCAGCCCACTTCAAATTCCATATAATTATCCCTGCCCCATGTCTTCTAGAGCTAGAGCTGCCACACAGCCTAACACCTCACTATTTACTTGAATTTCATCCAAATTAAGCACAGGTGAAAACTTTAGTCATTGTGATGCCACCATATGCCAGGTGTTATCATCTCCCCACTAATAACGGCACCCTAGTATCCATTAAAACAGGGATAATCCACCCCAATATCACCTTCTGAGGGTCTATTTTTAATTCATTTCCCAGAAAATAAAGCTAGAGGCAGGAGGCTTATAAGCTGTTTCTTTATTAGGAAGTGTAATTTTGCAGAGCAAAAGTGAACAAGTGGAGTAAAGCCTAAAAACAGGGAAAGCCAATACAGTAATGAACTTGTAAGTTGGTGACTGTTACGTGAGAAAGATTGCTCTTCTCAAGGGGAATGTTTCCCCATAAGTCTTATAACCAATATCTTAAAACTGCTCATTGGATGTGGGTCATGGGAAAAAAGGGGGCACATTTATCCACCAGCTCAGAGTTGTGCCCAAAGGGGATTAACGTTCTAGTATTTTGGATTAACACGTTTGGGTGCTGAGGAGTATTCCATAGCAGTGTCAACAGAGCAGCCTCAGGGTGGGAACCCTGTGCACGGTATAGGCATCAGTCAAGGTTTTACCAGGCTGTGCTTGGAAGCATTTGGTCATAACCTACACAGAACTGGTTACTGCAGAGTCAGGTGAAACACGAGTATCTGAGATTGTAATATGTTTTATACAAGCACGTAAAGTAGTGTTATAAAATCCATGGGAGTTTTTTGTGTTCTGCTTCAAATCTACTTCTCCTCTGGTGTTCTCTGAGTGAATGGTACACTTCTTTTTTTTTTTTTTTTTTTTTTAATCTATTTGCGTTACGAAAAAAAAAAAAAGCTAGATACATTCAATGAAAAAGCCATCTCTCGAGAATTCAATCTCTTCCCAGTGCTAGATATTCTGACTGCTATTTATTGCTCAAAGCTGTCCACTTAACCCCTCTTCATCATCCTCTTCATAACGCCCATCATCCTGATCACCTGTGAGCTAGATTACTGTGATCATCTTCAGTCTTGTTCTATTTCATTTTACATTATCCAAGGGACAAGTGAATCTGATTTTAGCACTCTTTGTTTCAAATCTTCAATTATTCCCATATCTAAAGAAAAGAAGAGTCTCCTGAACTTGATATGTTTCCTGTTGACTATAGTCTTACCTCATTTTCCTATCTCTTTCTTGCAAGTCAAACCAAATACCTTTTTGTTCCTTAGGAAAGGGCATTTTCTCTTTCTCCACATATGCTCATTCCACATTGTTTTCTAATTTATTTGCCTGTTTATTCCATCTTGTCTTTCTAGTTTTAATTTCATTGTCATTTCCTTGAGAAAAACTTCAGTCTTCACTCAGGTGGGTTAATCTCAGATATACTCAATAATGTATAATAACCTTTTCATCCTCTCTTATTACCCTTTTCAATAATCTTGTAACCACTTGTTTTACGCTTCCCTTCTAGACTGGACTGCGAGCCCCTTGAAGACAGGAACCCTGTCTTGTTTATGATTTTATCTCAATCACCAAGCACAATGCCCAGATTTCAGTGTTTCATGAATATTTGTTAAGTGAAAAAATACTTAGAGTATGTTAAGGGTTTCAAATAGGGGTGTTGTAACACAAAGTATGAGAGCCTCCTTGTGTGAAGGGGAGCTATGGTGAAGATGAAGGAGGACAGAGTCAGCCATGATAGGAGGAGCTGTAATGAAGCCAAATTCCTGTGACTAAGGAATCATGTAAAAATTGAGCCCTGGTGCTTATTTAATGCAAAAGAGTAAAAATAAAATAGATTCCTCATGTTGTATTTTCTCCCCTCCACCAAAATAGAGTGGTGCATGAGCTGTGGGTAGCAACTTGAACTCGTGAGTGTTCCCAGAGAAGGATGAAAAAGCAAGTGAAAGGACTTGTAAATTACTCTGGGAAGATGAGTTGGAGCTGCTGGAGTCTTTTGTTGCTAATAAAAATGTGCCAGTGAAAGCTCCTGAGACCTGTGTGTTGCCCCACTGACAATCAAACCACTCTGCTTAACTTGCCTTGCCAGAGAAGTGAATGCTGTTTGTGGTAGGTTTATTGGAGAAACAAACCGTTTGAACTCTGTCCAATGTTTCCATGGCTAAGAACTTTAGTCACCAAACCTCTTTGCAAAGAGTGCAGGCCAGCCGGGCACAGTGGCTCAAGCCTGTAATCCCAGCAATTTGGGAGGCCGAGGTGGGTGGATCATCTGAGGTCAGGAGTTCGAGACCAGCCTGACCAACATGGAGAAACCCCATCTCTACTAAAAATACAAAATTAGCCAGGCGTGGTAGCACATGCCTGTAATCCCCATCTACTCGGGAGGTTGAGGCAGGAGAATCACTTGAACCCAAAAGGTGGAGGTTGTGGTGAGCCAAGATCACGCCATTGCACTCTAGCCTGGGCAACAAGAGCAAAACTCTGTCTAAACAAACAAACAAACAAAAACACAACAACAGAAAAAAGAGTGCAGGCAATAGGACCTTCCAGCTAGACCTGTGCCGTTCTTACTGTGTTAGCTAGTGCTCTTCAGGCACTTCAGCATAACTGTCCTTTTCAAATGGGGTATTTCCTTATTTCGTGAACGTATCTTATGGCTCACATGGCAGATCCCTGATGACACAGGGATTTTAAAACATAAATTTCCCAGTGTTTATTAAAGAGATATGTTACCTTGAATGTCTAAATAGAAAGATGATAGTGATTGGCTGAGCTTTGACATGAAATATTGCAGGGTAAAATGGGGCAGTTTTTCTTCTGTGTTTTAAATTGACTGTGACAAATAGCCTAGTTTCTCCTTTTTAAAGTGTTCTAGAATCCACCCCTTTATTCTTTTATTCCACCCAAATCCCTACAAGTTTGATTAGTTATAAGTTCTCTTTCCTATTGTTTGGCAGCTTCCACCTCTCACACTATTGCACCATATTCTTCCTTCCTAGATTCTAAGTTCCTTCAGGCTTAGACCTATATCATATTCACCATTACATTTCCCATACCCAATGTGGAGTCCATTAGGGACATATATGTACTTAGCAAATATTGATTGATTGATTTAATTAATTTATTAGATTATATTATTATGGCTACATAATAGTTATATATACATATGATGGATTGCTATTAGCATACCATCCCAATGGGAAATGATCAAATCAGGGTAACTTGAATATTCATCACCTTAAGCATTTTATCGGTTTTTTGTGTTAGTAACATTCCAAGTGTACTATTTTAATTATTTTGAGATACACAACAAATTACTCTTAACTATAGTCACCCTACTGTGTTACTGAACACTAGATGTTAGTCCTTTTAACTGTCTTGTCTTGTCTTTTCTTTTCTTTTCTCTTTTCTTTTTTTTTTTTTTCAATTGGAGTCTTGCTCTGTCGCCCAGGCTGGAGGGCAGTGGCATGGTGTGATCTCAGCTCACTGCAACTTCTGCCTCCCAGGTTCAAGCAATTCTCCTGCTTCAGCCTTCCAAATAGCTAGGACTACAGGCACATGCCACCATGCCTTGTTAATTTTTGTATTTTTAGTAGAGATGGAGTTTCACCATATTGGTCAGGCTGGTCTCGAACTCCTGACCTCAGGTGATCCACCTGCCTTGGCTTCCCAAAGTGCTGAGATTACAGGTGTGAGCCACCGTGCCCAGCCTTAACTGTATTTTCATATGCATTAATCATTATTGAGAAAATCAATGAATAAGTCTCACATGTACAGAACCCTGATCACTTTTGCAAATGCATTCAATGTCAATTATGGAATTGTGTTTTCCCGCACCTGTAAAAGAAGTTGTTTTCTGCAGGTCTCCTCCCAGTATCTCCTGTTTACCTAGTACAAAGTTTCATCCCTCTGCCTTTATGCCTTTGATCCTTGGGAACTCTGTCCAAATGTACATTTCATTATGAGATACAATACTTCAAACTGCTGCTTTTCAAAAATTTTAGTGGCAGAATCCTTTTGCTGTTCTGGCTGAAGTTAAGAGTGCCCCTTGCTCAAAGACTTAAGCTTACCATGTCCTGCTTGCTCACACTATATTTTTAACAAATCATCCCTCCTTCTAATATATATACACTAGTGACCATGAATTACACTTTAAAAAAAGCATCACACTAAGGAAGAGAGAGGGGATTCCAAGTCAAGAAGTGGAGCAAACAGAAAGAACATCTTAAACTGGGGTTTATGCTGCTCCTGCTCCTCTTTCCAAGACTCTCCTCTGTCAGGCACAGCTTTCTCAAAGATGAGCAAACTTTTAAGTTTCAGAGGAACTCAGTAAGCTTGTTTCTGTCTTCCTTTGGAAGTATCAAAAACATCCCTGGATTTATAGCCATAGAATGTTCCAAAAGTTTATCAGGTAACTTAGGTGTTTCAAATTCAAAGTGCATTTTGCCGGAAAGAGTAGTTTGTCTGTCTTGGTTATGTTTTTAAACCAGCGCACAGAAACCTATTTATCCTCCAAAATGCCAGAAGTGTAGCACTGTTCACAGAGAGCGGTAGAACTTCAGCACAAGGAAAACAACTTATGCACTTCAAAGGAGTTGAGATATCTTCCCATTTCTCCTTCCACTCACCTCACTCACAGGCAGGGAAAATAATACTGGGTGTCAAGAATCTTGTTCCATGGGGCAAGGAGCATAAAGAGGGTAGGACTAGGGCAATGAAAGACTTGAGTGAAAATACTGAACAATGAGGAATCTACTCCAGTACAGTTCGGAGCTTTGGGTGGTAGACAAGGAGTGGGGAGGACTGCAAACACTTATCCTAAATCTTTCCAACTCTGGCAAGGTCAGGTGAGAGCTATTGTTATTATCTTCTTACTGAAGACTTCAAGAATGGCTTACTTCAGTTCTCGGTCATCTTTTGAAGTGGCTTAAGACTAGATTTGCCTCAACGGTGAATATATATATAGTGCTCTCTCTCTCTCTCTCCCCATCTCTTTCTCTTTTATTTTAGGTTATCCTAGATATATTTTTCATATGATGTAGAGTAGAATTCTGGAGTAAAGAGTTGGGGCTTAATAATGATTTGTTGAATACCTATAAAGATAAATATTCAACATAAATTTCATGTGCTGAGGAGTTAGGATAGTCTCTTTGGAAGGCATGAGACCTCTGGTGTTGCTGAGGTACACAGTGAAAAATTAATGGAGATGCCATCTACCTCCTTGTCTTACATTTTCTTGCTCTGACAGTCAGCTCAGACCCATCATCATGAGCTCCTTTTATAAGTCCCCTGGAAAGGTAAGACAGACACTCCAGGAGAGAATGGGCATTGGAAGAGAAGAGACAGATCACTCCAGGCATTGTCTTGCAGAAAGAGTAAGAAGAAATAAGGGAAAGAAAGCTGCTGGGAAAGGAAAACAGGTTTTCCAGGAGCCACTGGTCATTCTTGGTTGATGATTTGTGTGTAATGGAGAGTTAAGCCACCTAAGTGAAGGACTGCCTGAATACATCCTACAGGCAGCAATGGCCTACTTCATTAAACGCAGCACAATGTTCTTGGACTAGTGTGTCAAAATAGAAAAGTAATTGCTAGTCTTATTATCTTAAGCTGCATATGGTATGATGTGAAAGTCAGTATGTAAAAGAAATGTTTCCTTAAAGGGGTGAACATAATTTCCTGGAAAATTAACATAAGTCAAATGAATAAATTAGCAGTCAGAGTAGAAACAAATATTCTTCATTTTTTTAAACAAAACATTTGCTAAGAAGAACAAAATAATTCATATTTATTTTCATGAACTGGGTTTATATGTATTAAGATAAGCTTCTTATTTCACTCTGAATCTTTCCCCTAAACAAAAACTGTACAATGAATGTATAAAAACTTGAGAGGTCAATCTATCTAAAAATAATTCAGAATTATCTCTAATTTTCTCAATTAAAAGAATATTTGTTGCACATAAAATACATTTGTTATGGTTAGACTTTGTTGAAAGTCATGTACTTAAAAAAAAAAGAAAAAATCGGAATAGACTCTATGTTTAGAACCCAGTTTAAATGATAAATGTTCCTGTAACCTTGATGCTTTCAGTAACAAGCCCTACTTGTTTTATAAACAATTATTTGGCATTATGAAAAAATACATCTCTTCCCTCAACTACGATATTACACAAGAAAGTAACTATTATGTAGAAAAAATCCTTTTCACAAATATTCAGTTCTGATTCTCATGACTTTTATGCTTTGGAATTGTAATGGCTTTGTTATATTATTAACAAGGTAAAACAATCTCCTTAGACTTTCGACATTCTGATTGATAGAACTGGTAGGTGTACCGCTAGTTATTGGTTGCTAAATATACAGAGTGTTTTTACGACATACACGAGAAGAAGCTTGGCAGTTTATACATCAAAAAATTTCCCCTCCTTCAATAAGGTTACAGTAAAAGATGCAAGAAGAAACATATGATATAGTTGACTATTCCTTCAATAAGGCTAAAATAAAAGATGCAAGGAGAAACATATGATATAGTTTACTATTATAGGCTTTAAGCAGTGCCTTGAAAATAACTCTAATTAAAGTTGCCGTTGCTCTGACCTGATTAGACAGAGAACAATAGTACTGTTACTCTTTGTCTACCTTAGGATAGTAAGTAGTTGATGATTTATAATATCTTTTGACAGCCACGTTAATTATAACTTAGCTGAATGTTTTCCTTTAGAGTAGAATTTTTTAAAACAAAAGAAGAGGAAATTGTAGTGAAAGCTGTCAGAATATTTCTGAGTATTGCTAATGACTGTATCCAATAGCTAAGAAATGGTAACTTTTCTTGAGATTTTTCTCTTATTTTTTACATTGCACTCAACATATTTTCCAAAGCCCTACAGGAATATTTGCATAAGAACCTCTGAATTACCTAAGTAGGTCAAAGCAATGGTCAGTCTTTCCAAAAGTGACATTTCAAGTTTATTCATTGCTTCTTGATTTGGCAAAGTGAAAACAAATGCCATCCCTCTATAAGTTAATGAGTTTAGAACTCTTCCATTCTGACATTTTCATGAAATCACTGCACAGGACTTAGTGTAATTTGTAGGCTGAACCTTCAGCAGCTTAATGAGTGGGGAGTGCACCGAATGATTTCCATTATATTATCAAACTATATCATGACTTTGTAATGCTGTTTGAAAAATTTTGAGAATTACCTCCCTTGCCCCCAATGCTAACACTCATATTAAGCATCATAAGTCAGGTCTAAAGTTAGTATTTTTCAGAATATATGAATTTTTAAAGCTACTGAGTATACTCCTGGCAAATTACATATATCACTACCTTGATCATAATTTTTCCTTCTGATCCATATTTTCTAACTGGAGACGATTTAGATAAAACTGTTAAAGCATCAATGTGTTTGAGCTTTGAGTCAAGTCTAAGCCTTCCAGCCAAAATGATAGTTGGTACTCTGTTCAATTATGAAAGTTTCATCTATTGCTATAGAGGGTTTAAATAAGCTTCTATAGTTTTTCCTCTTTAATTATTTTTTTCATTAATTATGACAATAAAGAGCAGGTTGGAATGTATATTATTTTGTCTGATTCTCCATGGATCTGGCCTGACCAGGTACCAGTTGATTGAATCAAGATGCATATCAATGAATATTTACTCACTAACTGTGTATATGTTTTGTGTATGTTCCAAGCTTGTAATTTGGAGAATAAAGAAATTTTCCCCTGCGCCTATGAATTATATTAAAGAGAAAAATTTATATGAATTTACTTAGAAAATTCTAAATTCCTACACTAATGTGATATTTTAACACTGACATTGTATAATCAAATAATATTTAAGAGAATGACAATAGACTTAAAACCAAATGTAGTTTATGAAGTGTTATAAAGATAATATTAGACTTGAAATCAAAATATTATATGGCAAAGTTGCTTAAATATTTTGAAACTCTTATTACTTACCTATGAGATTATACTTTTGCTATATCTAACCTACAATTCAGTGAGACTAAAGTTCAATAACATTACTTGAATAATTGCTGTTTTAATTGTAACACTCTTGTAATAGGTAGAATTTTAATACGTTCCCCCAAATTTTCCACTCCTGATGTACTGTTCTGAATAATCCTTACGACTGTGAATATGATGGATTTTCTTCCTGGGATTAGATTATGTTGCATGGCACAGCTACCTTTAAGAAAGGGATATTATCCAGGTAGGCCCAACCTAATCATATAAGCCCTTTGAAAGCAAGTTTTTCACCAGCTAATAATATAACCGAATTGAGAGAGCTGAAATACATGAAGGATACAGTGCTCTGTTGATGGCTTGAGGATGGAGGAGTCCACACAACCAGAAAACAGGGACCTCAACAAGCTCATTTTTCTTGTTGCTAGAATTCAGTTCTAATGAGTTTGGAAAAAAAAAATTTCCAAAGCCTCAAGATGAGAACCCAGTCTGGTCAACATTTTCATTTAAATCTTCTGAAAACATGAGGAAAGAACCCAGTCATGTTATACCAGACTCTGCCTTATAGAACTGGCATAAAAATGGGTATTGTTTTAAGAGTTTATGGTAGCTTGTCATATATCAATAGAAAACTTATAAGCCCTATAAAAATAAAAGCAGAGGATATCACTGCTATCAATATTGTAATATTGTGCATTTGTAGTACAAGTAAGTGTTAATTATAAATAGGAAAAATATGAGAAGTTTTCATGGGGAAATGAATGAGTCATTTACCTTTAGGGATGATTTACATCTCTTTATCCAGCTAGCTAGCTCAGTTTAATATATGCAAAAATAAATTCCCAGTGGAGCGAATATTGTGACCATCTTGAAGGGTCAACAAGATGGAGGAAAATTTGAGTAACAGAAAAGGAAATCAAGGTTGGGCTATAGCAGTGAATAACGCTGATAAAAAGAATTTCTGGCTAAATTTTGGGGAAAATATATTGATAAGTCTAAATGCTCATTTTAAAACATTCGTACATTAGTAGGTAGAAAACTAGAGAGATGGGAACAAAGGAGGAAAATATTGTAGTAGTAGAATCAACATCAGTTTAGCAATTAATTAGACTGAGCAATTGGGAAGGAAGTGCAGACTGAAAATGCATTTTGCATTTGCTCCCACTCTTGGTCCTTGTATATCTGGGATATTATTATGGTCATCACAGAAATAGGAATGTCAGGTGGAATAGACCAATATAGTCAGAGAAGGCTAACTGCTATAAAAAAAATCACAAAAATCTCAGTGGTTAATGCTAATGCAATTTATTTCTCACTCATATAACAAAGCAATGCTGGCATTTTGTAGGTGGCCCTGTGTGCTAGGAGACAAGGATCCAGATTCTTTCCATTTTACAGGTACTTCATCTTCCAGGGTCTTAGAGACATCTGCTGAATTCCCTGCATCTCGCTCACAGAGCAAGACAGAGAGGGAGTTCAGGAGTGGGTGGAAGTTTTTTAATGGGCTAAATCTGGAAGCGATTCTTTTAATATATGTCTCATTGGGCAGGATTCAGGAACACCTGACTGCAAATGAGGTTAGAAAATGCAATTCTACAATTTTCCAGGAAGAAAAAGAAACAAGTTTTGAAAATTAATAGCAGATTCCATTAAAAGAAGAGTTCAAGAAATAAGAGTTTTATTCTGAACATGCTGATAGTGAGTGGCCTGTCGTAGTATAACTAAAAGCAGCGAGAAATTGAAAATATGGTCCTGGAAGTATGAAGGTATAAATCATAAAAAATAGTAGAACAGTAGATTCTTCTTTGTCATTGTTCATTTCACAAAGTAATAATGAGCATTTTAAATTTTGTCTGATTTTAAATAGTATAAAAATATGAAATAATTAGTTGAAAATCTAACAATTTCTGAAAAGGTCAGAAATATGCATTTTCCTTCAGATGCTCTTACATTTAAGAAGAGTTTCAGCTTCACCGAATATTAAATTTAAAGGTAAAGATATTAAAACCAATTTTTCACATGGTTATTTCATGTTTCATTTTCTCACAGAATAAACAATACAGTGAATTTTGGGTTTGATCTATCTTGTGTAATAATATTTTGTTGCAGTTGACTTTTGTGTGACGCTGATTATAGTTACAACTTATCCAGATATATAATCACCAATTCAAGTAATTTTGGTAAGGTAATAGACTTGAAGAAAAATTCCCAATATCCTGAACTTCCTTGCTGAATATTCTTTTTTCCTTTTAAGTGAAACATGGATTCTCCCTGTAGCTTCTCTCAAGGTGTAACATGTTTCTCCTCTACCACCTTCTTTTTTTTTTTTTTTTTTTTTTTTTTTTTTTTTTTTGAGACGGAGTCTTGCTTTGTTGCCAGGCTGGAGTGCAGTGGCACAATCTCAGCTCACTGCAATCTCTGCCTCCTGGGTTCAAGTGATTCTCCTGCCTCAGCCTCCTGAGTAGCTGGGACTACAGGAGCACACCACCACACTCAGCTAATTTTTGTATTTTTCGTAGAGATGGGGTTTCACCATATTGGCCAGGATGGTCTCAATCTCTTGATCTCATGATCTGCCTGCCTCTACCACCTTCTATAGATCCTTTAAGGCCATTACCCCACCTTCCTCTGTATTCATGCCATCAGGCTATACTCACAATGATATTGTTTGTAATCATCCACATGTCACAATTTCCATGTAACCTTTCATCACCTTCTCAATTCCTTGAAAATGTTGTTGCCTGGTCAACTGATGCTTCCTCTAACGCTATTTCTGTGAAAATGTTTGGTGATGTTTACTGTTTCTGAAGGTAATTCTTTCATTATTATGGCATCTCAGTTCTTTGGCTGCCTCTACTCTACTGATCCACAGGCTACCTTAGCCATACACTCCCATGATCTTATCCCAGACCTTGCCATTAACAGTAATTTCCTCAGCCAAAACTTTAATTTCAAGAGTCATTCTTTAACCCCTGTTATTGTACTTTGGGCTTCACAGGTGAAGACTCTAAAATAGAGGTTAGCATGCAGGAGATTTAATAAGGAGGGCTCTTGAGATCAACATCTGTTTAAAAAGGAAATTAAGAAAACAAGCCTACAGAGGAAATAGTTGAACTGCAACACAGCCTCAAGGGAAAACTCTAGATACTGCTGCAGGGAGTTCTGAAGATGAGATAACTCTCCAGAGCTGTTCTAATTTTGGGGTAGAGACATTGCATGTGGTCTTCACTAGGCAAAGGCATAACTTTTGGTGAGGTAACGCTCTACAGCTAAACATAGTCCTAAAATGCCTGATAGCTGAAGGCCGCCTGCTGGCAGCACTATTGGAAATTGAAGTCTTATTATTGAAAGAAAATATAGATAGTACATTATAACATCCACAACAGTCCATACTTGTATCACTCAAATCAACTTCTTTGTATAAATTCTGGGAGTTCTCCCTCCAGGATTCTTGTGGGCCTCTTTTCTGGGGATGATGTCCGAGAGGAAGGATAATGGAACAATTATTTATAGCTGTCTCCACTGCATCTGATCTTAGAATCAAAACTGATACGCATTGTGTTCATTCTTTACTAATCATTATGGATTCTCTCACCCTCAGCTACCAACTCTGCTGGATTTAATGCTTTATTTGGGGACTTGATTCTACCCTCATCCTTCAGGATTCTGGTCCCCTGGTAATTATGTTATTCTTAGACAGTGCTGCTTCCATTGCCCATTTTCCATCAAAATTCAGGAAATTATTACAAGGAAATATCAAATGGATCATATGAATGGCAAATATGCTCCTTACTCCCTACATTGTGCAAAAGCAGACCACTAACTCTGTTTTATCAGGATCATCTCCTCTGAAAAGACACAACCCATCTTCTTCCCTTCTGCTTCCTTGACTCAAGGAATCCAAAGGGCCAAGGTAGTGCCTGCTGCTTATATTTCATAAGAACTTGATTTAATCACTAATGGAAATATTCTACCTCTGGGAACCACAACCTCTAAACCTATTAAGCCTAGAGTGACAGTACTAGGGAATAGATTATCCAAATGAGTCACTAGGAATAAGTTAAGCATGGTCACTTCTGTTTTCTCTACTTGGTTTCCAGAGCTGTATACCCTACTCATTGGGGGTCAAAGCATTATTTAAAAATCTATGAATTAAATTTTATAAAGTGTCTTAGGAGGACATCCTGCCTTTGTAATCACCTTCAAGCTGCTGCATCAGCTGTGCTTTCAATAGTCCACTCAGTGCTCTGTCAGGCCAAAAGCATCTGAACTCTGCAGTATGTCATTGGTTTATGACCACAAAACTCTTTTGCTGTCTGGTTGGTCCTTGGTCTTGCATGATAGTATATGGGATGTCATGATCTTGTATGTATCACACACTCAATATGTTATCCGGTAGTGGTACTGGCTCAGGTCCTGCATGCAAGAAGGGCAAACCCACATATAGAATATGTTTCTATTCCTTTCAAAAGAAATTGCTGGCCTTCTAGCATAGAGGAGACGCAATGTAGGCAATTTGCCACAAAGTGAATTCTTGAATGGTTGATCTCATTGAAGAATGGGGACATAGTGGAGACTCAGTGTTTCCACTGATGGTGGGTGGTGGCAGTAGCAAGATTAAACTTGATATAAGTTTATAGCCTCTCTCCTTGCCACCATGGCTACTAATATACGTGTTGTACTTGTACTGGAATGGCTAATGACAGATGCTGGCGATGGAAGCACTGAAAGTTGCTTTATGTATTAGGCTGCCATTCTCTGAGGGTTATTATCAGGAGACACAAGACCTTCAAATTTTTGCCCTCTCCCATAAGTCCATCCACATCTCTACTCAGATTTCCGTGTCCATATTCTTCCATTTTTTTTGTCATGGCACACCTCTGATAGCCTGCTAAACCTTTTGTTACTTCTCTTGAGTCTGCATATATTTCTAAACTCAAGCCACTTGTCTATTCACACACATTGATGACCATGTGCAATAGCCAAAACTCTGTACCATTGCAAGGATTTTTTCTCACTATACTTTCTAAGGTCCTATTAGCTGAGAAGTGCTACCAAATTAATATGCTCTCCTTTATCTAACCCTCTGTCTTTGATCTAGCGTTCTCAGAATAGAGTCTCATACATACAACCCTGGCTCCGGCTAATATATGCCGGCTGAGTCCTGCAGTTCTTTGGTGGTATAATCTCTTTCCTCCCTTAACAGCTCTAGCATGCCTTTGGGAAGATTATGTTAAAACATAACCCTAAATTATTGGCCTATGGCCAAGAGGGCACACTGGGGCAATCCTGAGGAGAGGTGATATTGTCTTGAGGAGGAAGGGATTACTTTGTCTTCAAGGCAAGGAGAGTTCTGGTCATAAAAGGGAGGAATGGGCCATTTCTTCAAGCTTAGAGTTTAAGAGATCTGAAAATTCAAAAATTTTTAGAGAAGGATGAGAGCAATCAAGATATTTTCACTATATATTCTAGTCTTTCTTCTTCTGGGTTCTGGCCCAGCTTTTTGGGAGTGTAACTTTCTTGGGTCCTTGGATTTTCTTCAAATTAAGTTCTGGGATTGATACTCAGCTTTATTTGACCTCCCAGAGCAAGAAAAAGACATTTTGTATGCTGTTAAAAAAGACGTCTGGATTTCAGTCCTAGTTTTAGTTGTGGTGCTTGCAGCTTTTTCTTATCTTTTCTTCAAAGCATCACGCAAACTCAGCCATAGCCATCCAATACCATTGTCTTTAGAGTTACTCTTTCTTCCATTTTACTCCAACACTTGGCACCTGCTAATGCACTCCCTTCCAACAATACACCATCCGCATTTACTGCTGGTTGAAAACATTAACAACTGAATGATCAACTTGTAACAGGGTCCCTCTGTGTTCCACCTACCACCATTATTAGGGCCTTATTAATTGCTGGGTGGCCGAAAATCTAGTTCATGAATCATAAGCCAGCATCTGATTTCCTGGGCCAATTTCAGTACCAATTATTGTAGGTTGTGTTCCTCAGGAGTCAGACACTGAGATGATGGTTAGCATGCAGGAGGTATATTAGTGAGTGATCTTGAGAAAGACAAAACAGAGCAGAATACAGTAACTACAGAGAGAAGGAAACTACAGAGAGAAGGAAACAGTAACTACAGAGAGAAGGAAATAAGCAGAATTGAGCAGGAGGAGAAATACAGTTGTCACGTGTCTCAAGAAAAGTCCTAAATTGCCCTGCAGGGATATATGAAATTGGATAACTCATCAGAGCTGTCCCAAGTTGGGGCAAAAGACTCAGGCTTTTATACCCCGCTATTAATCAGTCTTTGAATGCTGGTCAATATGCCCACTATCTGGGCTAATTACTGTGTTAGGGAATCCGTGTGGTACATCACCATGTCCACCAAAATTATTTATTTTCTTTCTGGCTGTATTAGATAAGGAGTGCTAACTGTCATAACAAAGAATATAAAATCCCACCCGCTTGGCAGATGAAAATTTCATTTTTTGATCCTGGCACGTTGCAAAGTTAATCAGCAGTGGGGATGGGGTTCTTCTATACATCGTCACTGAGGGAAACAAGCTCCTTCCTTCTTGTGGCTCTGCCTTTCTTTGGTCCAGAACTCTACAATAGAACTTTCAGCAATGATTCAATTGTTCTACATTTACACTGACCAATATAATGGCTAATAGTTACCTATGACCATTAAGCACTTTAATATGGCTAATATGACTGAGAAACTAAATTTTTAATTTTAATTTTAAGTGTCAATAGTATATACATGTATATGTACTTTATATGTGTGTTTATATATGTACACTTTTTTTTAGTCATCAGAGGAAAAAGAGGAGGAGCATGCATGAGATTGCTTTGTGGGTCAGGAATGAAACTGATGTAAATCAATTCCGCTCACATCCCATTGGCTAGAGCTTGGTCATATGGCCATATCTAACTACAAAGGAAGCTTGAAAGTACAATGTATCTACCTGTGTGCCCAGGAAAAATAACAGAAAACAGATACTAGAGAACAATTACAGCCTAGAGTATAGCAGATCATTCCCTTTAAATAAAAAAACAGCTTAATTGAGGCATAACTGATACATAAAGAATTGCACATATTTAATGTGCACAATTTTATGAGTTTAGACATATGCAAGCACTGTGACACCATCACCAGAATCAAGGTAATAAACACATCTAGCACCTCCCGAAGTTACTTTGTGTTCTTTTATGTGTATGGAAAGAATATATACATGTATATATATGTAATATATATATAATTAAATATGTATATTATATATATAATACCACTACTGTATTCTCTGCTGCTGAGTTTGACTATTATGAATAACTCACCTCTAAGTGGAATTTACAATATTTGTCCTTCTGTGGCTGCCTTATGCTTACTATAACAGTCTTCAAAGTTATTGGGACCTAAAATCCAGTCTTCCTATTATCTTTTAAATTATTTTTTTCAACATGTGATAGAAAAAATTATACCCATGTCCTAATCCCCAGAACCTGTGAATATGTTATATATGGCAAAAGGGACTTTGCAGATATAAGTATCTTGATACAGACAGATTATTCTGGATCATCTGGTGGGCCTAATGTTAGCATAAGCATTCATAAAAGTGGAAGAGGGAGGCAGAAGAAATGGTCAGAGTTTTGACATGTGAGAAAAACTGTACCATTGTCAATGACTTTAAAAATAGAGGAAGGAGACCAAGAGCCAAGGCATGTGGGCAGCCTCTAGAAGCTAAAAATTGTAAGAAAACGCTTTCTGCCTAGAGCATCCTAGAAAGGAATGCAGCTCTTCTGACACTGATTTCAGCCCAGTTTCATCTGAGTTAGACTTCTATCCTCCAGAACTGTAAGATAATAAATCTGTAGTTTTTTTTTAAACTGTTAAGTTTGTAGTAATTTGTTATAGCAGCAATAGGAAACATCATTCTAACTCCCTTTCTTAACTGAACTTGAATCCTTTGGTACATCATTGTAATGAATTGCATTTATTTTCTCTTACTTCATCATACTCACTCACAAACCTGCTTATTCTAATTCCCCACTTTATTAATTGGGGTTCTCTAGAGGGACAGAACTGATAGGATATATATATCATATCTATATCTCATATATATATTTGATCTCATATATATCATATATATTTGATCTCATACATATCTCATATATATGATATATATATATAGATACATATATATGAGTTTACTAAGTATTATTAACTCGTATGATCACAAGGTCCCATAACAGGCCGTCTGCAAGCTGAAGAGCAAGGAAGTCAGCCCAAGTTCCAAAGCTGAAGAACGTGGAGTCTGATGTTCGGAGGCAGCAAGCATCCATCATCTAGCCTTTGTATTATAGTTGCTTAATCACCACAGTCCCCAACTATGCTAACTGATCACTTCACACCCCCAATCTTTTCTCAAATGTGAAGGAATTTCTACCCTACTTAGCAAGCTACACTGTTTTCTATTTTGCTAAAAAAAAAAAAAAAGCAAACAGAAGGTAATTTCTACACGCTCTCAAAAGTACATTTACATACCTACAAGCTGCTGAACTCTTTGGTTCTATTACTATGGGTAAAATCTCTGTATGCCTTTCACTTGAGCTCTAGATCCAAGCCAATATTGCTACTTACAGACATTGATCCAGCTTTGTTACCTTATTCTCCCTCTATTTGATCGTTTCCATCAGGCCAAAATCTTGCTGAATTGTTTCCATTTTAAGTAAAACCTTCTCGTGGCCTCACACGTACCTCCCACCCAGTTTCTAAAAGATATATATTCCAATTCCTTTTCTCCTCTTCTGTCTCCAACTATATCAATCAGATTTTTGTCCACACGTCTCAAAATCTCAAACAAGAGAACTTTTTTTTTAAGAGCACTACCTGCCTGATGCCAAATATTTTGGTCAATAAGATTATTTATCTTATCTTAAATAATCAGCAGTATTTTGCATAGTGGATCACTCTCCCATTCTTGAAACACTTTTTTTTTTCATTTACCTCCGAGAGATTACTATCTCTTTATACTTTTTCCACTTCACTGGCAGTGTGGTACTTGCTTTTCAGTTTCTTTTCTGATTTCCTTTCATTTTCCTGAACAATAAATTTTGGAGTATCTCAGGGATTAGATTTTTTAATATTTATTTATTTCTAATATATCCTAACTTCTAGATAATTACACTGAAAAGCATTATTGAAAAACTGGTCTTGTAGCTCCAAATATATATCTTTTCCTGAACTTCAGACTTATAAACCCAAATGATGTCTAGTATAGATTACAATCTAATGTGCCCAAAAGACAATTGCTTATCCTCTCCAAAATCATCGATCTGTTTACATCTCATCCTATACAGCAACTCTATTCTTTCATTTGCTTAGGTTGAAAACATTGGATCCATGATCCTTGACACCTCTTTTTTTCCTCACATCCATGTCAGATACATTAATAAACCTTGTTACTCAACTTTCAGATTGCTTTTAGAATAGCAAACTATCTCCTCACAGCCATTTCTGTTCAGGACACCACTATTGTTCTTATCTATTTCAAATACTAACTGGTCTTATGGCTTTCCTGTTACATCACTCTAATATATTTCCAGATAAAGTAAAAGTCATTATTTTAAAATATGTCAGATTATATCATTTTATTTCAAAACTTTCTGAGGGCTTTGCATTTCATTCAGAATAAAAGCCAAGGTCCATTCAATAGCCTTGAAAAATGAATAGAAATAAAAATCATAAATAAAAGCTAGTACCTCTTCTATTCAACACTGTGTTGGAAGTTCCAGCAAGAGCAATTAGGTAAAAAAGAAACAGAAGTTATCTAAATCAGAAAGATAAAAGTAAAATTACCTCTGTTTGCCGATGACATAATCATATGTGGAAAACCCTAAATATTTTACAAAAAACTGTTAGAACTAATAAATTCAATCATGTTGCAGAATACAAAGTTAATACACAAAATTCAGTTGTGTTTCTATACGTCAATATGAACAATCCAAGAAGCAAATTAATAAAATCATTTCACTTATAATAAAAATAAATAATAGCCTTATAGACAAACTCAATTAAGGACAGGAAAGAAATACTTTTACACTAAAGACTACAAAA
Source organism: Homo sapiens (assembly GCF_000001405.40). Classification (NCBI taxonomy): domain Eukaryota; kingdom Metazoa; phylum Chordata; class Mammalia; order Primates; family Hominidae; genus Homo; species Homo sapiens. The sequence goes on from NC_000004.12 coordinate 31,323,222, forward strand.
CATTGCTGAAAAAAATGAACAGACACCAACAAATAGAAAGACTTCCCATGTTCATGGAATGGAAGACAATATTGCTAAGACATCTGTATTAGTCAGTGTCCTCCAGAGAAAAAGACACAATGAGTAGGTAGGTACATAGATGACAGATAGATAGACAGAGAGAGAGATATATAGATATATTTTAAGGAATTGACTCACATGATTATAGAGGTGAATGAGTCCCAACATTTGTAGTCTGCAATCTGGAGACACAAGAAGAGCCTAAGTTTCCATGTGAGTCTGAAGACAGAATAAAACCAATGTCCCAGGTTGAAGGCAGTGAGTTAGAAATTCCTTGTTACTCAGCCTTTTTGTTCACTTCAGGCCTTCAACTGATTGGATAGGAACAACTCACATTAGTGGGTGCAATCTGCTTTATTCAGTCTACTAACTCAAATGTTAATCTAATCCAGAAACACTCTCACAGACACAGCTAGAATAATGTTTCAACAAATATTTGGGCACTCCATAGCACAGTCACATTGACATATAAAATTAACCACTTCAATGTCAACAGTACCCAAGTGATCTACATATTCAGTGCAATTCCTATCAAAATCCCAACACATTTTTTTTTTTTTTTTTGCCGAAATAGAAAAAGCCATCAGTTTGGGATGATGAAAAAGTTCTGAATATGGACAGTGGTGATGGTTGCACAACAATGGAAACGTATTAAATGCACTGAGCTGTACACTTAAAAATGGCTTAAATGGTAACTTGTGTATATTTTCTCATGATAAAAAAATTCTAAACAATATGCACTTCTCTGATTTTACAGAAAAAACTCTAAACCTTTACCATTATATTCAGTGCTCTTTCTTCTACATACCAGATATCTTTCCATCTCAGAATATTTGTACTTGATGTGCCCTCTAACTAGAATCTTACCCTATTATTCTCTCTTCTACTTACCACTTTTTAATTCTCTATAGTTTTTAATATCATTGGAAAAAGAATTTATGTATTTGTTAATTTATCTACTTCTACTTTGTTTGTAAATATGTAAGCTCAGCAAGAGTAGGCAATTTATCTGTTTTATTCACTGATTTATCTTTTGGTTCCTAGAAGAGTATTTGGTACAGAGTAGGTACTTAATAATATTAGTTGAATGGATAATGGAAAAGTTAAGAAATGAACGTTTTTACTACATATGATTTGCTGTCTTGCCATGCCCTTTAAGGTACATCATTATGAATATTTTTTTTGCCTCGCTTTCTGAAGACTGACTAACTATACTTCTTTCATAAAGTAAGAACTGTCATTACTTAAATCCTAGAAAATGGCAAAATACTTTGCCTTTCTTATTCTTTTATGTTCCTTTATTTTTCTTTGCATTGCTGCATTAACTTCTTTTGCTAATTTAACAGTTATGTTTACTCTCAATATGTTTATTTAATTCAGCTGCCTAATGTCACTCTTTATCTGAAAAAAAAAAGAAAAGAAGACCAATATGCAGGGCCAGCACTAAGAAGTAACAGACAGAGCACAAATAATGTATAATGACATTTCATACAGTTTTTTTTCTGGGGTAGTGGAAAAATCTTTGCCAAGAAATCAATATTTAGAATCTGTTTAGATCATTATATTTGAGTGACTGCTACCTGCAAATGCACAGAACAATAGGCTTACCAGATATAGTAATGAAAAGAAAGGAGAGGTTTTTTTTACTGGCATTATTCCATGATAAAATTCAGTAGCATGACAGATCAGTAGATAGAATAAATGCTCTGTCAAGCCTTAACCCACTGTCCAAGTAATACACAAACATATCTGTTCCAACTAAAGCAACTGAAGCTGTAGGAATGTTTCTAGTGTGTGTCTGCTTTGTTTTCTAAATTACCTATCAATCAGAAGCCACTGTGCTTGGATACAGGTGATGTAGGCAGTACCATTTTGTGTCTTTACATCTTTTACTCCTGGCAAAATGAAATAATTTCTTGATGAATGTATTAGTTTTTGTCTTTTAATAAATATGCTGTAAGTGTTGGATAAAACAAAAATAAATGCTGAAGTATGAAATGAATAAACCCTATGAAATGAATAAACCCTATGAAATGAATAAACCCTAGAAAATTTCCAAAAGAATTGGTCCTTAACAAGCATGGAGACAAATATAGGGAAGAAACGATTAACTTGAGTAGTTATATTATCTCATGATCTTGTAGTGTGACTTTCAGTGACTATTCTTCATGAAGAAGAAATGGGGAAAAATTGTGAGGTTGAAGACAGGGCATTGCACAATAAGAGTGCTCAACAATTTGGATTGAAACATTGAATTGCCAAACTGGCAAAAATAATCATGTTGTAATATCAGGCAGAGACTATTATTCCTATTCATTTGTCTTTGCTTCTTGTGTATGGTTCTGAACTAACAACTGAACTGCAATAGCTCTTTCTCTCTTTAATGATTATACCTCCAGAATCACTTATTTGCACAAAATGTTTAATGAAAGCCTAACATATAACGGGTTCTGTATTGGGAACCACTCATTCAAGGATAAATAGTATAACCCCATTTTTGATCACTCTGATATAATGTAGGACACAATTACATACAAACAAAAAATTATAGCAGAGACTTAAATACCAACCGAATCATGATGTGCTGAGGTACTATATTCCTTGCATCACAAATGGTCCCACTAATATAAACATCAGAGGGCATTTGATTGATATTTATATTGAAAATAATGCATTTATTTCTTACACATCTAAAATAAAAACTTTCTGTATCAGAAAACTTCCTTCTCTGCTATTCTATGTTAACTGATGGGTAGCTGTTTAATTAATTTTGTTCCAGAAGAACTGTGATTGAGTCCGTCTTGCATTTAAAATATAAAAGTTACTGCTGTATACATAGTAAAGAGAGTATATTAGTCTGTTTTCAGGCTGCTAATAAAGACATACCCAAGACTGGGCAATTTACAAAAGAAAGAAGATTATTGGACTTAAAGTTCCACATGGCTGGGGAGGCCTCACAATCATGGCAGAAGGCAAAGAGGAGCAAGTCACATCTTACGGGGATGGTGTCGGGCAAAGAGAGAGATAGCTTGTGCAGGGAAACACACCCTTATAGAACCATCAGATCTCGTGAGACTTATTCACTATTACGAGAACAGCATGGGAAAGACTTGCCCCCATGATTCAATTACCTTCCACCAGGTTCCTCCCACAACAGGTGCAAATTCAAAATGAGATTTGGGTGGGGACACATCCAAACAACATCAGAGAACTTCCTTTCATGTAACTTGACAAAAATATTAGGTAGAAAATATTAGGAAAAATAATTTTCTACTTTAAGAGTAAATATAGTTGACAATAAAACAAGAGTTTAAACTACATGGGTCCCCTTATACACATATTTTTAAAAAATGAATATATTTTGAAATTTTTTCAGAATTATAACAATTTGAAAAATACTTGCAGATGAACTGAGTAGGCTAGACATATCAAAAGAATAAGAAAAATTCAGATATGTCATGAATTCATAAAATATATGTAGATACTAGTTGATTTTATCATTTACTACAAAAGAATGTGGTACACAAATATACTATAAAAAGTTAAATTTTATCAAAATCTACACACACATTTACAGATTGCACATGGTACCATTTACAGCTGAGAGAAATGTAAACAAATGTAACCATGCAGTATACAATTATAACTGCATAAAATTAACTGTAGTCTATACTGTACTACTATAAAAATTTTGTACCCACCTCTGGTTGCTGGTGTGGTGAGCTCAAGTATTGCGAGTATCTACTTAAAACAGTGTGGTGTGTATGGTGCTAATCAGCTCCACGTGAGAAGTTCCTTTCCAGTAAATTATTTATTGCAGTAAAAAGTAATCTCTAGGGTTTATTTTTTATTTATTTATTATTTTTTTTGTGTGTGTGGAGACAGGGTCTCACTCTGTCACCCAGGCTGGAGTGCAGTAGCATGATCTCGGCTCACTGTAACCTCTGCCACCTAGGTTCAAGCAATTCTCCTGCCTCAGCTTCCGGAGCAGCTGGGATTACAGGCACCTGCCACCACATCGGGCTAATTTTTGTATTTTTATTAGAGACGGGGTTTCACCATATTGGTCACACTGTTCTTGAACTCCTGACCTCATGATCCACCTGACTCAGCTCGGCCTCCCAAAGTGCTGGGATTATAGGTGTGAGCCACCGTGCTGGCCTATTGTTTGTTTTTCACCATGTTTAGTGCAGTATCATAAACTTTGAATAACACCATGGGACCAGCACGAAGTGCCACTAGTGATGCTGGGAGTGCTCTCAGGAAGCAGAAAAATGTCATGACATAACAAGAAAAAGTTGAATCATTCGATATACACCATACATTGAGATCTGCAGCTGAGGTTGCCCCATTTCAGACAATTCATCTTGTAAACAAATGATGTAAATTTACAGTATCGATAAATGCAGTATAGTATAGTAAATGTATTTTCTCTTCCTTATAATTTTCTTGCTAACATTTTCTTTTCTATGGCTTACTTTATTATGAGAACACAGGATATGACATATAATACATACAAAATATGTGTTAATCGACTGTTTATATTATTGGTAAGGTTTCTGATCAACAGCAGGGCATTAGTAGTTAAGTTTTGGGGGAGTCAAAAGTTATATGTGGATTTTTAGCCACAGGGAATCAGTGCCCCAACCCCTGTGTTGCTCAAGGGTCAATTGTATTTATCATATAGAGAGAATCTTGTATTGTGGGTTTAAGTTTTGTTATCCTACTAAATATATGTTGTAAAGCAATTTCTTTAAATGGTTTGGGCTTCCATTTTCTTATTTGAAAAAAAGAATAATAATACCTCTGCAGGGTCTCTAGATTTCTCAGATGAGACAAATTTGAAACTCTTTGGAAATTCTTTCTCTCTCTCTCTCTCTCTCTCTCTCTCTCTCATTCTTTCTTGAGAGGGTCTTATTCTGTCTTCAAATCTGGACTGCAGAGGCACAATCATAGCTCAATGTAGCCTTGACCTCCTGGGCTCAAGTGATCCTCCCAGCTCAGCCTCCCAAGCAACTGGGACTACAGGTGTGCACCACCACACCGGCTAATTGTTTTATTTCTAGTAGAGATGAGGTCTCACTATGTTGTGCAGGCTGGTCTTGAACTCCTGGGCTCAGGTGATCCTTGAGCCCAGGCCTCCCAAAGTGTTGGGATTAAAGGTGTGAGCCACTATGCCTGGCCTTTAGAAATTGATAAAAGTGAAATATTGCCTTTGAATTTGGGAGAGTTCCATTTGTGTCATGGCTGGCTTATCCTGAGTAAGTCACTTTATCTCTAAGGATTTATAAAATGAAAAAGTTGGTCCATAAATACTAAGATTACTTTGAAAAATTATTAACCTATGAATCTGAGATAAAATCACTACAAAATACAAGTTATGATAACAAAGGACTGTATTTTCTGTATTATCAATAACTGTTTTAGTTTTAAAGTAAGCACTTTGCAGTGTGGTATGCTCCTGCAAAGGGTAATAAAATGGATCTGTTGGTGGTTAAATGACTCTTTCCAGTTTTTATTTGTATGGTGCCTCAGAAACTCCAGTCTTCAGTAACTCAAACCATCATGTCTCCAGTTTCAAAAAATATATTAGCAATTTCTCCAAAGAACCGCAACTAGCTTTTCCCTCTCACCTAATAGTAATCTGTGAATTTTTAAAATATGTAGGATATGTGAAGAACAGAATGGAATTAAAATTTAGTGGGTGTTTTTTTATTGAATTAAATTTAGTGTTTTTTTCTTGAAAGTCTCATCTCCAGAAGGCAGTGCTTCCAGGAATGGTTGCACACTGTCAGCTCATTTGTGTTGTCAGTGCTGCCACCTCGTTCCCAGAAGAGCATCTGTGGATTTGGGGAGAAAATGCAATACTTCTGGGAATAGTGCCCAGAACATGCAAGCTTCTGTATCATTTTAGAAAGTCAGAGAGGAGAGAATAAAATATTCACTTGCTTCAATGTTTTATGTACAGTCATCAGTTCTGGTACTAACAGCTGCAATATCCATATATTCTTATTTGTGTATTTTTTTTTTTACAGAGTCTTTCTGCAATGTAACTTTGAGCTTTTCTGTAGTTCCTTCTCTTGCAATCCTACCCCCCCGATCCCCATCATTTTCTTATTCTCAAGGGGATAACGCGAGCATTAACAACAACCAAAGGCACTGTTGACATACCAAGTGATAAGGATAGATGAAGTGAAAATATTATATTCTCTCAGCTCAAAAAGAGTACCTCTAATTATTACCATAATTTTATAGGTAATTTGTGAAATTACCTATATGAAATCTTAATTTTATGAAAGCTTAATCTGGTAGGTATGTAGTAATTATTCTAGTATTTGGGTATTTGCTTCCATGCACATTAGAAAAATATAACCAACACACTAAACATAGAATATTGCTTGGTTTTGCTGGTTTAGGATGATGCTCCAGTAAGCAGTGGCATAGTAATCTGCCTTAGGATGATCAAGTGAATTACAGATGTGGCGCTCAGAAAACCAATGAAGGGGTTGAACCGACAAAACTGAAAGTGTTATCATCGTAGTTTATAAGTATAGATAGTAGGATCATATAAACTGGAGGCATGGGATTTCATATACTTAACTGACATGTATTTTATCTTAGTTTTTTCTTCAGAGTATTGGAACTCCACTTCAGGAAGTTAATATTAAGCCTGCTAAATATGTATAAACAAAATAAGTATGTGTGCTGTTTTCAAGACACACACACACACACACACACACACACACACGCACACACCCCTTAGTTCATCTGGGCTGTTATAAGAACATACCATAAACTGGGTTGCTTATAAACAACTAAAATTTATTTCAAACAGTTCTGGAGGCTGGGAAGTCCAAGATCAAGGCGCTGACATATTCAGTGTCTGGTAAGAATTGTTTTCTGTTTCATAAGAGGCATCTTCTCTATGCATCCTCACAGGGCAGAAGAGGCTTGAGGACTCTTTTATAAGGGCACAAATTTCATTGATGAGGTCTCAGCCCTCATGAGCCAATCATCTCCTAAAGTCTGCATCTCCTAATACTATTGCATTGGGAACTGGGTTTTGACATATAAATTTTGGAGGGGACACAAACATTCAGACTATAGCAATACACGCACATCATATATATTAATATAATTAAAATATATTTTATATCTAATTAATATATATTAATATAATATATAATAATAATTAATATATAATTAATATATTAATATACTATGCATGTATGTACACATTCATATACACAGATACATATATATAGATGGTGCTGACTTAATGGTGGTTTGACTTACAGTTTTTTAACTTTACAATGGGTTTGTTGGGGTACTAAAAGCATTTTCAACTTACAATATTTTTGACTTATGATAAGTTTGTCAAGACATAATCCCATTGTAAGTCAAGGAGTATCTGTATAACAAAACTTATAATAAAACATGTATGTAACAAATACACATAAGTTTTTATCTTTTTGTGTTAATTTGTTCTTTATTGAACCTGTTTTGGATAATATTTTTTTTTAAAACAGGACTGTTAATGCATACAAGTGGAAGTTACTTAAATATATCATGAGTGCTAAAAAACTTCAATGGAATTAACATATTCAGAATAATATCAGACATATAGTATACATATTAAATTGTAGCTGCTACTCCTACTACTATTAGCATTGTCAGGTTTGATTGTGATTAAATCTTTATGTCTTCAAAGAGACACGTTAATTGATAATCTTAGTTTTCTGTTAATATTGTAAAAGTATCAGCTGCAAAGCAAATATTCAAAATATTATGAAAAAGCATTTGAAATCAAAATTTTCATGAAGTCATAAACAAAAGCAAACTAATTCCTTTAGGTTTAGACATGCTTCTACATTCTGAAATGACCCACACTCACAGACACACAATTTGATATTATAGTGTCTGACCTCAAAGACTGTTGTAAAACTTCCAAAGAAGAAAAGAAAAAGAAAATGATATCCCAGAATTTTAGAAATTTTTTAGCATTCCAATTCAATAAAAATATAAGAATATTTATTTATTATATTTTATTAACTTGTGAAGCTTATAGTTTCTGGAGTCATAGTAAATAAACACTAAATATGCTGCGAAGACGTTTTAAATAATAAATTGGGTCAATACAAGCAAAGGAACTGGTAAGGTGCTTCTGTCAAAAGAAATAGTGTACTATAAAATTACAAATATAGCCCCAAACTGAAGGCAGTAAATATTTTCATGACTATAGTAAAATGTATTCTATTCACTGTCAGTTAATCCTCTGATGTTCTCTTAGTATTAAGTGTGTGTTATGTACGTGCTAAACACTGAGACCATGGAGACCTTTTGTTCTGCCAGTCTTTGCCAATGAGTACAACTGGAGTAGGGATTTTAAAACTTACTGATGGCGGGGCGTGGTGGCTCACGCGTGTAATCCCAGCACTTTGGGAGGCCAACGTGGGTGGATCACCTGAGGTCAGGAGTTCGAGAACAGCCTGGCCAACGTGGTGAAACCCCATCTCTACTAAAAATACAAAAATTAACTGGGCGTGGTGGCTGGTGCCTGTAATCCTAGCTAATCAGCAGGCTGAGGCAGGAGAATCGCTTGAACCTGGGAGGCGGAGATTGCATCTAGCCGAGATCGCGCCATTGCACTCCAGCCTGGGCAACAAGAGCACGACTCTGTCTCAAAAAAACAAAACAAAACAAAAAAACCTACTGATAAGTTCATGACATAATCTGGAAGTGACTTATTGGGATAAGCATGAAAGGCACTACATTCACAGTTGATGCACAATGAGGGCTTGTTCCACATAGTCAAACCGTATCACAGGAAGTAATGTCCTGGTATCCTACACCCACCATCCTCTACCCCACACCACCCAGACATGCAAGAAAAGCGTACTTAAAGTTGTAAAAATATATCAATCATAGTAAAGAGAGGCCATTGAACTCTTGAAATATTTTCTAATATTTATCTAGAAATGGGAAATTACGAGAAACATAGTTTTGTAGTGAAATCTATTTTTTTTAAATGCTGCAAAATCCATCCTTTTCTATTTGAGGCAAAATAACAACTTTCGTTTTCTGGCTAAAACCTTTAATACGTTGTGATGTATGCATCACTAGGGACTGCCTTTTATATCAGGATATTTTTCAGAGCTGTCAGCACAATTGGACAACCTTACAAAATTCATTTGTATCAGTTTTCCAAGTGAAAGAGTAAATTAATTAATGACAAAATTGGAGCATCAGTCATCAAGCCATGATCATGGCATGTTAGATTATTTTACGTGTCAGAATGACTTAGTTATTAACTTATTTAAAAATAGTTGTTGAAAAGTATTTTGACCATTATAAAGACATCATTGAAGGATAACAAAAGTAAGTGGCCTTCACACATAATTTCCCGGATGAACACCACTTCTGTATTGCTGAGACATGCTCTTGTTCCCTGGTATTTCACACATTACCAGATTACTTGACACATTCAGAAGAACAAAATTTAGAGAACACCTCAGATTTTTTTTAAAGGAAATTTTCTTATGCAAAGTCATTTATCTTATTTTCACTAATAATGAATTATCTATACCATAAATTAATACAAAAGAACTCGGTGCTTCCAATTTCCAAATATGTACATTTTCAGTTGAGATTATCATTAATAGGCTAATATTAAAAGCAATGGAATTGTTCTACTATATTAAGCTTCATATTAATGTTAATTAAGTTTCAAAGATTCAAAATCTATTATTTGGTGATAATAAACATGTTATTCTGTTTGAAAAATTAATTATTAGGCATGCAATTATTACATTGATTAAATTAATGGCTAATTTTTTTGGTTGATTTAAAAATTTTTTAATATTAAATAATATTCTGACATAATGGTATTAATTATTACAATGATCATAAAAATGTTCTTTTTAAATCATTTATTAATCACAAAAAGAAAAGCAATATAAAAATAAATAGTAAAGCTGGTAAACAAATAAGGCACAAAAACATAAGCATAATATGTAAATGACTTACTTTTGAGAACTACTACATTAAATTTAAACATCTTAATGAGAGATAGAAGGATATATCTTTCTTAACTTTTAATCAGTTTAAATATATGATTTAGCATCCATGATAAAAGAAATTCTAGTATAGCATCAAGTAGCTAAAGTAGTTGGATAACTAAGTTTATATACAGTTTCACTAAAATGTTTGTCATTGGACAGACAGAATCTTGTTAAAAAAACGATTTTGGCATAATATTGTAAAGCATATAAATCTTTGATTCTCATTTGTTAATTAGTCTTTATTATAGTTTAAAAATCTGCAAAGAAGTCAACAGTACTTCAGTTAATGTTATGTATCTATTGCTATTGGTGATAAAAACGTAACTAATACTTTGTTTCAAAACAAATTATACGTATTATTCTGGTGGCATTTGGGAGATATAGTTTTCTATGCTCTGGAAACAAATGTCTTGATTTAGAAACCTAAAAAAATTTCCTTAGAAATGTAGAAATATTTCCAGTTCTTGGGAACAACTGTTCCAAGTATTTGAGACTAAGACAAGTGACTGTTGCCACATTTGGTTATTAGACAGATTTTATTAATAAACCTACACGCCCAACCTACACATCACATTTGGTATCAAATGTCAGGACAGGCTGTGACAATAGAGGGACACTTGGGAGAATAGCCACTTTTTGGAACTACAAACCATGATTTGGTACTCCAAGAAAAACGCAACTGCTGAGTAAATCAACTACTTCCCTTAGGAAGAAACTCCTACCCAGAGAGGCACAAGTTAAACTGCATGTGAAGAAATGTACTATCAATGTTTGAAAGAAAGGAAGTACCTATAGAACAGCTAGTCAATCTCTACTTGTGATGGAATCTAGATTTATCTGATTGTTGACTATGGGAAAGTAAATAGTGACCCCAGGCATTCAGGATCATTTCACCTCTTTTCTCCTAAATAGAATCTCAGGCCATAGCTCATACCTCAAACATTTGTCCCAAGAATGGATTGTTGACTTTGCAGACTTTACTAGAGGGCTCTGATATTTAAGAGGCTTGCCTTATAAGGACAAAGAGAGAGAGAGATGATTTTGGGTTTTTAGCTTACATTATTCAGACATCCAAGTATTTATATGCCCCAAAATGTCATGACACATTTATTTCTTTTTATTGATACTATAATCCCAAGACAATTAAAAGTTTCACCAAATTCATTGCTTAGATACCAGTGATTTAACAGTATCTTCTATAATTTCTTTTGGTGATATTTGTTTGTATATGACTCAGAGTATAAATGTCCACAATTTTGAAATATTTGAGCCAAAAGGGGCCTCACGAATCTTTTAATTTAACTTGTTTATTTTATAATGGTGAACTTTAAGAGCTTTTTAAAACATATTGCAGTAATTAGTATTATAGCTAGCTCTAAAACCTACATCTTCCAATTCCCAAACCAATGTTTACATTCCCAAAGGGTTTTTTATACCGCTGAATTTTTTTTTTATTTATATTAGTAATTTGGCCACATATTTTGTTATGTAACCAGTTAGAAGTAATAGTATTATGTAGAAATCACTTCACTAAGGGTTTTGAACATCATCAAAAGAGGTACTTAAAATGCTTGGTGGTTGAAAAGATACAGATTTCTGTGTGTGCATTTATAAAGCTACCTACCAATATTCAGGTGTATGTGATGTATCAGAAACAGGAATAAGTGATTGACATATGATGAGTTTAAAGAGTAGTTGATAGAAGTGACATGAAAGTAAAGAGACAGAGCATGTGTGAGCATTCCCTATGTGCCAGAAATTGTATATCCACTAGATCATGTTTTATGAGGTCAACACTGCTAATAAAAAAAGCTACCATATTTTGGATTGGATATTATATATTAGTCATTTTACGAATAAGATCATTCAATTTCCATAAAAAACATTTTTGTTTCTTTTTTCCAGATACAAAATTGTGTCAACAAAAAGAATCAAACTCTGTAAAATATTTGAAGAGATTTATTTCGAGCCAAATATGAGTGACCATGGCCCAAGGCACAGTCTCAAGAAGCCCTTAGAATATGTGCCCAAGGTGGTCAGGCTGCAGCATGGTTTTACACACTTTAGGGAGACATAAGACATCAATCAATACATGTAAGTTATATATCAGGTTGGGAGTGGGGTGGCAGTTTGGGGAGGTTTCTAGGTTATAGGTGGATTCAAAGATTTTCTGATTGGCAATTGGTTGAAAGAGAACAATTATCACTTAAAGACCTGGAATCAATGAAAGGGAGCGTCTGGGTTAAGACAAGGAGTTGTGGAGACCAAGGTTCTTTTTATACAGATAAAGCATCCAGGTGGCAGGCCTCAGAGAGAATAGATTATAAATGTTTCTTTTTAGACTTATAAAGGTGTCAGACTCTTAGTTAATTCTCCTCCTGGATCACAGAAAAGACCTGGAAGAGGAAAAGGATTCTGTGCAGAATGTACATTTTCCCTGCAAAAGACAGTTTTGCAATACCATTTCAAAATATGTCAAATAAATATACTTTGAGATAAAATATTTCCATGTTTTTTAGGGCCTGCTATCTGTCATGCTGATATTTTTTTGATACAAAGACACCACTGTCAGTTTTAAGGTCTCTGTTTTAATGTTAATGCTGGTCGGTTGTGCCTGCATTCCAAAGGGAGGAGGTTATAATGAGGCATGTTGGTGGGGAGGTGCGGGGGGCTGCGGGGGCAAGGGGACACCTATTCCCACAGGGCCTGAACTAGCTTTTCAGGTTATCTTTGAAATGCCCTTGGCAAAAGAGGGGTCCATTCAGTAGGTTTATGGGCTTAGAATTTTATTTTTTGGTTTATCATTGTGTTTTAGGCCATTCTTGCATTGTTATAAAGAAATACCTGAGGCTGGGTAATTTATAAAGAAAATAGGTTTAATTGGCTCATGGTTCTTCAGGCTGTACAGGAAGCGTAATGCCAACATCCGCTCAGCTTCTGGGGAGGCTTCAGGAAGTTTATAATGCTGAAAGGTGGAAAGGGAACAGGCATGTCACATGGCAAAAACAGGAGCAAGAGAGCATGGAGGGGGAGCTGCCGTACACTTTTAAACAACCAGATCTCATGAGAACTCACTACCATGAGAATAGCGCCGAGGGGATGGTGCTAACCCATGAGAAATCCACCCCCTTAATCCAATCACCTCCCACCAGGCCTCACATCCAACACTGGGGACTACAACTCAGCATGTGATTTGGGCAGGGACACATAGCCATACTATACTAAATTGTATATATAAAAAATACAGATCAGAAAATGTAACCATGGTGGACTGTCTGATTTCAGTCCCTCAGCAATATCCTCCACATGCGCCATGTATTCTCAATATACGTTGGTTACCATGACTGTCGAATTCATTATTTCATTCTCTTTAAGGTGTCCCAGCACATGGTGTCCCATGTCTGAAACATCATTCCAAATATACTTCCTATATTTCCACCATCTATGAATATTTCTCCTAATAGACTAACACCACCATAGATTTTGAATTATCTTTTACTTCTGCATTCTCAGAACTATGCATGGCATCTGAGATAAAAGAAGTTTATCAAGTAATGGCACAAGGTACAAATATTGTTACAAAGGAAATTGTAGACTTCCTTAACTGAGTTCTTCTGACATGAATTTCATTCTTAAATAGAAAACAATTGATATTTTAATCCAAACCAGCATTTGTTTTTACTGAGATAACTGTAAAGCAAATGTAATGGTAGCACATAATAGGCATTGAGCATATATAAAGTACTCTCAACATTTTTGAAAATACAAATAATCAAATAGTTTCTTTCCATTTGGAGCTGATAAATACTCCAATGAATAATTAATAACAAATATCTATCGGGATGTTTCTAATTATATTAAATTTAGCTGAATCCAATTATTTAGAAATAATTCTTTCACAGAAAATTAGTTATCTCAGTTTTTTACTCTTAAGCCTTCAGCTGATTGGATAAGCTCCACCTACATTGTCTAGGGTAATCACTTTTACTTAAAGTCTTCAGATTGTAGATAGTAATCTTTTCTACTAAACATCTTCACAGTGAAGTAACATCTAGACCATTGTTTGACTAAAAATTGAATACGATAGCCTAGCCACGTTGACATATAAAATTTAACCATTACAAGCTCCATAAATGTTAGCAAAATTTAATATTTGTAAATGAATGGCAGATACAGACATGAAGCTTCTGGAATATCTATCTATGCATTTTGTAAATCCTTATTAAATCAAGGTAAAGATGGTTGAAGACTGTTTGATGTATCATAAAAATCCACCAGTACTGATGATTCTGTGGAAACATGGTACACCCTGAGCTATAAGGAACCTGGAAAATCTTAGCTACTAGTCTCTGTCAATAATCAGCTCCAGACTATACTTAGAAGTTAACACTATCATAAGAGCCTAAATATTTGCTTAAGAGTTATAAGGTATATTAGTGAAATACTGGAAACTTTTCTATATCAAAAATAGCTGACAAAGACCTGTGATTTCTAAAATTGATGTTTGAAATGAGAAAACAGAACACTCTCTGTAACCTTTTGGGAAATCAAAGCGTTTTCAGTTTTCACCTGGAATTGCCCTGTGAAATTAATATGCTTCCAAAGTATTCCTGATCTTTGGAAAAGTAGCTGCCATTATTGAATTATGTCTAAGAGCTTAAGGTCTGGTATGTTTCTTATACTGTTGTCAATTTCAAATACAATGCTTAGGGCAAGAAGCATAGGCACTTAAGCAATAATTTCTTATGAACAAATCCTGCATCTGCCACACAGAAGACATTCATGATGATGCATTATCTGTTTTTAAGAAATGAGATGGGATTGACCAAAAGGTCATTCTTTATGGGCAGAAAACTCAGGTTGAAATGTGTCCTACCACTGACCACCCACTACATAGCTACTTTTAAAACAAGCCAAAGTAGCATCCCACAGATCAATCACTCAGGTTTATAAGCCTGTTTTACACAATTCTTTCATTATTAGCATTTACATTAGATGTGTTGTAATGGCTAGAATCTGCAGCAGCATGTTACAAATATTTAGGAGAGTATTAATATCCATGAAACAAACATTTCCAGAAGAGTACTGCATATATGCTGATATAAATGAGTTAAGAATTAACATAGGATCACAAAAGAAGTTTATCAAGTAATGGCACAAGGTACAAATATTGTTACAAAGGAAATTGTAGACTTCCTTAACTGAGTTCTTCTGACATGAATTTCATTCTTAAATAGAAAACAATTGATATTTTAATCCAAACCAGCATTTGTTTTTACTGAGATAACTGTAAAGCAAATGTAATGGTAGCACACAAAAACAGTGTATTTTTACTCTCATGTAGAAGTAATGACTCAAAAGTCAATAGCTGTTTGACATTCTCTGTAGCATCTTCATGCTGGCAGATTTGGACCCATTGAATGTCTGTTTTTTGTAACATTGTAGGAGCAAATTTCTTTTTATAGAGTGTTCTGTTTTGTTTATTTTCAATATGGAATGAAAACAACATATGGGTTCTAGCAAGGCAGTTGATAAACATTTTTTTTTCACCGAAATGCATTACACGAATTATTTTTTACTCACAAGGTCAGCTCAAATTTCAGAACAGAAATGATCAGACTTTAACCAGGAGCACAGATTTCAGACTTAATGACTTACTCGCTGTACATCCTGTGATTTCACTAGAGGTAGAAAAGAACATAGTTTCATTAGAAGACCTGGCCTGAAGAACTCTCCTTTTTACATTTGCTGCAGTGATTTGAATACAGCATTTAGCCCAGTTATTTGCATGGAACAAAATAAGTATCTTATTTCAGGGCTGGTTATTATTACCTGGACTTGAGGACTTTTGTTTTACGACTACTATTTGAAGCTGTTTGTGGTGCCTTTAGTCACTCAGCACTCTCACTCCCGCCCCACCCCATCTCACCCCTCCTCCTTTGTGTACTCCCATTTCCCCTTTATTCTTTCCTTTTTTTTTTTTTTTTTTTCTGAGACAGGGTCTCAGTCTGCCACGCAGAATGGAGTGCAATGGTGTGATCTTGGCTCACTGCAGCCTTGACCTCCAAAGCTCAAGCGATTCTTCCACTCGAACCTCCCAAGAAGCTGGGATCACAAGCATGTGCCACCATGCCTTGATAATTTTTGTATTTTTTTTTTCGCATGGAGATGGGGTCAAACCATATTGCACAGGTTGGCCTTTTTTTTCTCTTAAACAGCAAATTAGCAATGAGAGTGGTCCCTTCTTCCAGTTTAGGATGAATTATTTTCCTTAAAAGGCAGAATAATACAGACTTAATGTACATGTTTCCTTTGAATTCCCATTAAGCACATTTTTAACCTTGCAGTGGAAATGAACCACCTTTACACAACACTGAGCCTGTCTTTTTTGCAATTTTTTATTACCAATTTAAGTTACACATGTTACTAGCATTGGCCATTTGCCTCAGGGAATTACTGTAGAATGACAATTTAAAATATTGACTCTGAAGAGTTGTAGTCTTTTAGGATTGCAAACATTTTATACATCAAAACCTTATCTTTTTGAATTTTAGAGTAACATAACAATCAGTCTCAGATCAAACTTTCTTAAAACCATGTTGATATTTGACTCATGAAATGCTATTTGTGGTGTATGATCAGTATAGAGGAAACAGATTGTTTCTTTTTTTATTTTTATTGTGTACTTGTTAATCTATGTCTAAAGGTATTATGCTAATTATAACACTACTCTTCACATTCAGAATCCAAATTGCTCATTTTCAAGTTTTTCTTTTTTTTTCAAATTGTAATCTGTTAATTACTTGTTTAATGGAGTGTGTAATTACCTACTTTAAGTTAGAAAACTGTTTCCATTTCAAAGAGAGAAACCTATTTTAGAAATGAAAGAATATAAATGCAATCCATTCGATATAGAATATAACCCTTTACTTCCCTTAATGATCTACATGAGAAAATGAGATTGAAAAACAACTCACCATATTTTCTATTTATGTATTTGTGTATATGACGTCAAACATAGGTGAAATGTATGATAAAGATAACACAATCACATTTAACTACACTTTGTGGAGTGATTCAACTCTCTATTCAAGCCATTTAAACAACTAATCTCTAGACCAGGAAGAAAACCAACTGATTAATGACATACACTTTTAAAAGTGTTTTCTTTTTCAAATACTTGGCTAGAAGAGAAAAGTAAGTCATAAAAGAGACCAAGTGAGGGAACAAGATATTAGAGAAGTGGAACAACTTAGGAAAGACATTAATAATAAATAATGTTAATTGAATTCAGGGTTTATTCTATCCAAGCAGCAAAAAAATATGAGGTATAACCAGGATTCCCTTGTGTCACATATGAATAAACTGAGCTTTCCAGATATTAAGTAAAATTGGCTACTGTAATTCAATCAAGCAGCAGTTTAATCTTCACACTCCAAGCTATTGCCTTCAAACTAAATGCTAGTACTATAATGGAAATAAATGAATTTGTATGATCTTAGGGAATGAAGAAAATTAGACTTTTTGATAATATTTTGATGATGACTATTCATTCTCTCGATGGTCTATAATGCTGGGATTTGGAAATTGACCAGAAAAGCTCTTGGTAGCAAAATCTTCATATTGGGTGGGAAGTGAAGGACTATATTTATGCTCTTCTTTTTAATGAAAATGTTTGTAACATGAGGACAAGTGCTTGGGAACTTAAGTAAATGTCTTGAAAAACTACAGGCTCAGTAGGTAATGGCAAGAGAAATAGCAGTTTAAGAAACTCTGGGCAGGGTGCAGTGGCTCATGCCTGTAATCCCAGCACTTTGGGGGGCCAAGGTGGGCAGATCACGAGGTCAGGAGATCAAGGCCATCCTGGCTAACACGGTGAAACCCTGTCTCTATTAAACATACAAAAAATTAGCTGGGTGTGGTGGCGGGTGCCGGTAGTCCCAGCTACTCAGGAGGCTGAGGCAGGAGAATGGCATGAACCTGGGAGGCGGAGCTTGCAGTGAGCCCAGATTGCACCACTGCACTCCAGCCTGGGCGACAGAGAGAGACTCCATCTCAAAAATAAAAATAAAAATAAATAAATAAATAAATAAATAAATAAACTCTGAAATTTCTGTTCCCCTGAAAGCAAGAAGAAAACTAACAAAAATGGCCAGAATCAACTTTTTCAGATCTCTGGATAGAAACAAAAGGCTTTCAGGCATTGAAATAAGTATATTCAGGAAAAATAGTTGAATTTCAGTATGAACTGTGAGGCTTATGACAATTTAACTTGTTCTATTTCTACCCTCCTCTCTTTAGCTCTGTATTAACCTTGAAAACAAATAAACCATAAACATCGTGAAATCTAACATCTTGGCAGCCAACAGAAGGAGAAGAAAGAGCTGTAGCTCTTTCAAAGCTTCACTGTCAGGGAATCATTATTTATTGGCCTGGCTGGTGGTTCCCTGGGAGTCTCTGCTTGCCGGGTTGTATTTATTTGAACTCAGTCAGATTTACCCAATGTGAAAAGTCTCCCTGGAGCTGTATGTTGAAACATTTTGAGGTAATTGTTTACCTTCAAGAGCTGCCTAAGGTAGTGGATAATAGTTGGAGCCAAACAATAAGTTAACCAGAAAGCTTAAAAGGAAAAGGAAGAGAATGAGATGTCCATAGGGATTTTGAAAACCTATGATATGTTTTTGGGAATCTAGCAGGACATGCATATTGCACATGCATAGGGCTTGGTCCATGCTCAGGAAGAATTCTAGAAGGTCTGAAGCTTTCAACTCTGGCCAGTGTTGAGAGTCTGAGGAGGCAGGAAGTGAAAGCTAAGGCACAGTTGTCAACTGCCAACGGGAGTGTCAAAGGCATGCCACAACATTCATGGTCTCTTAGCAAAGACTGGAAGACTTACTAAGGAAATATCTGTCGAATAATAAGCAGAGCAATGAGCTAAGCAAACAGACAGACTTTACTAGCCATAGAAAACAAAGAATACACACTTTAACAGATTAGTTCTGGAAAGTTAAGGGAAGAAAAAAGAACAAGAACAAAAACAACCACTAACAGCAGCAACAGTCAACCATGGAGAAGAGAAAGAAACTGATTTTCAGAGTTGTCACATTAAATAATTAAAAATGCTCAGTTTTCAACAGCAAAAACAAGGAATATTTTAAAAAAAGAAAATACGGCCCATACACAAGACAAATGCTATTATATAATAAATATTATCCTTGAGGAAGCCCTCCTGTTGGACTTACTAAAGACTTTAAATTCACTTTTAAAGATATAAGAATGAAAGAAAATCCCGTCCAAAAAAGTAAAGTGTAAGAATGCCACCTTTTCAATTAGAGAATATCAGTAATAAGATACACACTATACAAAGGAATAAAATAGAAACTCTGGAGTTAAAAAATAAAATAAATAAAATAAAACAATAAATAAAGGGGGTCAAGAACAAATTTCAGCAGGCAGAAGAAAGATTTCACAAATTTAAAGGTAGATTCAATTGAGATTATACAGTTCAAGGAACAGAAAAGAAAAAAAATGAGAACAGCCTCAGAAAAATGTGGGACATCATCAGATATACAAACAGGCTTACTATGTGAGTCCAGGAGGAAAGAAGAAAGTGAGACATAAAAAATGTTTCAAAAATTAATAGTTGAAAACTTTCTAAATTTGATTAAAAAAAAGTTGACACATCCAAGAAGCTCATTGAATTCTGACTAAGTCAAACTCAAAGAGATCCATGCCTAAAGACTTCATAATCAAACTGTTGAAAGCAAATTAAAAAAAAAAGGTATACTGAAAGCAGCAAAAGATAAGTAACTCATCACCTATATAAAATTCTGAATAAGATTAAGAGCTGATTTCTTATCACAAACCTTGAGGTCTAGGAAGCAGTCAGAAGCCTTATTGAAGCTGAAAGTAAAAAGACTGTCAACCAAGAATTTTGTACCCAGCAAAATAATCCTTCTAAGCTAAAGGAGAAATTAAGACATTTCTAGATTGGAAAAACAACAACAACAACAAACCACAGAGAATTAGTCCCTAGCCAAACTGTAATACTAGAAATATTAAAGGGAAGCTGTCAGGCTGAAAAGAAAGAACAGTAGACAGTAACTTGAGATCATCTGTAGAAAGGAAAAAATTAGTAAATTTTACTTCATAAGTAAATATGAATGACATTAACTTTTTTTGTTTTTTCCCTTCCTATTTGATATAAAGCAATAATTATAAATGTGTTAATGGCATGCAATGCACAAAGCTGTCATTTGTAATAAAAAAATAACAAATCTCAATACATTTAAAAGGATTGAAATTGTACGAAGCATTTTTCTCCAATCAAAGTGGAATGAAATTAGAAATCAACGAAAGAGGGATATTTGAGTAATAAACAAATATGTGAAGATTGAACAACACACTCTTAACAACAAATAGATCAAAGAGCAAATCACAAAACTTATCATAAAGTATTTTTAGATATATTGAAATGAAGACACAATATATCAAAACTTATGAGATGCAGCAAAAGCAGTTCTTAGAGGGAAAATTATATCTCTAAATGTCTATATTTTAAAAGAAGGAGAGAAATATCTCAAATAAATCACCTATTTTTTCACCTGCAGAAACTAGAACCAGCACACCAAACTAAACATAAAGCAACCAGAAAACAGAAAATAGAAGTGATGAAGATGAAATAAATGGAATAAATAATATAAACCAATAGAGAAAATCAACAAGATGAAATTGGTTCTTTGAAAGGATCAACAAAATGTATTTTTTTAGCTAGACTAGCCATGAAAATAAGAAATAACTAAATTTATTAAATCAAACATAAAAAGGGAGACATCACTATTGATCTTACAGTGATAATAGGGATTATAAGGATTATAAGGAGAGATTCTGCTCAATTATATACTAATACATTAGATAACAAAAAGGAAACGGACAAATTTCTAGAAAGGCATATACTACTGTAACTAACTCTATAAGAAATAGATTAATTTAAAAGACCTATAAAAATAAGAAGATTGATTTAGTAACCAGAAAAGTATTCACAAAGAAAGACTCAGGACCAGATGGCTTCACTGTTGAATTGTCCCAAATATTTAAAGAGGAATCAACCCTCTTCCTTCATAAACTCTTCCAAAAAATAGAAGAGAACATTTCTCAACTCACTTTATGAGGCCATTTTTAAACTAATAAAAAAATCAAACACTTCAGAACAAAATATAAATGCAAAATTTCTCAAAATTTCCAACAAAATACTAGAAAACCAAATCCAGCCACATGTAAAAATAATTATACATCATAATCAAGTGAGATTTATTCCATGAATTCAATGTTGAACATACAAAAAAATCATTAAAATGTAATGCACTATATTAATACAATAAAGGACAAAATGCTCAGAATAATCTCAAAATATGCATAGAAGCATTTGAGAAAGTTCAATATCATTTAATAAGAAAGCCACTTAAACTTGGAAGAAAAGGAAACTTTCTTAGCCAGCTAAAGGGCATCTGCAGAAAATATTGAAGTACTGAGACCTTCTACCTTAAAATCAGGAGCTAAAAGTTAACCCATTTTGGAAAGGAAGAACTAAGAACTTTAATCCTTTCTATTTTAAGATGACTTGAACTTGTATATAAAAAAAAGTAAGGGATTCATGAAAATAATAATAATAAATGTTAGAACTAATAAAGGAGTTGAGCAAGGTTGTAGGAACAAAGATCAATATACCTAATGGAATTGTATTTTCACACTAGTAATAAACAATATAAAAATTAAATAAATAAAACTTTTCAATTTAGAATAGCATCAAAAGCAATAGAATACCTAGTTAAAACAGGAGTGCATCACTTGTATATTGAAAACTAGTAACATCACTTAGTTTATAAAAATGATAAATAGCTCAGGTATGGTGGCTCACACCTGTAATCCCAGAAATTCGGGAGGCCAAGTCAGGAGGATCACTTGAGCCTAGGAGTTTGAGACGACCCTGGACAAGACTGTCTCTACAAAAAAATTACAACAAAAAACAAACAACAATGACAACAATAAAAATAGCAAAGCAAAACAAAACAAACAAAAATAAAAACAAAGAGACAAATCATTAGAAAAAATCAAATTTTCATGGATTAGAAGATTTAATATTGTTAAAATGACAATATTTCCCTAATTGATCTATAGATTCAATGCAATCTCTACCAAAATCCCAGTTAATTTTTTTAAAGAAATAATTGAGAAGCATATCCTAAAATTAATGAGGAAATGAAAGGAACCCAAAATAGTGAAACAATTTTGGAAAAAGAAAATAAAGTACATACACTGCCCAGGCTCAATATTTCCTATAAAGCTATAGTATTCAAAACAGTTTGTTACTTACATAGGGTAAACATATAGATAAATAAAATTGAGAGTCTAGCAATAAATCCATACGTATCTGAGCAATTAATTGTTTACATTAATTCCAAGATCATTCAATGGGGAAAGAAGAGTCTTTTTAACAAATGGTTCAGGGACAACTGAATATACATACATAAAAGAATGAGTTTGGACCTCTCCCTCACACCATATGCAAAAACCACATGGAAGTGAATAAAATCCTAAATATAAGAGCTAAAAGTATAAAATTCTTGTAAGAAAGCAAGAGTAGATCTTTATGACTTTGAATTTAGCAAGGATTTTTAGATATGACACCAAAGGCAAAAGAAACAAAAGAAAAATGATAAATTGAACTTCATGAAAATTAAAAATGTTTTGAATCAAAACACACTATTAAGAAACACAATCTATATAATGGGATAAAATATTTGGAAATCATACATTTGATCCAAATTTAGATTCCTGAAGGTATAAATAACTCCTGAACCTCAACAATAAAAAGATAAACATTCCAATCTTAAAAATGGGCAAAAGATCTGAATAGACATTTTCCAAGAAAGATATAAAAATAAACAATAAGCATATGAAAATTGCTTTACATCCTAGTTGTTAGGGAAATGCACATGAAAGCCACAATGAAATGTCATTTTATACCCACTGAGATGGCTATAATCAGGATAAACAATAACAATTGTTGACAAGGATGTAGAAAAATTGGAACCCTCATACATTGGTAGAAAGAGTAAAAACCATGCAGCAATTATGAAAAACTTTCTGATAGTTCTTCAGCATGTTAAACACAGAGTTTCCATAATACTCAGCAATATTTCTCCTAGATAAATGTAGAAGAGAATTGAAAACATATTCATGCAAAAAATTGTACATGAATCTTCATAGCAGTACTATTTATAATAGCCAAAAATGAAAACAACCAAATGTCCATCAACTGGTGAATTGACAAACAAAATGTAATATTGAATTACAATATTGAATATACAATTGAATATTATTTGGCTATAAAGTGCTACATACTGCAACATAAATACATCTTGAAAACTTTATAATAGTTGATAGAAGTCAAATACAAAAGGCCACACATCTTTTGATTTCATGTAAATGAAATGTACAGAATAGACAAATACATAGAAACAAAAAGTAGATGAATGACCAATAGGCATTGTGGAATAGAGGGCACGGAAAGTGACTGCTAATGTGTATGGGGTTTCTTTACTAGTGATGAAAATGTTTTGTAATCAGGTAGTAGTTCGGCTTGTATAACTCATGAATATGCTAAGAACCACTGAACTGTACACTTTAAAAGGTGTCAACTTTGTGGTAAGTAAATTATATGTCAATGGAGAAACACAAAAAGCCAGTGGCTAGTTGGCTATTGAAAGAGAGGTGTCTTATTCTCCACCTCACCTATGCAAAATCAGACAATAACCACACTAGAATTTATGCTGCTTATCAATTGACTTCATGAAAAAATTACATATTTTTTTCACTTGAATCCCTCATGATAAGACATATATATTTCCTCTAGCTATGCTGATTTACTTTGCTGATTTCTTTAATCAGAATTTATCATTAGAATAATTCATCTCTTGTTCATGCAGATATAAGCTTAATAAAATAAAAGATGGAGATGCTTGCATGCAAAGTTTGTGTAACAGGTCAGGCTATCTTTTCTGATTTTAATACTAAATTAAAATATATAAAGGTTGAAAGAAATTATTTTGATTTATAATTAGTAATCACAAAGACTCTTTTAAAAAGAAAAAAGCTTTTTTGTTTTAATGAATTTATTTTGTTGTGGCTAATCATATTGCATGTTTTTCAAGTCCCATTTTAGTTGAATATTTATAATGAATGTTGTTTGTGTTCATTGAGAATCTCAATAACATTCCACCTTGTGGTTTGATTTATGTCAGATTATGAGGCACAAGACATACACTGTATTAAATAATTATGTTTTACTTTGATAATTTATTTTGATATAATTCTATAACCTATACAATTTATAAATCCATTTATTACATACTTTCATAATTTAATCTCATTTTTAAATTTCCTTTACTTTTTTAGCTATTGATTTTTTATTTTTTCACCTTCATTGCTGTATTTCACAGCAATAGAAAGCTGTGGTACTCCCTCAAATTTCATAAACGTATGTAGTTTTAAAACTATGTTATAGTTTTTAAAATCAAGCAATGATAGTTATGTTTCTCTAATAGAAGTTTAAATATCTGTCATAGCTAGATCCTTAAAATCCTTGATCATCTGAATTTACATTTGACATATGTCAAAACCAATATATTGTTTAATATTCTATTTGGTAGATAGCAAAAATGTTTTATATGGTGCAGTGATAAAGGCACTATTTAAATAAACCATTATGTTTTCACTCTTAAAGCAGATTTATTCCATTTAACATGTTTCTAAACCTCCTGACAACATATTTAATCTTTATTAAGAAACTGTGTCTTAATAGCTCATTTGGACTATTTAAACATTGACGGCCAGGCAACTGGCAGGACAGGCTGTAGACTGATCCAATTTTATCATTAATGAATAGATGGGCTGAAATATCCATTTGTGAATGAGATATTTTAATTACCTCTGTCTGTGAATGAGTAACTAGCGGAACATTTCTCAGAGTTCAGTCATTTTCATTTTTGGAAATAACCAATTTTGCATGAAAATTTTTTTCTTCAATGGCACCATGTATTTTGCCATCTAAAAATAGCTTTCATATGATACTAAATAATAAGAAAAACTGTGATCTGATTTCATGTTTCTGAATTAGGTTTGAAGCACAGTAAGGGTGTAGATGGGCTTAGGCAACTGCTTTTATACTTTCCTACTCTCTTCTGGATATTTTGGCAAAATGCTTGATTTCATTTCTCTTTGGTTTTCTGTGCTACAAAGTATAGAAAATAGAATGCAGATAATTTCTAAAGTCCTTTTAATATCTATAATAAAAATATCCAATTGGGCCAAATTCCGTCACTCAGCCACTGAACCACTGCCAGGTACATTTGAAGGCTTAAAGAAAATAGAAACAAATTATAATAAGATTAAAATATCTTAAAACTTATAATTCATCCTTTCAGAAGAATCCATTGTATTTTGGATTGAAAAAAATAAATTAAAATATTATAAACCAACAAATAAAACCAAAGGAATGTGTAGGTTCACTTATAAAACAAATTACTAATAATTTTGTATTTCAACCTTTCTACTATAGAAAAATCACATAATTTTTGTGGTATTACAGTTCACTCTAAAAATCAATGTCAATTACAACAAAATATACACAATATGTAGCAATAATATTTGCCATTCTGTAGTCTGTGCGTATGTTTTTATGGGTTCATTTTTTGAGGTCATATTTAGAAATGTTTTCTTCAAAATCCTGAAATCAAGTTAAATGCTATTCTTCACTTTTTATTAGCAGTTTACTGGGATAATTATGATATAACAAATTGTTCTAGAAAACATCTTATTTCTGTGATTAAGAGCTTAGGTTATTGTCTTAGATTGAATTATTGGCAATTCATAATTTCAATCAATAATATGCAATGGCAGCTTTGTTTTTCTCAACTGCCATATTAGTCTGTTTGAGTTGCATTAACAGTCTCAGTTTCTTAAGCAAGAAAAATTTATTTTTTCCCAGTCTGGAGGCTGGCTTTTTGACTTTGAATGCAGTGTCCCAGTTTTTGTAATATCAATTATAAGAACATCTACCTTATAGATTGTTGCATGAGTTAAACTATAATATTGTGGGAGAAACTCTCATCTATCATCAAATATATTTTTGTCCTTCCTAATGTTTTTCTTTTTCTGTCTTTCTTTGTGTGTGGCTACACTAGTAAGTATCAGATGCTATCTTAGTTTCTATAAGAAAATAGAGTAAAGGCTAAGTTGTGTGTTGTGTGGAGACAATTCAACTGATTACTCTCCCAACCAATATTTCTTAATGATTTATTACATAATAAAAACTATACTGGACACCAAATGAAGGAATAATGTTGGTCTTGTCAAATAAGAAACAAATCAGGATGTAGTATGAAAATATTAGTTTGGTGCAAAAGTATTTACAGTTTTGCCTTACTTTCGATGGCAAAAACTGCAATTACTTTTGCACCCACTGAATGCTTTATTTGAAAAGACTGTTACAATAAGGGGAATCATGACTATAACAGTTGAAGTAGGGAGACTATTGAAATAGGGAGAATTCTGTGACCATAAAATTCTGCAAGTGTCTTAAGAGTTAGGAAAAAAGAGTTTCTCTTTTATAAGGAAGAGTAAACAAGACTAAAAAACTGGCTGTGGGAAGCTGATTAGAAGGGTGGGGTGTTCAGATGGTGGATTAGAGAGTGTTTACCCTGAGAGCAGCCTATTGTCAGAAGGCCTGTAAAGGAGGAGTTGTATGCTGGCTCAGCCTGAGAGTTCGTGGAGGTCCCAGGACCTGGAGGAAGGAGATAAACTTAACCAAAGTTGAGCTAAAACACATTTTGTTCCAGCTAATTAGGGAGAGACCAGCAGTTCAGCTAATTATGAGGCAAAGAATGGGAATTTGGAAACTCTGTTGGCCTTTGCCATAGGAAAACAAGGAGAGCATCTGTGAGTCCTAGGTAAGTAATATGGAGAAGGGTATTATTTGCAGTAAGAAGGGTGGGGAGATTTCTTAACCATTATGTTTCCAGAACCACCAGGCTTAGGTAAAATTCAGCATTATCAGTCTACTCCAGAAAAATAATATATAACACATGGAAACACCAATAAAATTCCTCTCCCCATAAACCCCTTGATGTTGTAAGTTTGTTTTAGATACCCATTTGCCAAGTTTTAATGATCCTGCCAAAACTATTACCTTGGTCCGAGCAATCCTAGCTCTTGCCTGAGTCTTGCATAACCTAAATACAGACAGGGCTTATAGTGTTCTCTACTAGGATGATATTTTACCAGGGCCTTTTGAACTATATTTTTTCTTTATGTGAACAGGTATTGAGCTTACCTGTTCAACGCCTGTAAATCAAGCTTCTCTTATTCCCAAAGCAACAGCCACATGGTAAATGCAATCACAGAGATGTGATTTACTAATTACATCTTAAGGAAATTGTGTATCAAATACTATGTTTACATGCACATAGTTAGATTTTTGTAGAAAAGGCTCCAAAGCTTTCAAAAATAATAGAAATATTTGGTGATCCTCAAAACATGTCAAGAATATCTCTTTGTCCTCCTATAGTATGCCAACATGATGATTTTAGCTTGGGGGATTATTATATTTTTTATTAAAAATTGATCAATAGAATTCCTGTATTCTATATCCGTCTGATAAACTTGATTAACATAAGTTTATCCTTGAAAATTGGCTATACTTTCAGTTTGTCAAAAAAATAAAATTAGTTTAAAAGACTTAATGTCAAGCTTTCCTGTTACCAGCAGTGAATTTTTTTTTTTTTTTATAGAGTCTAGCTCTGTCATCCAGGCTGGAGTGTACTGGTGTGATCTCGGCTCACTGCAACATCCTCCTCCCGGGTTCAAGAGATTCTCCTGCTTCAGCCTCCCAAGTAGCTGGGACTACTGGCGCATGCCACCACGACTGGCTAATTTTTGTATTTTTTAGTAGAGATGGGGTTTCACCATCTTGGCCAGGCTGGTCTCGAACTCCTGACCTCAGGTGATCCACCCGTCTCGGCCTCCTAAAGTGCTGGCATTACAGGCGTGAGCCACCGTGCCCAGCCACCAGCAGTAAATTTTTGAGGAACTTAAACTACCAGCCTTATCTTGGTAGATACCCCATCGTCTCAATCTTGATGAGCCACAGGCATTTTGTTGTTACTGTTATTTGAATTTTTATAATCCAAGCCATTAAAGAGACAAGTCTGGTCAGCTTATTATATGGTATCAACAATTGGCTCAAATGGGAAGAGCAGTTGTTGTAGACTGAATTGTGTCTCCCCCAAATCCATATGTTGAAACTCTAACACCCAATATGACTGGATTTGGAGATCGTTCCTTTAAAGAGATGATTAAAGTTAAATAGGGTCATAAGGATGGGTTCTTAATCTGATAGGACTAGTGTCCTTATAATAAGAGGAAGAAACATCAGGGATGGACACACACACAGAGAAAAGATCACATGAGGACACAGCAAGAAGGAAACCATCTGCAAGTCAGAAGGAGGCCTCAGGAGGAACCAATCCTGCTGTCATTTTGGACAGCTGATCTTGGACTTTCAGCTTCCAGAACTGTGAGAAAATAAATTTATCTTGCTCCAGAAACACAGACTGTAGTATTTTGTTAATGCAACTCGAACAGACTAATATGGCAGTCAAGGAAAAAAGCTGCGATTGTATATTATTGATTGCAATTATTAATTGTGAAATTATCACAATTAAATGCGTATGAAATTTACCTCTGAATGATTAATCGCAACTAGATAATTAGGAAGAAACCAACATTTACATGTACCATAAGTATAACATTTGCAATTGTTTTACTACATGGAACATTTACATAATATTTTAAAAAGTAAATATTGTTGATTTAAGATGTTTATAGATATATGATTTTTAAAAAAACTGAAACATCTGTGCCTGCGCCATCATCATACTATAATCAGAGAGTAATCAAAACTAGTTTCAGCACTTTGAAGAAAGGATACTTGAATTCCTGGAAATTAAGAATGCCTGCTATGGTATGAGAACTGCTGTTTGGGTTAAATATTTTCCATTTATGTAGAGAGAGAACCACTCACTTGAGTATGTAGAACTGCACCACAATTTGTAGCGTGAATTTTAATTAGTAGGCAAAGATGCAGAGTAGATACAATTCTTACACACACACACACGTGTGTGTGTGTGTGTGTGTCTGGCTTACATGTTTTATATAATGTCTACCCTACGTCTGTGTGTGTGTGTGTCTGGCTTACATATTTTATAGGCAATGGGTTTACT
Organism: Homo sapiens; assembly: GCF_000001405.40. NCBI lineage: Eukaryota > Metazoa > Chordata > Mammalia > Primates > Hominidae > Homo > Homo sapiens. The sequence goes on from NC_000004.12 coordinate 31,352,683, forward strand.
TGGCTATAGATGTGTATGTGAACAGTAATAGTATATCAGTAAGAAATTAGTATAATTAAATTAATACTACAACCTTAGAAGCTAAAAATATGCTTACTAATCATTCAAAAAGAAATGAAAGAATAGCCACTGGGGCCTTATTAAACTTACATTTTATGATGTATACAGGTAATCAACTGTGCTATGACAGTATTAAGAAAGGTCCTGTCGGGTGTGGTGGCTCATGCCTGTAATCCCAGCACTTTGGGAAGCTGCCGAGGCAGGCGGATCACCTGAGGTCGGGATTTCAAGACCAGACTGACCAGCGTGGAGAAACCCCATCTCTACTAAAAATACAAAATTATCCGAGTGTGGTGGTGCATGCCTGTAATCCCAGCTACTTGGGAGTCTGAGGCAGGAGAATCACTTGAACCTGGGAGGTGGAGGTTGTGGTGAGCCAAGATCACACCATTGCACTCTAGCCTGGGCAACAAGAGTGAAATTCTGTCTCCAAAAAAAAAAAAAAGGCCCATTGTCGATCTTGTTACTTTTTGGTGATAAGAGAATATTACTATTAATAAAACTACTGATAAAAATTGTAGAGTTAATAGAAAAGGGGAGGGAAATCAATACATGAAGCAAGTTTAACACAATAAAAACCATGTGAAGTTGTTCCTATTCTTTAGAGAAAGGAATGTTCTTACTAAATACAAAAATATATAGATGAAAATGAATTAGGCAATGCCTGGTTAATTTGATGACAGAGCCTTAAGGACAATTAAAAAGTGTTTTGTAGATTAATATTATGAAAACATGGAGAATTCCATATATTAACTATTTACTCTTAAAATTAATAATAAATGATGGATTACTTATTTTGTTTGCAGAAAAAGTAAACACATATTGAGTAAATATACATAGTTCAACTCACACACTGATGCCTAAATAAGTAATAAAATGAAGTTTCCATATGTGGACCAACTCTTACTTTATGTTGGCTAATTTTTGAGTAGCTTTGTTGAAAACTAATTTGAAGTTTACCTTAGATTTACATATATATGTATGCATTTACTTATTTATTTAAATTTTGCAGATTATTAGACTGAAATAGTCTGTTTCTCTTAAAAATCTGTCTCCAGGGAAAGAAATATGAGTTAATAGTGACCTAAAATTGGTTTGCCTCAAATATCAGCTGAAAATGCACAAAAGAGACTCAGCTCTATCGTAGGATGATCATAATAGAATGATCATGATAGAAATACCATGATAGATGATAGATCATGATAGAAATATCAAAATATTATGATAGATGATCATGATAGAATTCTTGAGGCAGTTGACACATAAACTGATTTTAAAGAGGTACTTAAAATAAAGATATTTGTGTAATTTTGATACTTAATGGATTCACACATATAAAGTCAATTTGAATTAACATGGATAAATATAAAATTCATGCAAATAGCAAACAAATCTGCGTTTTTATGCTCTAACTTAAAAAACTAGACTAAGATGAAGAGGTCATTCCCAAATGTTTTATTTAAGGCTAATAAAGCAGACTTGGACTTTTTACAGCCTTCAAGTCCTCTCCCCCAGCCTGTCTACATATACACACGCACAGACACCCTCCCCCCGCGACCCCGCATACACTTCCTGAAAGCAATTATAAGGGAACTGCAAACAGCCATTGATCTTAGTGGCTCTGGATCTAGCTATGGCTTTGAAAGGCGATTAAAACATTTATAAATATCCTTAAAATATTCTATAAAGAATATCTGGGCACTTAAATACATTTGTGAAATACCTAAAATAACTGAAAAAATGCACATCAAACCTTATGGTAGAAAGTTGAGGGTAGTCTGGAGTTGTAAGAGAACCGCCTGGAGGACTTACATTTAGGTAGTATTTTACTTTAAGGGAAAAGTTATCCATATAATCTTTGTAAAATTATATTATATGTTTAAATAAATCGATATATACAGACATATATAGACAGGGACAGAGATTTATGAATGAAAATAGTCCAGAACATTAGCGGAGTTTAAATCTGTGGTGGGAATGAGAATGTTATTATGGGTGAATTGTGTCCCACCAAAATTCCTGTGTTCAAGTTGTAACCCCCAGTACCTAAGAATGTATTTGGAGACAGGGACTGTAAAGAGGTAATTAAGGATAAATGAGGTCATATGAGTTGGCCCTAATCCATGATTGTATTTGGAGGTGGCCTTTCAAATAGCGATTAAGTTGAAATGAGGCTGTGAAGGTGAAACCTAATCCAACCTGACTGATGTCAAGAAGAGAAAAGAAAGAGAAGAAATTTTAGACACATAATGAAACACCATAGATGTGCATACACAGATGAAATATCTGTGAAGTTCAGTGAGAAGGCAGCCATCCCACCTGTACACCAAAGAGAGAAGACTCAGGCGAAACCAAACCTGCCATCTTAATAGTCTTAATAATTTTATTCTCAAAGTGAATCTTCTAAGTGAATTCCTTGAAACAACAAACCAGGCACTGGGACTTGAAGCCTAGCTCACTTGTGCCTGTCTCCCACCCTTCCCAGGAGGGTTTTTCTGCCACAGGCTCCCCAACACCCTAGAGGCACGTGTTCTGTTCCCAGACTGAACCGAGGGTGGGACTTCTTATTCTGGTGACCCAAAAATGAGATGCAGATGAACTGGGAAAGAAGAGAGTTTATTTCTGTAACCCGGTACAGGGAGAAGACCAGGAAAATATCACTAGACCAACTCAAAGTTACAAAGTTTTTCAGAGCTCATATAGCTTTTAAGCTGTATATCTATGTGTAAGTGTGTGTTCATCTAAAGATGTAAGTGATTAACTTCTTATCTATAACTAAGGTCTGAGTCCTGAAGACCTTCCAATGGAGTCTTCGTAAATTGACTTAATCTAGATGGGTCCAGGTGCCAGGGGTGATTACCTTTATCTTGTGTCCTGCTAAATTATGGAGGTTTGGGGAGTTCCTTTAGATCCCCAATAAAAATTGTGGAGATCTGGGGAGTTTCTCCAGACCCCCAATAAAACTTGTTTAATTCTAAACAGGTCCTGTTAAGAATTCCTTCATTACCTTGTCATGCTTCAAGGCCAAGGAAAGGCCTGGGCGAAACTCTTGGTGGGCTTTTGTTCCATTCCAGCCCTTGCATATGGGCACTGGTTCTATCAGCTTTTAATGTTTAACTTCACCACTCAGTCAGTGCTGAAATAGTAATGCAGGCCTGCCCGTTCAGCTGTTAGTGAGACCTGGCCTGCCACAGTTCCACATAGCCTTCCCTTTCCCAGCTCAGTCCTCAGCCACCTCATGTTCCCATCCACCCTTGACAACGGTTCTGGGTATAGCTGAGGAGGTATTAGCATCAGGTGCACAGCATTGCATGATGTCGCTGGGCTGTGAGTGGGGTAAATCCCCAGCCCCCCTTCCATTTGGAGTTGAATTTTGCAGGGCTGGCTGAGCTTCTTATTCATCCACATGCAGGTACCAAGTGTGTCCCGGCACAGAGTTTGCTATCCTTTGGGGATTTTTCACCTGCAGTGGGTTGGGACAGCATGATCCACAAAGAGGAGGGTCTTGGCTTAATTTTGGCTCCTCCTAGCAGAAGCATGGTATATCAGTCTACTTGTTGAGTCTTAAAGACTAGCAAGACATTTCAGTTAGCACTACCACTCAGTTTGACCAAAACAACTTACATAGCACGCCTAATTTGAAATAAGGACAGAGAAATGTAAGCCTACTATATTCCTGGACAAAAAAGAACCCCAGGTGTTTGTTGACACTGTTACCAGAAAGGGGTCCCAATCCAGACCCCAAGAGAGGGTTGTTGGACTTCTGCAAGAAAGAATTTGGAGCTAGTCCATAAAATGAAAGAAAGTTATTAAGAAAGCAAAGGAATAAAATAATGGCTACTCCATAGGCAGAGCAAGCGCATGGGCTGCTCGATCAAATATACTTATAGTTGTTTCTTGATTATATGCTAAACAAGGGGTGGATTATTCATGAGTTTTCCTGGAAAAGACTGAGCAATTCCTGCAACTCAGGGTTCCTCCCCCTTTTAGAACATATAGGGTAACTTCTGGACTTTGCCATGGCATCTGTAAGCTGTTGGCGCTGGAGGAAATATCTGTTAGCATGTTACTGCATTATAATTAGTGTATCATGCCAGGGAGGATGACCAGAGGTCACTTTCATCACCATCTTGGTTTTGGTAGGTTTTGGCTGGCTTCTTTACCACAACCTGTTTTATCAGCAAGGTCTTTCTGACCTGTATCTTGCACTGACCTCCTATCTCATCCTGTGACTAAGAATGCCTAAACTCATGGAAATGCAATCCGGTAGGTCTCATCTTTATTTTACCCAGCCTCTACTCAAGATGGAGTCACTTTGGTTCCAACACCTCTGACAACACCAGTAAAAAGACAACCAAATTGTGTGGTGGTTATATTTCTTTCTGTGATTAAAGTATGTCATTCAGGTGCATATCCTGCTCTAGCAACCTGTGTAAGCCTGCTTCATATAAATGAGTTTGATTTTAATGCTACCAAGTGTCAGGATTCTAATCTTAGATGACTGAGAAACCCACCTTTATAAATTACTCAAGGTGTTGGTTCTCCAAGTACTGTTTACAAACCCCTAGGTGTCCCTGAAACTCTTTTAGGAGGTCTGCAGCAGGGGGTCAGAGTGATACTAAAACATTATCTGCTTTTTACCCTTTATGATATTTTCTGTAATGGTAAGAAAACAGCCATGGGTAAAACTACTGGTACCTTAACACGAATCAAGGTACTAGTACCAACTGTGGTAGTACCATTATATTCTTCGGCTCCGTACTCTGACAGAAAAAAGCGAGAGCATGATTGTGCCATAATATAAAACATATTTGTTTTTTTTTGTTGTTGCTAGTTCCTATCACAGAGAACCCAAAACACTTGGAATTTACTGGGTGGTAGGAATGTCTTTTGTTCTTTGTAATTAGCCCCTTTTGATCTAAATTTATACTAATGAAGTGACTTAGGGTGAAGGCTCCACAAAGCCTCAGGATGGGGCCAGTCATCAGAAAGACCGAGTGATTAGAGAATTGAATGCTTGGAACTTGCTGCCCCACCCACCAACCTCCAGGAAAGGTGGGGTAGGATGCTGGATATTAAGATCTAAAGAACTCCTAAACAATAAGATTTGATGAGCTTCTGGGTTGCTGAACACATGGAGGAGAGGTGCTGGGTTGTGTCACACCCAGAGGGCATGGAAGCTCTGCACCACCCTAGACCTTGCCCCAACCATTTCTGGCTGTTCATCTGTATCCTTTGTAATTTCCCTTATAATAAAATGGTAAACATAAGTGTTTCCCTGAGTTTTGTGAGCCGTTCTAGCAAGCTAATCAAGCCCAAAGAAGGGGGTTACATGAACTCCAGTTTGTAGCCAGTCTGGTAAGTAGAAAGTCTTGAGGTTAGAAGGTGGTATCTGACACTACCTCCAGGTAGATGGTGTCAGAATTGAATTGAATTGAATTATGGGATAGTCTCAGAGCCAGGTAGAGACCTGCTGCAGGTATGGAGACACTGCAGAGAGTCTTCACTAGGGCAATGCCTAGAGGAACCATAGGAGTCAGGCCACTCCTCGGACCCCAGAACTATCGCACCACCAGCATGCAATGCCAGTTTGGGAAAGCTGCAGGCATACAACTTCAATGTGTGAGAGAAAGTGTGGACCACACATAGCAAAACCATGGGGGCAAGGCTGCTCATGGTCCCAACTCCCACCCCAGTGTGTCTAAGTGGCAAGACATGCAATTAAATATATATATATACACACACACACATATATATGTGTGTGTATATATATATTCTCAAGCCTTAGGATTTAATATTGTTTGCCATGTTGGGTTTTGTACTTACTTGGGACCTGATACTTCTTTCTTTTTTTTTCCTATTTCTCCCTTTTGGAATGGGAATATCTACCCTAGACCTGCCCCGCAAATATAGTTTGGAAGTACATAACTCGTTTAATTTACAGACCACACCTGTGGGAAAATTTGAGCATGAAAAACATTAAGATTTTTGGGGCTACTGGGATAAAATAAAATAGGAGAATGAGAAGAACATGAGTTTTGGGGGCCAAATGGAATGCTATAATCTCAATGTGTCCTCCAAATTTCATTCATCAGAAACTTAATTTCCAATGCCACAGTGTTGGGAGGTGTTTAGGTTGGGAGGGCTTTGCCATCATATGGATTAATGCCTCTATTGAAAGGGCTTTGGGAAGTGGATTCATACTTGCCTGTCCACTTCCTTCCATATGAGGACGCAGAGGGAAAGCCCTCACTAGATGCCAGTGCCATGGATCTTTGACTTCTTAGCCTCCAGAACTGTAAGAAATAAATTTCTGATCTTTGTAAATTACCCGGTCTCAGGTATTCTGTTAGAGCAGCACAAAATGGACTAAGACAGCGTCTGCTAAGGAATTGCTTGGTCTGTGGTGAAAAACCCACACACACCTGGTTACAGAAGAGTTCTGTATTGAGCTTAAGGATAGAGGAAATAATTTTTTTCCTTTCAGAATGATGAAATAGCAACAATTTTTAATTTTATTACTTCTTGACCCTTGAGTACATATCTTTGTAGTATTTATTGTGATACAATAGGAAATATGCAAAACACTTTTATTTCATAATGATTGCTCTCAGGAGAATTACTGCCAATTGTTTGAATTGTAATCTGAAATATTTGCTTTTCTTCACTGAATACAATTTATACTTGAAAAAATGACAGATTGACAGACTGTGTTTATTAAGAATTGCGTATTTGTCAAGCATTTCTTCAAGATTAAATAATGTGAGCCTGTCACTTCACGAAAAACAGGTAACACTGGTTTTTGCTAATAATAAAAGTTGAGCATTCAACTGAAAATTAAAATTTTAGAAAACATGTATCCACTCTCATGAGTTTGAGAGTTTCACTGTAAAGACATTTCTGATGAGATTGGATGTGATATTGATAAATATGCTTTTTAAACATTACATAATGAAATGTATAAACATTTGTAATATTTTAATAAGTCGATGAACAAATACATTTCAAATGACCAATAAATGATGTTACAAAATTATGTGAAGGTAAAATGTATTTTCACAGAAAATGTTGAATCCATTTGATTTCAATGCAACACAGTGTAAACAGTTCATTGATAAAGTTTTGGATTCTACATTGCAACTAAGAAGCCATGCAAAGAAGCCATGATTTGACAAGTTTTGGTGTAGAACAAAAGAGGAGTACAAGTTTCTGAAAAGCAATTAACATACTTCTTTCTCTTAACTACATACTTGCATGAGGCTAAATTGTCTTCACATACTTCAACCAATACACCATATTCACAAAGGTTAAATGCAGAAGTAGATATGAGAATTCAGCTGTTATTTTATTTTATTAAGACAGATGTCAAAAAGAATTCAAAAAAATGCAAGACAATGTCACTCTTTTCACTAATTTATTTTTTATTCTGGAGAATACTTATTTTTTACAAAAGTATGTTTGCATGCAATAGACTTATTATTTTAACATGAATTAATACATGTGTTTTAAAATTCAGTGGTAATTTCCAATACAGTAAATACTGATATTTATAAACTACATACACCATAGCCACTTGTATTTTTCAATATTTTCCATGAGTGTAAAGAGGCCCTGAGGCCAAACGTTTGAGAACTGCTAAAGGTAATGTATCCATCGGGAGGTATTTTAGAGAAACCTTGATAACCTTTGATAGTTGAGTATCTCAATATTTTTACTAGCCCTTAGTGTGTTTTACACTGAGAATTTTATTCACAGTCTAACTAGTTGTATTCTCTAATTCATTTCCTCATTCAGCCAACAAATACAGTCACTATTCTAGGTAATGAGAATATAGCAGAGAAAAAAAAGCAAACTAACAGCAGAACAAAATACACCTTGCTTTCACTGAGCCTGTGTCCTAACAGGCTAGACATAAGTAGAAAATAAACATGTAGAATAATATATTTTCATATCATAGATGCACTCCCAACTCAGTCAAAAGATCTTGAGTTTAAAAGTAATTATTTCATCCATCACACAAATTTTAAGCTACAAAGTGGGAGAGTAGATTTTATCAGCTCTTTGTGACTAGTTGACTTCTAATTTGAATCAGTCATCTTGGCCCATTTTTACATGAATATCTGGATGCACACCAGAACTTCCATTGGCCAAAATGGTGCAAAAAAATGTCATTTAAGCTCATGAAATGTATTCCATATGGCCCACTTGGCTATTGAGTCAGCTGGTTTGATTTCATCAGCATTCTGGACTTAGCCACGTTATCACATATCCTGCTTTTTGAATAAGTTATTGCACAATATGGAGAACTTCCATCACAGTCTACTTGGATCACAACCAAACTGTTATATCTTTCAGGCTGAAGGAAGGAAATGAAGTCTCTTCAATGTTATGAACTAAGTAGGGTCAGTTTTGCTCCATTTTATCTTCTCTTTTGTGTTTTTTCCTGCTGATCTCCTGAATTGCACTTATTTATTTATTTATTTATGGTTTTGCACGTCACTAGTCTACCTATAATTTTCACCTCAGAGATTCAAATCTTATGCCTCTACCTCCAGTCTTTGTGAATTTGGGAATATTTCAGTGTCCTCTCATAAAAATGCCAGTACATACAATTGTCAAGTCAATTATTTTTATAAGTTTGGCAGCAGAATCTGTATATTAAAATCTATTTATGGGAGATTAAGCAATTATTGTTTAGTTGGGAGAAAAAAATATACTCTGTAGGTATTAAAAAAAGGACTTATCAAATGAATTAAAAGTGTTAAGACACACACACATACACATAAAAACGCATACACCCCACACACATTGAAAAGTTTGGGGTACAATCATCTGAGCTACTGTCCCCAATGATAGGAAATCAAGTAGTACAATAAATATCAAAAACCACTCTGGATAATCTTAGTTTTCTATAGCAATAAGTGGGTAATTCTTTGTACAAAGCTCATGAGCTATAGGAAAACCTGTATCTACTATGTGCTAAAGATCATGAGAGGCTCATAGCTGCTATTAGAACAATATTAGGCTTTGTTTTTCTTCTGCCTTGAAATTCTCATGTAAACTGGTGGAATTTAACCCATAATTCTGTATTAAAGTGATTCTGCGTGGCCGGGCACGGTGGCTCACGCCTGTAATCCCAGCACTTTGGGAGGCCGAGACGGGCGGATCACGAGGTCAGGAGATCGAGACCATCCTGGGTAACACGGTGAAACCCCGTCTCTACTAAAAATACAAAAATTAGCCGGGCATGGTGGCGCGCGCCTGTAGTCCCAGCTACACGGGAGGCTGAGGCAGGAGAATGGCGTGAACCCGGGAGGCGGAGCTTGCAGTGAGTCGAGATCGCGCCACTGCACTCCAGCCTGGGCGACAGAGCGAAACTCCGTCTCAAAAAAAAAAAAAAAAAAGTGATTCTGCGAAAAACAGTTTTCAGTCTTTCCTACCTGAAGAGCACAGAAGAGTTTGAGAATGAAGTTAGTTACCGGAAAAAAAAATACTATCCAGCACGTCAAGATAGTAGATATGCCAAAATCTGAAAATAAAAATTTCATTTCTTATATGACTCCTGGTAATCAAAATGACTAGACACATTATAAAAATGTGTGGTGGCTTAATAAGTCAAATGTCTCAGAGAAAATATAAGATTTTAGTAAGAGAGAGAAAATATTGTCCCAAAAGGATAGCACAAAATATAGATTACCAGAAAGGATAGTAACAGATTAGCAGTTCAAGAAATAATGATTGTGTTGGCATTGTAGTAGGTGCTGTGAGCATATCACTGGAAATACAGCACCCTCCCTGCTCTCAAGGAACTTCCTCTTCAGAGATAGTCAACAAGCAAGTCAACAAATAGATAAATAAGATAAATGTTATTTATGAGTAAATAATCAGAGTTATAGGAGAGAGAGTGAGAAGAGAGATGATTTGGACAGATTGGTAAAGAAAAGACTGTGTGAACATGTGACATTTGAGCTCACATCTGGAGTTTGAGAGAAAACAGACCACATAATGAGAAAAGGAGGAAGATGGTTTCAGGTAGAGAGATTGGTAAGCACAGGCCCTGCGAGCTGAGAAAAGTCTTCACGTCTTCAAGGTATGGAATGGAAACCATTGTGGCTGAAAAATACTGAGTAGAGAACAGAATAAAATGATGTTGAAGAGAAACACAAGAATTAGATTACGTAAGGTCTTGGCATGTGCAGTGGAGTAGAAGAAAGGTTGTTGTGGTTTAGTGAAGTTGGTGAGTGAAGAGAAGAGTGATAGATTATGAGGATAACAGTAGGCAATGACGACCTCCTGTAAGCACTCATAGTTGTCTTTAGGAGTTGGATACTTTTTAAAGAAGTATGAGAGGCCATTGAACAATTTTAAGTATTGTTACTAAGACCAATAATATCTAATTGGAAGTCCACTTAAGGTTTGCAGAGAGCAATTTCTGAAATGAAAACAAAAATTTGGTAGATTTTATGGATAAAAAAGTTTAGGAAAAAACATAAAACCATTATCAAAAAATTAAAAACAAGAAAGAAACAGAAAGTTTGTTATTTTATGAGAAATTAACTAAATTTTCAATAAAATAAATGAAAGAAGATGAAGTTTAACTAAAGTCTCACTTGCCCTTTACTTAAAGTGTCACTTCTGATAAATTACTTACCATTGGTTTTGTATTTCCTTTTTGTAATTTTAAACATTGTATTATGTTTTTATGTTTTTTAAATAATTGATTGTACTCCTTCATGTAATCAATTCTTAAATTCAATTTTCATTGTACCACATAATTTTATTGCTCTGTTTGTTGTCAACCATGTATAATTATTATTTTTTTTTTGTTCATTGTTTAGGTAATTTTCTCCCATGGAGCATATAAAAGAAAATAAGAAGTAAAGTGTTGAAAATAACTGTAAACTATAAAGTATATAAAGAAGAAAGATTTAAGTCAAAAATTTAAAGAGAAAACTCCTAGTATTTACTTAAGGAACATACGGTATGATAGAACCATGAAGTAATTATTTCATGACTTTGTATTCTCACCATAAATGTGATAATTTTCAGTGTTATTATTGTTAATAGTCATCATCACCTTACATTAATTTGGACCTCCTTTGTATAGGTCAGTGTGCCAGGTCCAGGAAGAAAAAGTGATATTTCCTCTGAAATCAGGCTTGGAAGACAATTCTCCTGTGGTGATGTAAGCTACGTTTATTTTGCAGGATGCAAGAATAAATGTCAAGTTTTTCAATTCAAAATATGAAAGGACCAATCTAAATTAAATCTGGATGGAGGACACATATAAACCCATGTTAAAGGAGGCTCAGGGTAGAGATAAATTTTGAGAATATATTAAAAATTTCACAATTGGTATTTGTTTATAACATAGATAAGGAGATAAGAAATCCCTCTTTAAGAAAGTAGTCTCTTATGTTTGCATAGCAGTTCATAGTTTCAAAGTCTTTATGCTTCTAATATTTTTTATGAGTCTCAGAGTAATCCTCTGAGGTGAACAAGACAGCCACTTTCCCCATGGATAATGTAGGGGCCAAAAAATGCAACTTGCTTATATCATGTATGTGACAGAAATGAGACCAGGCACTCACCTTTGATTCTCTTCAAATACATTTCTACTATATTATGCAGCCACGTTATATTCTGTCTGGAAAAATAAGTGAAAAGTTGAACTATTTTACCTTTTAAGAGAAAGTAAGTGTGAGCCTTACACTTAAATATAAAATAAAACTAACCAGTATGATTTGGTGCTATATCGGTAGAAGAAAAACAAGAAATTTTGTTTTATGAAAACTTTTTAGAAAACATAAAGCATCAGAAGCTATCATTTATTAAGTGCCAACTGTGAACCAGTTTCTCAATGTATATTATTTATTCTGTTTTAGAGATGAAGAAATATACTCAATGTTTCTACTGTATCAGTCAGGACTCTTAGTTTTAATCCTTGAAAATTACTCTGGCTAATTTAAAGAGATATTAGCAATTCTCCAAATCTCTGGGAGGGCCAGGGAAACTAGCTTAAAGGCTCGGCAGCCAGGACCTGTACCAGCATGGGAGCACACTTTGGAGACCCCACAGCATGGGATTCAAAGAGAGGCAATTCATATACCCGGGAAGCCACCAATGGGTTCATTGCCATCTGTCTTTCTGCCATATTCTGCCATCTTCACCAGGAAATGAATTATTCATAGTGCCTTCTCTACTCCAAGTCAAAATCTCACAAAGCCACATCTTATTTATTAAGTCTAGGTCACATAACAGACTTCCTTTTCTTTTTTTTTTTTTTGTTTGGTAAAAGTGGTACTTACAACATGGTAAATTCCCTAAAAAAACCCCCTCTGTTTAAAAGTGGTTGAGTGCCATAAAGATAATACATGTTCACTATACAACTGTGGGAGATTTCCAAAACAGCTACACATTCTTCCTTCCTTTACAAATACTCGGGCCTTTACAATGTGAGTGTTGCAGCTCTTCCCATCAAAACATAGTCTCTCTTCCTGAACCATGAATTTGGCAGATGTTGTGACCTGTTTGAACAACTCAATGAGGTAGAAATGATACTGTGCTGGTTGCCAGCCTGCGCCTCAGAGGCCGTCTGCTCTTCTGCTGTTCCTCTGAGAGCCCTGCTGCACCCGTGAGAACAATTCCAGGCTAACATACTGAAGAATGCAGTTCAAGTGAAGGAGACAGTGTCGTCCCAGCCAAGGCACAAACACAGGGGAGCAAGCAAGACCCCCCCCGCCAGGCAACCTGCAGTTGACCACAGATGCATGAGTAAGCTCCATCAAACATGCAACTGGGCTATGCCAGAAGAACAACTCCACCAACTTGCAAAACTTATCTGCTTAATGTTGTAAGCTACTAAAATGTGGGGTGGTTTGTATGCAGCAAATATCTGACAAATTTACAAAAAAGTCATTCTCACAAGCATTTTTGTGCATAACCAGCTTCACGTACATGAAATTCTTTTGGAAGGTAGGTGTGGGTGAGGTGAACTTTTTAGACCACACTACAACCAATTTGTATGACTTCAAGTGCTCCAGTGGCACTCTGCACAGAGGGGCTTATCGTTCCACTGTGCACATGATTGCCTTGAGGGATAGCCAAAAAGGGATTTTCTTCATATGGCTTCAAGTTACTCTAATGCCAATATAGCTTTTATCACAGCCTGCCAATGTAAATAGATATATTTATTTCCTATTCTCATTTAACTACACATATTGTGAATTGCAGTGTTATTTTCTTATCTGAATAGCCCCTCAATAGCTGTTTATTATAATATTTGCCATATAGTCACCTCCCTCTGACAGCAGGGTAATACAGCTTAATGAAATATTTGTAAAGCCCAATGAACTGCACAGAAGAAATATGCTTTTAAGTTCTAAATTATGTTTCTCACTAACACCATTAATAACATATTCTCCTCATATCTGTGTAGCTTGTGACTTTACTCAACCAACCACACACGTTGTAGTCACACCAAATGAAATGTTAGGTCTGTGAATGATTCTCATGCAAACAAATTGTTGAGGCATGACACATTGTTGAAGCTGTGCTCAACCAGTTTGGGAATTAATAGAGAGAAGATTGCAAATTGCTGAAACCTTTTCTAGTAATATTTCTTGTCTCTATGATGATCATCATACTTCAACACCTTTTTTTCCCCTGGAAATGTTTAGACATTATTATTTAATTGCATCTCATTATTAATTAAAGTATCTCTAAATTTTCCTCAGACTCTGTCGTATCTGAGACCATGCTGTGCCAACGAATCATACATTGTTAAAGTTAAAAGGAACTTTTAAGGTAATACATAGGAAATGTTTAATATAATGCCTCATAAGTAGTAATTAGCTAATAAACATTAGTTGTTATTATTGTTGCTTTCTACTATTCATATTAAACCTCTCGACAGAAAAAGGAGAAAAATGAAGTTTCTACTAAAATGTTGCCAGTAACATGTTTAGTAGCTTACAACTTTAAGCCGATCAAACCTTGCCTTTTGTCATTTGAAAAATATGGTCAAGTGCCTCCTATATTTACATATAGGGAATATGGACAAAATCCGAGATGGAGTTCTTGCGCTTCACCTACTGACAGTTTATTGACACCAGCACCTATCCATGTGTAAATGTGTGCTGTGGCCTTCAACTTGCCTTCTCACGTAGGTCAGCCCATATCTGTCTAGTCTTGGTTATAATCAGTGTTCTGATTGGGAGGCATGGGATATACTAGAAAAGGCAGAAAATGGAAGAACTGAATTACTCTGTAAGATGAAGGAGGAAGGATTTTGAAGTCCCCTGTGGAAAATCTGGGAATAAGAAAGGGGATGAAAGAGGAAGGAAAGAGATCAGGAGAAAAATGAAGGAGACAGGAGGAAGGAAGAGAGGAGGAAGGGAGAAGTTAGTAGTGCTAAGTGCTTTTTGTGATAGGGTTGCTAGGTAAAATATAGGATGTCCAGGTAAATTGGAGTTTCAGATAAAACATGAATATTTTTATATGTCTCTAATAGTGCATGGGTATCAAACAATCAGTTAATCAATCAATAAATTCCCTGTTTCACTAAAATCAAATTTAACTGAGCATTCAGTATTTCTATTTGCTAAATCTTGCAGCCTTATCTTGGGGATACAGACAGAAAGAGAAAGCATGTATACAAATTAAACCTATATATTATGGGATGTAAGAGATTAATCTCCCCTTCTTCTCCTCTGCAGAGGTTGTAGATCTCTTCTCTGACTTTTTTGTCTCCTTTAGCTGCTCATTCTTGATTATTCCATTAGTCTCTACTTGGGTTCCTCAAAGGTACCTTAAGCAGAAGACATCTAAAACAAAACTCTTGACTTTGCCATTCCAGTCTCTGCTACGTCATTCTGGAGAAATCACCTGCCAACCCCCTGCTTAAAATAGCTTCCTTGCCTCCACTGTTCCCTATGTCATCATGGTGTTTTATTTCCTCTACAAAATGGTATAATCTAAACAATTTATTTGTTTGCATACTTATTTCTGGTCTGTGTGCTCTCACTAAAATGTAAGCTCTATGAAAACAGGGAACTTGAAAATTTGCTTTACTCTACTATCTTAGTACTTAACACAGCTGTGCTTCACAAATCAAAATTTAGTAAATGTGGAGTAAATTGATGAATAAATAATCTACTCCCTAAACTTAGTTCTCTGGCACCATTTTATGTCTCAGAGAATGGCATTACCAAGTATCTAATTTTGTAATCGCCGTAAATGTAATAGTCCTTCATGAAATCTTTGAGGCCCCAAGGTCCATATCCAAACAGTCACATTCATTTCTAAATTTTATCTATTACCTTTTATGTGTTTTTAAAATCAGCCAGATTCTTTCTATTTCCACAACAATTACCTTGGCTCAGATACTATCAACTCTACCCAGAACTTTTCTACAGTCTCTTGTGAGTATATATTTGGTGAGTAAATACTTACTTTTGTCTCCTTCTGAAGAGTTTCCACACTACAGTGGAATAATTTTATGGAAAAGCTAACTTGGCCATGTCACTCCCACTCCACCCCATTCCCACCCTTCAATAAAGAGAATTCAAGGTGAATATTTTTAAATAAATAAATAAACAAAGAAACAAACAAGTAAATAAAGACCTACGTTAGCCATTGAAAATTTGGCCTAAAAAATCCCCAACCTCAACAAGCACCATTTTGCTGCTCCATGTTTTAGTTTTTTCCTCTCTCTCTCTCTCTCTCTCTCTCTCTCTCTCTGTTCTCTTTTGTTGTTGTTGGATGTTGGATCTTAAATGCATGCAACTGAATTTTTTTATTTGAACTCTGGTTTTTAATACATCATCATTTTTGGTTCATGAATAGTCCTCCGTTTTTATATTTTTTAATCTTTAACATAGTAAGCTTTTTCTAATCCATTATCTAACTCAGGATTTAGAACACGAATGCATCTTACATCTTAATGAGCTCATTCCCCATCCCGCCATTTATCAACTCCAGCAACCAGAGGTAGCCACTATCATAAAACTTAGTGTGTGTGTGTGTGTGTGTGTGTGTGTGTGTGTGTGTGTGTTGTACTTGTTGGTCAAATCTGGCCTGAGGACTGTCCTTTTATAGCCAGTGAGCTAATCATGATTTTTACACTTTTAATGTGGTGTGAAAAGAAACAAAGAAGAATTTTCTGTACGGGAATAATTGTTTTTAACTAAATAATATATTAATAAAGCCCATTCACATTCCTGCAGATAGCTGTAGATCATTCATTTTGACTGCTATATAATGTTTCATTGAGAATTTATTACACTTTATTCATTTCCATTCACTGTCTTTAAGTCATCTTTCAGTTTTTCCGTCAAACTATGGATTATTCCAACATATACATCAGCTCTTTCTTAAAATTGTTAAGTTGGACTCATTTCCTTGGATCTTAGCTAAATCTTCATTTCTCAAGGAAGCATTTTTTGCTTCCTCTGACCACATTAATTATCCTCATTGAAAATGTGTGTACTTCTCCATTAGAATAATTTTTTATGGGTTTAACTTCTTGATTATTCCATTAGTCTTTCTCCTCCATTATAATTTCCATCAGGGCAAAGCTCATGACTTTTTGTTTGTTTGTTTTTATCCCCAGCATCTAAAGCAGTGGTTGGCACTTAGTGGATGCCAAATAAATATTTGTTAACTGAATTAATGCAGTGAATATTGCTCACTAATATATTTTTGCGTGTGTGTGAATAAATTATCCAAAGACAATTGAAAGCATTATGGAATGCTGTACCTAGATAGAAGTGAGAACAGAAACAGATGGAATAAATGAAAGAGTATGAAAATGAGAAAACAACTGACATCTGAGTTATATCTAAAGCTAACTACAATACAAGAGACAAGGACCATAAAGCCCAATGGGGTCACAGATGGAACAGCAATTCTCTCTTGTTAGGTTGGCAAATACTCATACATTTGATCAGTCCAAATGTTGAGACTGAAAAAGTTAAGTAGAATTTACCTCCTCTGAATTTTTTATTTGAAATATGAGAGGACTAGATGAAATTATTTCTAAAGTGGTTTTTGGAGCTTATGTTTTATGCTTTTATGTTTTACACACATGTTAATTTATTTACAATAACACTGATTCTCCATCTTAATCAGTATCTTCTCATGGGTAACACAGTTCTATCAATGAACTTGTATGTGGTATGAGTGTACGCAACACCACCTAGACGCCAGTACCTGCCGTTCTGACTGTTTGCCAGCAGGAAGACGCTAACATAAGGCAATCTTGTTCTTAACAGTGTTTCCTGGCCAGGCGTGGTGGCTCACCCCTGTAATCTCAGCACTTTGGGAGGCCGAGGCAGGTGGATTGTGAGGTCAGGAGGTCCAGACCAGCCTGGCCAACATGGTGAAACTCCATCTCTACCAAAAATACAAAAAAAAAAAAAAAATTAGCCGGGCATGGTGGCATGCGCCTGTAATCCCAGCTACTCAGGAGGCTGAGGCAGGAGAATTGCTTGAATCTGGGAGGTGGAGGTTGCAGTGAGCCAAGATCACGGCACTGCACTCCAGCCTGGGCTACAGAGGAAGACTCGGTCTCGGAAAAATAAATAAATAAATAAAAATAAAAAGTGTTTCCTGTAGTATTTTATTATCATTGCCATTTCAGATTAATATCGACTTTTTTAATTTTAAGACTACGTATTCTATCTTAATTTTTATTTTATTTTTTTAATGAATAGTATCCATAGGCATGTATTATGGAGCATCCTATGACTTCCTACCTGGTTGCATTGGCTAAAGATTCCTCTTAAAAACCACAGAACAATGTTTTCTTGGTTCTTAGTAGCAGAAGTCATTGATTTTGATTAACTGTTTTGCAAGCCAGTTGCGAACCTCTGCTTTGTCTTTGTTTTATTCTGCTTATTTATCACCAATCTATGTTGGGTCCCTTCACGATTTAGCCACAGTTAGAGTGAGATTTCTCTCTTCATCCCCTTCAAGAGAAAGAGACCTCCTGTGTTTAAAAAGAAGCAAACATAAAACAGCTTTATAGGCACTCTTATTTCAGAAGATGTTTGGGAATATATATGTATCCTCAAAATACTGATTGTATATATAAAATCAGCATTAAACAAAATCAACTCCACTTATAAAATCCTCTTTGAGCCTCTCACTTATAAGGTTTATCACCATGTCTGCTTTTGTAAGGTACTAAGTTCCTGAAAGGTGTACTGACTGTCAGGCACATTGTCACAAAGGGGATGTGGTGTGAGTGCCTTCATCTGCCACTTACGTTATGTTCAGTGAGTTTACATGCAGTTACCTTATCTTACCACAAGATGGTGGTAAAAACAGTAAGGCATTCAATGTGCACCTGGGTGGGAAACCACAGAAAGAACACAAAGAAGTGAAGTTTAGGGTTTTATTGGACACAACATAATCAATAAATTAGTAAAATAGGGAAACAGAAAATTCTTGAACTCAAAATTATGAGATATTTTCTCATTTTCATTTGAGTTCCTCTACTGAACGCTATAAATATTCTTACTTTCAAACTTAATTGCCAATTGGGCTTTCAAAAATTATATTGAAATGATACTTAATTTTTCTATTTTCTTGATTTGTATAATTGTATCATTACATCTGAGAAAATATTCTAGAATACAGGCTTTGTGGGTGTATTAGTCTGTTCTCACGCTGCTAATACCTGAGACTGGGTAATTTATAAAGAGTTTTAATTGACTCACACACAGTTCCACATGGCTAGGGAAGTCTCACAATAATGGCAGAAGGCGAATGAGGAGAAAATCAAGTCTTATAT
Source organism: Homo sapiens (assembly GCF_000001405.40). NCBI lineage: Eukaryota > Metazoa > Chordata > Mammalia > Primates > Hominidae > Homo > Homo sapiens. Next base: position 31,371,539 of record NC_000004.12, read on the forward strand.
GGCAACAGGCGAGAGAGCTTGCGAAGAGGAACTTCCCTTTATAAAACCATCAGATCTCATAAGACTTATTCACTATGACGAGAACAGGGTGGGGAAAGACCCACCCCCGTGATTCAATTACCTCCCACTAGGTCCCTCCCACGACACATGAGGATTATGGGAGCTACAGTTCAACGTGAGATTTGGGTGGGGACACACACAGCCAAACCATATCAGTGGGTTATGTTATTTAATTGCTAATATGTCTGTATCCTATATTCCCAACTTAAAGTTTCCAGAAACTGAATTATTACTTTTTTGTATCCCCCACAAGAACTATTACTCACAGATAAACAGCCAGTGTTGCATAAATGCATAGTGCTCTGAATCTTATTCAAATCTTCAACAAATTATGCAGTCTGCTTTTAACAGGTCATCTGACTCTGAAGCATTTTGACTATTTTTATTCCAGGAAATCTACAGACCAGCACATTTAAGAAAATTAGCAGAACCAAATTTGGGAAGCAAAAACCTTATTGTTTCCTCAAAGACTCTTGAGGCACAGCATACGATAATCTGTTGAGTTTTCCCCTGGAGTATATCAAGGACTCTTCTCTCTTAACTGTTGTTTAACTCTAGGCCTCATTGTTGTTGTGTTTTGCAACTTTCTCACTTTTCAATCGTCAGTTTTGCTTTCTGCGGTGGGTGGTCTTAGCAGAGTATAATAATTATGAATTCCCTCTCACATCGTTTCTTCATGTCTTCTGATATATCTCTACCACAAGTTGTTATGAAAGTAGGAGGTGAGTGGGTGAGTTTATAATGAGTATCATCTGTAGCCCCATACGTTCCTGGATAACATGTAGGACAAAGACAGATCTTCTTTTGAGATTCCAAATAATTAAGAAAATAGCAACTTGCACTGTGATAAGCCACTTTTCACCCAGGATGTTTGAGAAAAAAATGTTTTGCTTGTACATTTCCTTTCTTTGGTTAAAACTTCCTCCTTCCCGATTTCATAAAATAACAGTTAAAACAATGAAATGTAAGCATATGTTTCCTTCATGAGGCTCTAAATATTTAAAGGCAATTACTTGAAAATTCGTATCCCTATTGTCTAGACCAGGAGTTGGCAAATTAAAGCCCCACAGGCCTACTTTCTCCTACTGCCAGTTTTTGTAAATAACACTTTATTGGAACCCAGCCATGCCCATTTATTAATTATTGTCTATGATTATTTTTTGCACTACAATGGCAGAAGTGAGTAGTTGTGACAGAAATCATATGGGTTGCAGAGCTTAAATATATTTCTTCTTTAGCCCTTCACAGAAAAAGTTTGCCAATACAGATTTGGTGCTTGAAAAATTTTTGTTGAATAAATGGAATAATGGAGACTATCACCTATACTGATGTCTGATGCTAAATAAAAAAATGCTGTTTGTTAAGATTACATTCTTGCTTAAATTATGAGTCAAGAGATAATGAATGACTTATCTAGTGAGAATACACAATGAAATACTTTACTTGATTTAGTCAGTTTATTGAAACAACTGATTGTAGTACCTTTTTTTTTTGGTAGTTTGTTTTGGAAATTGAAATATCTGAGTCTTAATTAACTTATTAAATTATTGGTTCATTTTTGTATTATATGAACTAAGTGGTCCATCATATAGAAATGTGCTACACAGGCTATTAGTTGCAAGAAGAAATAGTAACAATTTCTTGACATAAAAATACCATAATCAAGTGAGATCGTTTTTTTTTTAACAAATTTTAATTTTTAGAGCATTTTTAAGTTCACAGCAAAATTGAGAGGCAGGCAATACAGAGAGTTCCTTGGTCCTCTGAACACACACAGAGCCTCCCCAACTGTCGACAAACCCCACCAGAGTGGTACGGTTGTTATGATTAATGAACCCAGATGGACACATCATCATCACCCAAAGTCCATAGTTTACATTAGGGTTTACTCTTACTGTTTATTCTATGGATTTTGACAAATGTACAATAACATGTCTTCACCATTGTAGTAGTATACAGAATAGTTTCACTGCCCCCCAAATCCTCTGTGCACTGCCAATTCATTCTTCTTTCCCTTCTGACCTCTGAAGAGCACGGAACTTTTTACCATTTCCATAGTTTTGTCTTTCCCAGAATGTCATATATTTGGAATCACACAGTATGCAGACTTTTCAAATTGGTTTCTTTCACTGTGCAATATGCTTTGAAGTTTTCCACCATGTGTCTTTGTGCTTGAAAGCTCATTTCTTTTTGTCAGAGAATAATATTTCATTGTCCAGATGTAGCACAGTTTGTCCATTCACCTACTGAAAGACATCTTGGTCACCTTCAAGTTTTGGCAATTATGAACAAGTTGCTATAAACATCCACATGCAGGATTTTTTGTGGACACAAATTTCAACTTATTTTTATAAATACCCAGGAGTGTGGTGACTGGATAGTAGAGTACATTTAATTTCATAAGAAACTGCCAAACTGTCTTCCAAAATGGCTATACTACTTTACATTTCATCCAGCAATGAATGAGCATTCCTGTTGCTCCACGTTATCACCAGCATTTAGTGTTGTCAGTGTTTTGCATTTTCACCATTCTACTAGGTGTGGTTACATTTTTAACCACAAGAATTTGTAATGCTTTCAAAGTTTTAAAAACAGGTTTTAATATTTGGGGATGTGGTAGCATATACAACATTTCTCAAAACAAATTGATCATTGAAACATTTTATTGGGGGAGAGCCTATGAAATAAATATTCCTGCGGAGCTGCTGACAGCATTTTTTTTTTTTATCTCTGGTACCTAGCCTAGCATAATGCCTGACACACAGCAGCTGTCTGTGGAATAAATGAATGCTTGAGTTTGGAGCTCATAGAGAGATCTGGCTTGGCTGGAACCTGAGTGAATTCAGACATAATGGGATAATCTTGGGCCTACTTACAGAAAAAGAAGCCAGCACTCACATGCAAGAAAGCCCCCAGACTTAAGAAGCTATTATATGAATGTTCTATTTTAATGGGATAGGTTAATTAAATGGTTAATTCTAGCATTAAAATAGAAATAGATATATGAGACCAATTAATTGCTTTTTTATGAGCTTTTAAAATTTTATATATTTGGCCGATACCTCACAATAATTCAGTATTCTTTGGCAGCCAGTAGTTGCTGATGGCAATTTTCTTTGTCAGAACTGTTATCAAACTGTGCTATTAAAAGAGATTGATTTGGTGAGATCTGGGTAGATCTGTAACAAAAAAGCAAGCAGTCCAAGCTGTTGTCTAACATACAGGAATTTGGATAGATTTTTCTGTATCCTCTTGGCTTGAGCTGTGGTTTATCATATTTTAAATGTGGTCCGAGCAAGCTTCTCCAAATGTGTCTCATACAATTATACATTTAAGCCAACATTTTATTTTGAAAAGAATGTTTATATAACTTTGTGTTTGGCTTCATATATTTATTTAATATACAATTTCTGTTGACATTTTCTCAGTTCTTATTCTAAATAGCAAATTTATGTTATTCCATTTTACAAATGAAGAATCTAAATTCTGGAGCAGTTTTCAATGCAGTTTTAACAATAATAGTATGAAGTAGAATAGCATTTAAGAACTTGATTATTAACCTTTCATTTAGGTCAAATTTGTTTGATGATTCAATTTATTTAAAAAAGTTTGTATGTAGCTTTTTATACTTTATGATAAACATTATGATAATTTCCCTTTTTCGATGTTTAAACATTCTGAAATGATTTAGGCTTTTTTTCTTGCTCAGGTTAAGAGGGTTATGAAAGCACTTATTTCTACTTAAAAAAGTTCAAAAATATGCCAAACATGGTAAAGAGTAAGCAAATTTTTGAAATTTAGCAACTGCTGCTGAAATGTAAATTTCTATGAATTCAATTTTAATTATCATGATTCTTATTACATTAATAAAGAATATTCAGACGTTTTCATGTGAATGGAAAAATTCTTAGAATCTGAAAACATAAAATATTCACTGGATATAAGTTAAAGTTAAAAAGAGTCTTAAAATTATTTTTTTTTTTTTCTTGAGATGGAGTCTTGCTCTGTCGCCCAGGCTGGAGTGCAGTGGTGTGATCTTGGCTCACTGCAAGCTCCACCTCCCAGGTTCACGCCATTCTCCTGCCTCAGCCTCCCGAGTAGCTAGGACTACAGGCGCCCGCCACCATGCTCGGCTAATTTTTTGTATTTTTAGTACAGAAGGGATTTCACCATCTTAGCCAGGATGGTCTTGATCTCCTGACCTCGTGATCCACCCATCTTGGCTTCCCGAAGTGCTGGGATTACAGGCGTGAGCCACCGTGCCCGGCCGTGATTTGTTAATCTCTTTTTTTTAGAACACTTGATCTGTTTTTTTCAAGGGAAACACTATAAATGATTGTTTTGGATTGAACTTGTTCCACTAACCTATAAATAACAAGTCACCCTGAAAAACGTGCCTGGGAATAAAGCAAAAGAGGTAGAGATAAGACTATTGGTAAAGGGCTCTCTGTGTCATGATACAATATGAAAAACATGTTGTAGGAAATGGGGATCACTAAACGTTGCCAAGAGAACTGGACAAGTTTGGCTTGTGTTTTTAACATACATCTGTGTAAAGAATGTCTCGTGTATGCAAGGCTGAAGTTGTTAGGAAACTATCGCAGTTTAGGAAATTTCACAAGCGCTTGAACCAGATTATAATTCAAGGGATAAACAATGATGAGGGAGTTTCCAAATGGTCAGCAAGAAAGCAAGCAATAGGTGAGGAAGAGTAGTTTCTAAGGAAGAAGGTAGTAGAAGAGTGCAAGAAGAGTGAATAATTAAAGGAACTGGACTGTAAGTAGCCAAGATAGGGAAAATGGATATGGAAAGGAAAAACTGAGGTAGCACTCTGCAGTGAGGAAGAATAAAGGAAGTTGTGGGGAAGAAACACTGAATCAAGAAGTTCTCCCATCATGTTGGAGCAAACGACTATATAATTGAGTCATGATTACACATTGTGATGTATAGTTGCTAGCTCTATGATTGTGAGCTAGACATTTGAGTCAAAGGAGTGTCTGTACAAACGCTATATCATTAAGAAGAATTTAAAGTGATTCAGATATATGACTGTTATTCAGATACATAAGTATAATTATGGAAAAAACATCTAGCTCTATATAGAGAAGTTCTTTTAGTTCTTGCTATATGAACTTGCTTAATAATGTAATTATATGATTCTCATACACTGTATCTAAGAACTTAGTCAGTTTAGAAACACGACTTAACAAGAATCTGAAGAAATATGGCTCCATGCCCAATTTAGGACTCACTGTTAAGCCATGGCATTGTTAATAAGATACCATATGGTGGGGTTTGGCTTTTCTCACATTTAAGTGAACTGATTAATACATTTTTTTGATGGTAAGTTAAGCTGAAGATAACCACTTATTTTCTCGTCTTCTTATTAAAAATAATGAAACAAAGGCAGATTTCAGTTACTTTTTACAGATAGTCTCAGTTTGGGTTCTTGTTCAGTTAATTTTTATTTACCTGGGCTCATGGGTTGGAGGGATTTGGGAAAATAATAAAAGAAGACAAACACAAAGACTTATGTACTGAGTCCCTTATCTGACCCAACTGTGAATTCCTTTGAAGCTATGTATGCAAAGTACTTTCTGGGACCTGAGCTTAACTGAACAGCAAAAGAGACACAGTCCTTGATAATATACTCAGAGATGAATTGATTTTGTACTCATAGGCAACTGTTCACACACTGACTCAGCTAAAGTTAGTTTACATTCTCAAATGTCAGGCTAACTGGGACCCTAAGCCTTCTGGATCTACAGCAGGTCTAACTATGGTTCTCATGCCCAGTAACAATCTAAAACCAAACAGTAATGATTATAAGAGCAACATGGAAAATTTATCTCTTGTGGAGGTATATTAAATCTTTTTGTACTATTACACATCTTTCTTCTGGGTTTTTCTAAATTAGTATTTTATTACTGTGGTATTTCTGCCTCACTTTGGCAGTCATATTAATGATCTTTATGACACTATTTTACTAATATTCACTCAGAAAATTAGTCATTTACTACTATTTAAGAAATTATGACAATAAATTTAACATATATTAAAAGCGTTCCTATTAAAAACAGTGTTTTACAGAAGTTAAACACAAATTTTAGGATAAAATTAAAATAATAAAATTCAGCACAGCAAAAGAGTGTAATTTTATTTTCTATATGAGTATTGTATATTTTAAATGAAGACACTGATTATAAAAATGTATGCTATGCATGGTAAAATGAAATGTATTAGAATTAAAGACAGAAACTTTAAAAATCTTTTTTCTATATAATTTTTTTCTATACAATTTTAATAACATTTTTAAATGCTTACAGTTAATGTTATTGAAAAAGAATTTCATAATCCAAATTTGTTGTTGAGTATACATGTCTATAAACTCACAGAAAAAACAGAAGAGCACTCAGCAAGATGTTGACAGTGCCATTTTTGTGCTATTTGAATTTTCTATGTTTTTTACAGTCTGTATTTTATCATCTGATATGGTTTGGCTCTGTGTCCCCACCCATATCTCATCTTCTAGCTCCCATAACTTCCACATGCTGTGGGAGGGACCCAGTGGAAGATAATTGAATCATGGGGTGGGTCTTTCCCATGCTATTCTTGTGGTACTGAAAAAGTTTCACGAGATCTGATGGTTTTAAAAATGGGAATTTCCCTGCACAAGCTCTCTCTCTTTACGTGGAACTGTAAGTCCATTAAACCTCTCTTTTGTAAGTTGCCAAGTAGGTATGTCTTTATCAGCAGTATGAAAACGGACTAGTACATCATCAGAAAAAAAAATTCAAATTGTTTAATAAAATTCAAAAGTCATCAAGAGCAAATATAACAGAGATTGGATTCCTATATGAGTCAGAGTTCTTCAGAGAACATAACTAATATGGAGAGAGAGATCTATATTTATTTTTAAAAAATGTTAGGGAATTGCTCATTCCATTCTGGAGGCTGGCAAATCCAAACTCTGCAGGGAAGGCTGGCAAGCTAGAGATCTGGGGAAGAGTTGCCGTTAAAAAGAAACTTTTAAGGGAAGATACTTCTGCTTCCCTCTGACAAATTACATAGGGAAGAAATAAATGCAGATATAGGATCTGAAAAAAAATTTAATAAAAGTGCACGTGTGTGTCCCTGTGTGTGTCGGGGTGGAGATAGTGGGTTTGTGGGTGTGTAGCCCTGAAACTCTCCATCTTCCAGATAAGATAAATTCTTCCCTTACCTCTATGTTTCCTTTGCAGAACTTCACATGCCCTAAGAGTCAAGAGGTTATCTCTGATTTCCCATGCTTCATGTAAGATCAATCCTCCACCATCCTCCAGGCCCCCGATGCAGAAGCCAAGAGGTGGGGAATGGCAAAGTTGTGTGCTGTGAATTAGAAGCATTATTAATAAGAGGGAACCAGGATCTCAAGGGCTCTTCATATTTCTGCTAAGACTTAGAAACCTTCTCCCTCAGACTGTAGCCTCTGGACTAATCTAATCACATCATTTATCTCCATGTATTATAATCACTCTAGGTGCCCAAGACTCTATGGTTATCTCTCATGACCTGGACATTTATGCCTCAGTAATTTTCTTAATCCAATCCTATTTTACAACATTCCCTGATTCAAAAAGCTTTCTGTGTGCCCTCTGGGTCTTATGATCTGGCATCTGCAGAATCTCCTGTATCTTCAAACTCTTCTCTGAACATTTATTTTATTTGTTCTAATCCTAGCTGAACACTCCTTTTTGGTCACTATGTTTTCCCTACAGTCCTCTTAAGTAACTTAAGCAACATGCTCACACCTTAGCACTAGCTCTGAAGGAAGGGCTGTTATATCTTCTACATCCCAAACATTGGCTTCTTCTGTTCTCATCGCCAGATTCAGACTAGTTTTTTCCCTCTGGCCTAAACTTCTCAAACTTTGAATAATATGACCTCTGTTTAATTGTACTTACTAGCGTTCCTTTTTGCATTGATCAGCAATTTCTCAGGCTGTTCTACCTTATTTCTTCATTGAAAGATTATAGCTTTTGACTCAATATCATTCTCTACAGCATTGCTTTAGTCACAAGCATTAAGAGTTGAACTTCCATAGACAATTCTTCTAAATGTTTTTTGACCTCCTTTCCTTCAAAGATTTATTTTTCATGCTTTCACAAACACTCAATTCTGTATTATACTTTGACACTGTCATTTTGAATACCTGTGAACTCTCAATAATCTAAATTTGACATTTAGTACACAACCTTTGGTTCTAAACTTTGTGGTAATTCTTTGACCTGAGTAGAACATAACAACTTATTGATCCATTTTCACTTGCCCTTATCAACCTCAATTTAGACTCTATGCTAATAGAATTTCTTTTTTGCATATATGTTGCCAGTGACATCTATTAATATATTGTTCTCCAATAGTTAGTTGTCAGTATTCATCTTATTTGACCTTTATAAAACTTGTGTTGATTTATTATTCCATCATTCTTAATATTGATCACTCACCTGCCTCATTGGATTAACAATCTCTCTTGGTTTTCCTCTTACCTTGCTGAATGCTCCTTCTTGTATTACTTGCAGGCACATCTTCATCAACTAAACCTATAGGCTTTGAAGTGGACCAAGGCTCAATCATAACCCTTTCTCTTTTTACTCTGTATCCTCAGTCCATGATGAACTTATCTTGTCTCATGGCTTTAATATTAATATATATTTTGTTCAGTCTCACTTGTGTAGCTCTATACTAAAGCTCTGTCTTGAACACTCATTTCTTAAGCCTACAGAACATTTCCATTTGGAAGATTAATAGGCATTTTCACTGTCACTAGTTCAAACCTGAATTCCATATGTATATATATATGGAATATCTAAATATCTAAATATTTAAAACACCAAAAGCAATAGCAAGAAAAGTCAAAATTGACAAATGGGATCTAATTAAACTAAAGAGCTTCTGTACAGCAAAAGAAACTATGATCAGAGTGAACAGGCAACCAACAGAATGGGAGGAAATTTTTGCAATCTCTCCATCTGACAAAGGGCTAATATCCAGAATCTACAAAGAACTTTAACAAATTTACAAGAAAAAAGCAAACAACCTCATCAAAAAGTTGGCAAAGGATATGAACAGACACTTCTCAAAAGAAGACATTTATGCAGCCAACAAACATATGAAAGAAAGCTCATCATCACTGGTCATTAGAGAAATGCAAATCAAAACCACAATGAGATACCATCTCACGCCAGTTAGAATGGCAATCATTAAAAAGTCAGGAGGGCATTCTTTAATGATTTAGTGGTAAGTTGATGATTGCTTGAATTAGGGATACTAGGATAATGTGGGGATAAAGAGAAGTGAATGTATTTAAGAGAAGTTGCGAATGTCAGAATGGCAGGACCTAGGCATTAGTTATGCATCAGAAAGGAGTGGAAAGGAAGAATTAACACATAATCTGAAACTTTGACTTGAATTTTTGGGTGATGAGCAACCAATTGCTGAAATAAAAAACATACAAAAATAAATAAGCTTTGAGATGTTGAAAAGGAAACAGGAATGATGATGGGTACAGTTTTATATATGAGATATCTTTAATTTATATAAGTAAAAATTTCTCCTAGACATATAGTTATATAGCTGTAGAAAAGTGAAAATTGAATAGTATATTTACAGTTGTAGAAGTGGATGAGTTCACCACAAAAAAAGAATCTATAAAGATAAAATAATACAGTTCAGAAATGGCCAAGGAAATTTTTAAGCTATGAATAAGTAAGAAGATACTGTAATAAATAAATGAGTAGACAAAATAAAGAATCAGAAACATAGAAATTGAGACAATTTGTTGGGCACTTTTTTTCCTTTATTATTTGTTCCATAAATTCATTGTTTAAATGAAATCGTATGGTGTTGTACTACATATATATGCAAAAGCTTGAAATATTTGGTTGAAACAATGCGGATAATCTTAAATGAACATTTTGGGTACATTTAACCTATTTTGAAAACCAACAGTTTAAACAAATTGGACTCATAAAAAAAAGCTAAATGAAGCTTCTAAATAACAAATATTAACCTTTAGGGAATCACTTAGTAAACATATTTAATTCCTTGAAGTTGCATCTGTTTTGAGAGTGCTAAATTATATTTTCTTGTTTTCACTATGGAGATGACAAAAAGGACCAGATATAAATTGGAGAACAGTAAATTTAGGCCCATTACTAGGAAATCCAAAAACTACCAGATAGAAAAATAGACACTGCTGAATCTTACAAACACAACTAAATCAATCAGAATAAATAAAACCAATACCAAATAAACTATAAAGCACAAACCTTCCACATGATTTACAAAATTTATTTATTTATTTGTTTGTTTATTTATTTATTTATTTATTTATTATTTAGAGAATAGGTGTTGCTCTGTTGCCAGGTTGGAGTGCAGTGGTGCTATCATAGCTCACTGTCCCATCAATTTCCTGGGCTCAAGCAACCTTCCCACCCACCTCAGCATCCCAGCTAGCTAGCACTACAGGCACATGCCACCACACCCAGCTAATTGTTTATTTAAACATTTTTTTTGTAGAGAAAAGGTCTCACTATGTTGCCTAGGCTGGTCTCAATCTCCTGGCTTCAAGTGATCCTCTTGCCTTGGCCTCCCAAAGTGCTGTATTTACACTCATGAGCCCCCTGATTGGTAAAATTTAAACTGTTTAATTCTACCACTTGAGTATTTGGATCCAGAGTGTTTGGAACATTAATTTGTAAGCATGGTAAGACATTTGTAAAACTATCATTTTTTTTTTTTTTTGAGCAGGAGTAAAACACAACTTACCAAAGCATTCTCTAAGCCAACAATAATTTAGAAATCTGAAATAATATCTACCTGACAGCAGAAAGTCAATATGTGTAATTGGGCCATCCAGTGGAATCAAGAGAATGGTTAACAAAGCATCCCCTGAAGCAATGTGGATTGCACAGTTCACAATATGATGGACTGAACACAGCAAGAGTCCACTTTTGTTCAGCAAAACAGGCTGCCAAGGTGCTCAACACAAGCAAGAGGGCTATTTTATTGGTGACATTATCTTACAAAAATCATCAGTGTGCTCTTACGTGAGCTGAAAGCCCTTGTAAGCCTTCCTAGGGAATGTAAAGTTTAGCCAATTGAGAGATTGACATTCATCCAGCAGCATGAAGTAGATGGTGGATAGATGAGTCAGACCAGTGCCTTCAGCAAATCCCAGCTAACTATTCAGTTATAATTAGTTATAATTATAATTTGGAACCGCTGTCCATGTTTGACTCTGACAAGGAGAGGTTTCAATATTTTATTTCTTCTTGAAAAAAAAAAAAGAAGATTGTCTTTTTGTCATAGTACTAAAATGTGTGTGCAAGAATCCTGTCACTCACAAAATTTCTGGATCTGACTGTCAGAGGAACTTTGGGTATTTTCAGGATGTTAATGAACAGGCATCCACATCTGTATCTTGCACTTGAAGTCAGGTCTCACAGTTAATGTGAACTGAGTATCATAATACACTTCCACAGAATATACAAGATACTCCAATGGCATAACCCCGGTTCCTTCAGAGCCAATGAGTATCATGAACCTGTGATTTCTTATGTGATTCCAACTCAACTGACTGAGAAGTGAATAATTCAGTCGACCTAGTTTTGCATGACTTATTATTATTATTATTATTATGCTTTAAGTTTTAGGGTACATGTGCACAAAATGCAGGTTTGTTGCATATGTATACATGTGCCATGTTGGTGTGCTGCACCCATTAACTCATCATTTAGCATTAGGTATATCTCCTAATGCTATCCCTCCCCCCTCCCCCCACCCCACAACTGTCCCCGGTGTGTGATGTTCCCCTTCCTGTGTCCATGTGTTCTCATTGTTCAAAGACATTTGTTTTAGCATTGTATAGACATGATCTTAAAATAAAAATTGAGGTAGATAGTAGAGAAATGTCACCCAATTATTTTAATTTCTTAATTTTCTATTATTTATGCTTCTATAAAATATGTGCATATATAGATACACACATATACATATATAATTTTGAGTTGATTTTATTATTCTAATGCCAGAATTCAAAATAAATACGAAAAAAGAATTCTATTTATTTCATTGAGCTAAGAATCTATTGTATATGAAAATAATTTGAGGGAGGATTTTGGCAATATGGCAGAAGAGGAAGAACCAGGAATCTGTCTCCCGAATGAGAAAACGATTGCATTGGCAGAGTAGGTCTGATGATACTATTTTGGGACTCTGGAATCTATTAAAGGCATGGAACTTAAAATGAAAGGCTTAGATAGTAAATTGTGGCTAGTTTTAGTCAATTTCAGTTCCTAGTACAGTAGCAACTACCTATTTTCAACTCAGTCACATGGCAGCTGTGCATATGTTTCTAGAGCAAACTCCATACAGTTGGCACACTGCAGGGTGGGCAAAAGGTATCTTCTCATCCAAATATCTGGAATTTTTTTCTGTGATTACTAATTGCTACTTCTGACTCCACAAGTACAGAGAAAAGGATGGGTGGATATTGTTGCTTTACCTCCCCATGTTGTTGCAAGCCCTTTTCCTTTTGGCTGAAGTTACTTCCGGAAAATGTTAAAGCTGGAACCCTTTTCTCTGTCCCTTTATTTTTTTCTGTTTCTCTTCGTGTTGCCAGACATTAAAGACTAGGACATTAAAAGGCAACTGCATATACGTGGAAGATTAGAAAGTAACTACGCTTGCCCAGGAAAAGATACAGGCTCAGAAAAGACTTGAGAGGAACTTAAGTTTACATTCCAGACTGATTCTTGACACCGAGACAGAAAAACAAAACAAAACAAAACAAAAAAACAAAACAACCACCCAATAACAAACAACAGCAAATCCTGGGGAACAGAGAGTTTGATTTCCAGAGTCACCACATTATTAGATTCAAATGTTCAATTTTCTTTTTTAAAAAATAATTTTACTTTACTTTAAGTTCCGGATACATGTGCAGAATGTCCAGGTTTGTTACACAGGTATACATGTGCCGTGGTGGTTTGCTGCACCTATCAACCCATCATCTGTGTTTTAAGCCCCGCATGCATTAGATATTTGTCCTAATGCTCTCCCTCCCCTTTCCCCCTACCCCGCTAACAGGCCCCGATGTGTGTTGTTCCCCTCCCTGTGTCCATATGTTCTCATTGTTCAACTCCCACTTATGAGTAAGAACATGCAGTGTTTGGTTTTCTGCTCCTGTGTTAGCTTACTGAGAATGATGGCTTCCAGTTTCATCCATGTCCCTGCAAAAGACATGATCTCATTCTTTTTTAGGCTGCATAGTATTCCATGGTGTATATGTGCCACATTTTCTTTATCCAGTCTATCATTGATGGACATTTGGGTTGGTTCCAAGTCTTTGCTATGGTAAATAGTTCTGCAATAAACATACGTGTGCATGTGTCTTTATAGTAGAATGATTTGTAATCCTTTGGGTATATACCCAGTAATGGGATTCCTGGGTCAAATGGTATTTCTGGTTCTAGATCCTTGAGGAATCACCACACTATCTTCCACAATTGTTGAATTAATTTACAATTAATTCCCACCAACAGTGTAAAAGCATTTCTAATTCTCCACAGCCTTGCCAGCATCTATTGTTGGACCCTACCTAACACTATAAATATAATAATTAACACAAAATGAATAAAATTTCTTAAACTATAAAACTCTTAGAAGAAAACATAAGGTTAAACTTAAAACTATTAAATTTGGCAATTTTTTTTTGGATATTAGACCAAAGGCACAAACAACAAAAGAAAAAAATAAATAAGACTTCATAAAAAATTTTTAAACATTGTGAATCAAAACCCAGTGTCAATGGATATAAAGGGCAACCCACAGAATGGGAGAAGATATTTGCAAATTACAAATCTGATAAGAGAATAATATCTAGAATATACAGAGAATTTCTAAAATTCAGCAATAATAAAAACCACCAATTCAAAAATGGGCAAAGGACATTTCTTTAAAGGAAATACAAAAATGGCCAATAAACACACATACCCACCCTGTTGGTTCTGTTTCTCTGGAGTATATCAATTAAAAGGTACAGTTCCTGAGTATTTTATATATGCCTATGTTTCTAAGCATCTTATGCAATGCAACCAGTGTTCATACCACTATAGAATTAAGGTAACAATAAATGTCAATGGCTCTAGAGTTGGTATTGAGTAAGTGGAGGAGAAACGGAAATTGAAATAATCGTAACATATAAGTTTATAAGGAACACAGATGAAGACCAAGTTGCCTAAGTGTTCAGAGGAAGGGGTGAAAAGGAGCAAGAAGAATGGGGAAGAAAATGATTATTTGAGCTCATTTTAGGCCCTGAGGACCAGTTTAGAGCTATGTTTCAAATTGTGTAGATATTTATTCAGAGCACAGTTCTATTTGAATCAAGGACAGTGTTCTGAGACTTAAAATAAAGGTACATGTTGTTCCCTATACTTTAGACTCAATATAGAAACAATTTTTCACAGGATACATAATATGATTCTCACAAAGCTCATTAGAGAATATCTAGAAAGAGAAAACATTAGGAAAATCTAATCATAATCATATTTTTGTTTTATAATGTGTTCTTTATATAAACTTTATGTATTGATAAATCACTACTTATATATAGTTTGGAGTTTGAATAAGTGACTACATAACATAAACTGTTTTCTTCTTTTAATGGTAAGGATAAAAATATCAGCATTAAAAAATAAATTTTTCTTGAACAATAACTGAAAAAAGGAGCATTAAAAGTTGCACAAATTAGCAGGTCTGGATTATCAGTTTGTCTTTAATATTGACTCTTAAGAACAGCAATTCACAGATAATTCTAATATAGGGATGATTAAATTACTTTGTACTTGTTATTTTCACTTGAAAAGTATAAGTAAATAAGACATTCATTGGTTATGGTGTTTCCATTACGCAACTGATTTTCAATTTGATGTGTGATTATGTGATTAATTTATTTAATCTACTGTTTTTATTGTTGTCTTAAAGTGTATTCATAACCTACAGAGATATTCATGTATTTATCATTATGGACCATAGGTGATAATGTGTGTATCTATCGAACTTCTAAAAACATATATAAAAATCTCTATTTTTGGTCTGATATTTTTGAGAAAAGTTAAACCTCCTCCACAAAGAGAGGAAAAACAAACAAACAAAACACCCAAATACCCAGGCAATATAAGAGATGAATATACAAGTCAATGTGATGAATAGGAGAAGCATTTTGTCTTGGCTGAGGTTTTACTAAAGTATAATTCACACATAGATTCAAAAAGAATACCAATACCCAGTCTGGAAGCTATGAAGACGTGTAATAGTACATAGGTGTTTGCGTTATTGCCAAATACACTTTAGACTCCAAGTTTTCTGATAGTTCTGTGACTTTTAAGGTTGTCTCTGCTAAATACATGTATTAATAATACATGTAATATATATAACATATTAATATTCTCAATGCAACCATAAAAAAAGAATTTGCCTATAGCTTATAAAAAATAAAAACACTGGACTAAATAAAAACTGAGTAAAGAATCTAAAATAAAACTGTTATAAATCTTCATTGTTTCCAATATTTTTTCTAAGAAAAATATTACCTAGTACAGGACCCTATACATAGAGCCACTCAAAAAATGTCTGCTGAATTGAGTTAAATTGGATTGGATTGAATTGAAGAAAACCACTTCTATTTTTTCTAACTTTCATTTGGATTCTATTGAAAGAACTCCTGCTGGGACTAACAGACCCTCTTTCTAACCACATATTTGCTATTTACCAATTCTTTGTCTTCTTTTAAGCTTTGACAATAAAAAAATAGAAAAAGACAGATTGTCAGTGGAATTTACTCATTGAATGAATGTACTCCATTCATTTACTCATTCTTTTATCATTACATTTTCAGTAAAGCACAATGATTCTTTGAAGAGCTTTTGTTTTCGAAAATGTCTCAGGTATTAATATGTTGTGCTTTTTTTGAGACGGAGTCTCGCTCTGTCACCCAGGCTGGAGTGCAGTGGTGCCATCACGGCTCACTGCAACCTCTGCCTCCCGAGTTCAAGCGATTCTTCTGCCTCAGCCTCCCAAGTAGCTGGGACTACAGGCGTGCACCACTACACCCGGCTAATTTTTGTATTTTTAGTAGAGACGGGGTTTCACCATCTTGGCCAGTCTGGTCTTGAACTCCTGACCTTGTGATCGGCCTCCCAAAATGCTGGGATTACAGGCGTGAGCCACCGTGCCCAGCCAATATCATGTATTTTTGAAATGATTTATCCTAAATCTTTTTTTATGATTTCGATTTGTTTCTATAATTATTGTGAAGGCAGGGTAAACGATTCCTATTAAGGCCAAATAATCGGGCCTTAATAGGAACTGCATATTGATAATTCCTGTTTGTATTAAGCACAAGGTGAGGATTCCACTCTGATTATAGGCAGGAGCTTTCCAATCATGAATGTTGTTTTTAAGAATTCTGACACTACCTTGCCACATCCTATGGCTAAAACATGAGCCTTTGACTTATCATGGGAGGGTTTGGTACTCCAAGCAACTATGTACATAACTGAGAAGACATGGCTGTTACTAGGGTGCTTCCATGTTATATTTCTATGGTATCCTCAACATATCAGTTGAGCTATCAGAAAAGCTATTACTTCTCTTACCATAAATTTAAATAATGCTGCTCCGATGTGTGTTGCTTGCCCCAATTACACTTGTTTAAAAAACATACTTTTAAAGATTTTAGTTTAGTTTGTTACTAATTTCTTAAGTATATTTATCTATATTCATAGGTGATACTTTCATAATTAATCTTTCCAATTTTGTCATGTTTTGTATCAAGATTAAGATAGCCTAAAACAAAACAAAACAAAATCTTGTAGAGTTTTTTCTGTTTCTCTTCTTTTCAATAGTTTTGAAAAATCTTTTTTGTAAAAAACAGTTTTGTACAATTTCTTTCTGATGGTTTTTGTAGATTTTACTAGGGATTTGTCTAAGTTGGAAGTTTTCTACTGCTTATAGTTTTTCAATGTAAATTTCATTACTTAATAATTATAGGGCTATTCAGATGTAACTTTTTTTTAGCAATTTCTCCAGTTTATCTAAATTTTTCAACTTATTTACATAAAGCTCATCATGATATACTTTTTTTGTCTTTAATGTGTGTCTGATTTGTAGTGATGGGCCCCCTTGCATTCTTACTTTTTGCCATGCTTCCCTGTCTCTCATTCTAAAATTTCAGTTGCAATTATGCTAGAATTTCTCACTCTTTCTTTTAGTTTTTTATTCTCTCTTATGGTTTTTTTGTGTACTTTTTTTCTCTTCATGCTATATTGAAGATATTTTCTTTTGACCTATGCTCCATTTCAGGAATCCTCACTTCAGATCTGTATAATCTGTTTTGAAATCTAACCATCAAGTATATGATTCTGTAATTTCTACTTATTTTATGTTGAAATCTTCAAACATGTCTTCTATTTTCTTGAAGATATTAAGCATGTTTAGTTAAAAGTCAGTTGCTAATAACTCCAATTTCTAATACGGTTGTTGATCTGCTCCAGTTGTCTTTTTTGTCTTATATCTTGAGATTCTCAATAACATAGTCATTCTTTATTGCATGTTTGGTCCTTTTTTTATTGTGGACTGGAAATTATATTTGAAGAAAAAAATGAAAGAATATTGTGGCAAAGATAATGTTATGTTTTTCAAATAGGATTTACAATCTAGTCCTCCATATGGGGTAGAAGTCTTTGGGAAATCCAATTCAATTTTAACCATTGAAATGATTTGAAGTTGGGTTTCTTTCCCTAGGAAAGCTGAGCTATTGCTTGTTCACTCTTACATTATGGCAATCCCTTTGGATTCCTGTTTCAAACTATGAAGAGTTGATCAGCTCCCTCCCCACCTTGGCAGATCTTAGACTTCAAGTTACTCTCCCACCCTTGCAAGAACAGCAACAATTCTGCCTACCTTATCACTGTCAGCTTCTGAATTGGCAGCGGCCCCTCAGGAGAAAAATTAAACTGCCTCAAATGTGAGCCTCACGTTTTTAGTATTATTCTCAGTTCTTGGTCTCACAATTCTTCAATGGTAAGTTAGTTGTTTGATGTCTTAAGGCACATAAACTCTCTCTCTCCCTCTATGTTTTCCTGATTTTATAGTAGTTGTTAATTAGAAGATTGGTTTGAATTTCCTTTTCTGCAATTACTGAAACTCACAGTCCCATATATACTTAAATACGTAGTAACCGTTCACCCTTAGGACATGGGTTTATATAACATTTTGGTATTTTCAGTGTTTATATTAATGAAAAGTTGCATAAACTTAACAAGCAAAAAACCTAATTAAACAGAATAGTAGGTAATAATAACTACATTTAATATTTCTTGTGCACTTACTTGTGTCAAGCACTGTTGTAAGTTCTTTACAAAGAAATGAATTCTTTCATATTCTTACCTATCAGTTATACTGTTAATACCCTCATTATACTGATGAAAACCGTAGCCCAGAGAAGTAGAACTAGCATTTGAATTCATCGCTTTGGTTCCTAAGGTGTCACACATTATTGGTATACTCACAATTTCTGAAACCTATTGACATAAATACAGGTCATAGACACGTATGATACACACATACGCACATGTACATATACATAGCACACACATTATTGTAGCTAAACTGTGCTACAGAGGAAGACTAGCTAGCATTGTACAAGTTTTCCTGGATAAGATCAAAATAAGTTCCTCTAAATTATTCATTGGCAGGAAGAGTTAGCTAAACTAATAGTCAACAAATCCTAACTGTTTTCCCTTAAGTGGCACCTTCTTAAGGTTTATTCACATGGAATACTGCTCTCATCACCCTTTCTTGGCCCCGGGGCTATACTAACCTCCCTTAAAAATATCTGGGCATGGTGGTGTGCACCTATAGTCCTAGCTACTTTGGAGGCTGAAGTGAAAGGATAATTTGAGCCCAGGAGTTTGAGCTTACAGTGAACTGTGATTTTGTCACTGCACTTCATCCTGGGCAACAGAGCAAGACTCTAACTTAAAAAAAATATTGCAATACCAGTCTATTTATGAAAAAATGCTATTTTTCTTTGTCTCCCATCAGAGACAAGCTGGCATTTTCAAAAGAATCATGCTAAATATATAAAGGGGACAAGGAGAAATGAATAATGTACAAGAGGCATTAAAAATCACACGGGCTTAGAAAAAAACAAGTTTCTGTTCCTGTAACATTTAAGTAACTTACCAGACCAAAAGCCCTTGTTCTATTCCCCAGGAATGTTACAATCCAGCCTCAAATGGCTGGAGCCACTTTGCAGGCAATTTACCTGGCTTCAGGCCCTTCTCCCTCCCAGGTTTTCTCCATAGGGGAGAGCCATCTTATCTGCAGGGAGCTGGTCAATTGCCCAACTTGTTCTCTCCATAATAACTGCAAAAAGAAAACATTCCAAACCTGCTGCTGACCTAGGATGCTCCTACTCAGTTCTAGTTTCACTATGATTGGCAGGCCTACAGCCTTCATAAAGGGAGTCACATACATACAATAATAAGAGGATTATTCTTTACTCTTTTATAAGTAAGAGGTTGGGGGTGAGCTATATGAGGCAGTCGACTCTGAATCTATATCACAGCTTCACAGCTACAGGAGAGTGACATTTTCCAATTCACTAGCAATAACTAGGTCCCGGAGAACTGCTATAACCAAATTAATTTTATGAGAAGCTAACTTATAAGCCTTGATGGCAATTGTATAATTTTAGCAGAGAAAAATAACTATGGGATCAAAATGACCATGCTGCCACACTGTTCTCATCATCAACACATTCAAAAATCATCACAAAAATGCAAGTTTTTTTTATCATGTCCTTGCATTTTCAGTATACACAGTTTGAAGCTTGTGACTTCCGTGCGCTGACAAAATCAATGTACTCTTAATATTCTAAGACATTCATTACATAGAATTAACAATTATAATATATGACCAGATTTAAACTATTTATATTTTCTTTCTACGAAATTAAAAACATTATGAGGTCTCCAATTGTTTTTCAGAAAAAAAGAAAAAAAAACAATTTTTTTTTTTCAATTAGCAGTATCATAGAAGTCCACTGATTTCACTATTACAAATCCATTCCAAGCTGCTGGCTGGTATGAAAGAAAGGAAAATTTGTCAATTATCCAACTAATTATCTGAGTATATGACAGCCAAACCAAATAATCCCTGTCCCCAGTGAATATTCTCAACTGAATAGTCTAGATAACTACCATGCAGATTTAATAAAATTTCTGAGAATATAAACATTTGTGTATTTCTTTCATTAATTCATGAATGAATATGCCTTCAATTTGTTCATCTCAGGCTTCTAGAATAATGACCACAATAAAAAAAAATGAGAGCTAGCATTTATTGACTGCTTAATATGAACCAGGCAGTGTGTTAAGTGTTTTCTATGCATTCTCATTTAATTTTACAACAAGCCTATGAAGGCACTGGCATGCATACCTGGCACAAAATGAAGCCTGCAGTTCCCAAATATCTCTTTAACTTTATCTGTGTAAACAGCTTAGCACACATATTACTCAAATAAAGTTTCTGATGTGTAATATGTGACCTCTTTTTGATTTAATGTTTTCCCTTCTCTCAAAAGCAAATGGATTTCCTTTTAGTCATCTTTTGGGCATTTTTTCTGATTCTCATATCCCTTTCTTTCCTCTGATTGCTGTCTTCAGTACAATGCGTGTCCCTATGTTGAGTGATGCTAAGAATTCATGAATTTACCTGTGATAATCAGAATGTTACATAAAATTTCATTCCTTTATGTGTCACGGAATTGTGATTTCTGTTACCATCTAAAAAAGGAAACAACAAATTATGTACAATAATATCTAGTTTTGATAGATTCTGCACACCAGGATAAAGGTATACAGTTATGGTAGGCAAATGGCTAGATGCTGAAGTAGTATTAAGTGTTGGCTAAAAATAAATCACTGAGGAATACAGTTTTCCTACAAGTTAAAAGACACCTAGGCACAGAATCTCAATTTATTAAAATTAATGAGTAACAGAAGACTCTTAAATGTACAAGCAAGTTGTTAACAGAACACTTTTAGAAATGATGTAGTGGAAGTTACATGTCTACTTCAGCCTCTTCGACAGTGGTTATCTTTAAAGTGTTCCTTTAGTTTAATGGACAGTTATGACATATTAAAATATAAACAGAGCTTGAAATAAGACAACCCTGGATTCAAGTCCTAACTAATGATTATTGGCTTTGTGACCTTGAAAAAAGTGTTTAATCTCTCTCTAAGTACAAAATTAACATAATAATGTCTATCCTCTCCTTGCCATTCTTAATTAATTTCAGAGAAATCAGTTTGCTTCATGGAAAATATTTATTTCTTCTTCCTTAGGTACTGCATTGCTAGCAATCATCTGTTAGCCACATTCTTTCTCTGCCCTGGGCAGTCACTTGAATACCAAAGACTATGAATGTTGCCATACCACATCCCAATATTTACATCATATTCTCTTGTTAATCTGTGACTGCAGCATATATTAAAGTTGTTTGAGTTGAGAAGGGATGGAGAGGTTTATAGCATTTTTCGTTCTCAAGAAATACATTCTAGAACATTGAGAAATCGAATTTGTTGTGGAATGAAAGAGTGAGTGGAAGCTTTGAAGAGAGGAAAAACATGTAAGCATTAGCAAAAGAAATATGGTTCAAATATAGGGCTACGAAGTGTCTTCATCAATAATATTAATATTCAAATCAATGAGTGCTTTTTAAACAAATAGAACTTGGGAAGGGATTGTTTATATTATCTTCTGTGTTTGGTAAGGACAATTATTATCATTTTTAGAGAAAGACTCAAGTAATTGCTTTCTGTATGAATTTGTATAATTTTTTGTTGCCTTTGCATCCATTTTGAATAAAGTTTAACTCTTTCATACCAGAAGCAGGGCTCAATCACTCTTGACACAGGTTCCAGTTTTACACCACATCCAAGCGGCTCAAGCCAGTGGACGGAAACGAGAACTCAGAGTCATCTCTCCTGCTTAGCCGACTTGACTGTCTGCTTTCCTGCTGCTTCCTGTAAGGCAAACGTTCGTATTTGCTTACAAACTTAAAGTGACCCCCACCTTATTCCCTTATATATTTCTACCTATTATGTGCTTTTCTCTCTCTCTCTCTGCATGACTCTTCATTTCTGTCTGTGTGGCCTGAGGATGAAGACAAAGGGCTGCCCTCTTGACGTGTGGTTCCCTCCTTGCCCAGGATCTGTAAGTAAAAACTTTGAACTTATTTCCTATGGTGGTGTGTATTGAATTTGCGCCTTCCATCTGAAGAACCAGGGACTACCCGAGGCAGGATTTTCTCTGGGATGCCAGGGAGACCCCAAGGTTTTACTCTCAGACCCACAACGATGTCCAGGCATAAACTGGACACTGGTGAGACAGGAGCCATGAGGCTTTTGGCCAGTATAAGCAGATTTCCTATGTGAGGAACCTCCTGATTGTGGGTTGGAAAACTTGGTATTAGGGCATTCTCCAGGTGAAAGATGTGTCCTGTGAAAGGCATATTCTAAACACCTATCCGGCTTCCCTTCACAATTTCCATTAGGGCAGGGCTGCTAGCTGTTCTGGTACTTGAATCCTAATTTAGCTGGAGGCTCCCAAAACACTCTTGTACTTTTTTTAAACAAAGATTTTTAAGGATGTATTTCAAGGAAAGTATGTACAAAACAAAGTGAAGAAAGTCAACGAATCTAATGACCAGCAGAATCAACCACGCTCCATAAACATCTAAGGAGATAGATGTACCATATGCCCAGTCAGAATTAAAATAGGAGGCCAGTGTTAACATGTCATAGAGAAAGAATGTTTTCGAGATCAAAGTAGCATGAGAGTAAATCATAAAATTAAAGTATAAGTAAGTGAGGAGGAAAACATGCACAATTTCTCCTAAAAATGAAAACAAAGAAGGCAACCGAAATTCTGGGTAAAACAACAATATTGAAAGAAGTACAATTTTTATTTTATTTTATTTTATTTTTTCGAGACAGAGTCTCGCTCTGTCACCCAGGCTGGAGTGCAGTCGTGCAATCTTGGCTCACTGCAACCTCTGCCTCCCGGGTTCAAGCGATTCTCCTGCCTCAGCCTCCTGAGTAGCTGGGATTACAGGCACTCACCACCACGCCCGGCTAATTTTTGTATTTTTAGTAGAGACAGGGTTTCACCATGTTGGGCAGGCTGGTCTTGAACTCCTGACCTCGTGATCTGCCCGCCTCGGCCTCCCAAAGTGCTGGGATTACAGGCGTGAGCCACCATGCCCGGCCCTGAAGTACAAAAATTTTATAGTCTGAATATGAAGCAAACTAATATTGTGTGATTTAAAAACATTAGATAATGGAGACAGTATTCATCACACACTATGTATTCAATATATATCTAATTAATAGAAGAATTAATTTATAACATATTAAAGAAAAATGTATTTGACCTACACTTAAAGATCATCCTCTTTGAGTTGCACAAGGATTGCAAAATTAGAACCACAGGAAACCACGTATACCCAAATATATTATTGGTTCTGCAATAACAATATTTACATAGTAAAAACAATACTAATAATGTTCAATGTAAACATTTAAACAACAATTTACACATAGCATGGAATATAAACTTTATCTTTAGTTATTGATGAGATTGTAAATGTGATTTGTCTTGAAAATATTATACTTTAGGCAAAGACTCAATTATTTTCCCTAGCTACTGTTTGTGTGTGTACAAATGCATATGTAACTGGTGTTTAGAACTGGAAGCAGGGAATGTGAAAAACTGTAGGAAATAAATAGGCATGGGATTATTCAGGTTACAAAATTCTTATTGATTAATGCTCCATATTCATGAACATAAGAAATAGACCAAAGAGTAGACTATTAACATTTTAACAGTAATTTACAGAAGAACTAAAATGTCGAGATTTTTTAGGCTGGGTGTGGTGGCTCACACCTGTAATCCCAGCACTTTGGGAGGCCGTGGCAGGAGGATCACTTGAGGCCAGGAGTTGGAGACCAGCCTGGCCAACATGGTGAAACCCTGTCTGTACTAATAATACAAAAATTAGCTGGGCATGGTGGCCGCACCTGTAATTCCAGCTACTCTGGAGGCTGAGGTGAAAGAATTGCTTGAACCTGGGAGGCAGAGGTTGCAGTGAGCTGAGATTGTGCCCCTGCACTCCAGCCTG
Source organism: Homo sapiens (assembly GCF_000001405.40). NCBI lineage: Eukaryota > Metazoa > Chordata > Mammalia > Primates > Hominidae > Homo > Homo sapiens. The sequence goes on from NC_000004.12 coordinate 31,395,891, forward strand.
GCCAACAGAGTGAGACTCAAAAACAAACAAACAACACAAAAAATGATGTTTTTAAAAATTCACTCTACAGTTGATGATTATTTTACCAATGAGATGTATTTATTTGAAAACATATTTAAATAAATGTAATAAAATAAAGGCTAATTGTGGAAATTCTAAAACATATAGAAGAATTTACAGAAAAAAATCAAAAAATCATTTTGTAAATCCATTAATCAAAGATTACTATTGGTAATCTTTGGGTGTATTTTCTGATAGTTAAACATAAAAATACATTTTGGCTTTACAAGCTTATGATTGCACTACGTATAGTTTTTTTTAACATCAAATTATCTTTCTCCTTTTCACATGTTCTGTTCTGCATTTTAATGGCAACTTAATCACATATTTGTATCAATGATTACTGTCTTAAAATTATACAAAATGTTCTCTTATATGTACCATAACTTATTGAATTATCGACAAAATAGTATGATAGTTTGGTTTTCTATCCATGTGGAAGGTTTTCTTTTCTGTAATATGTATAATTAAAAAACAAGAACATAGCCGGGCGTGGTGGCTCACGCCTGTAATCTCAGCACTTTGGGAGGCCGAGGTGGGCAGATCACAAGCTCAGGAGATCAACACCATCCTGGCTAACACGATGAAACCCCGCCTCTACTAAAAATACAAAAAATTAGCCGGGCATGGTGGCGGGCGCCTGTAGTCCCAGCTACTCGGCAGGCTGAGGCAGGAGAATGGCGTGAACCCGGGAGGCGGAGCTGGCAGTGAGCCCAGATCTCGCCACTGCACTCCAGCCCGGGTGACAGAGCGAGACTCAGTCGCAAAACACACACACACACACACACACACACACGCGCGCGCGCGCGTACTTTTGAGATACCACCTAGTCACGAAGAATTTCATACGGACTTTAGCTGAAATAAATTAATTTACATACTTTTTGAGTAGCTACATTGTTCTTTCAATGTATTGGATGATTAGGTGAGTAAAATTTAAATATTGTGGTGACACAGGAAACTTATGCATCACATTGACAGACAATACACTTCCTACATGGAAGGGGAACATATTTTTACACCAAACCATCAATGTCCTTTTTGAACACTATGACACTTATAAACACCACACGTTAGATTATACTATGACAACTTATCAGATATTTTTTCCCTCCTGCATAAACCCTAGCCCTTGCACACAATATTATGAGTTACATAATTTGTACTTCTTGTACACAATGTCTATCATAGTCTGAGATGCAAACGAAGTAATTAAAAAACACAGGTGGCCTCAACATGAGAGTTTTTCAATAAACAAGGAGCGGTGGTTTCACTACTGAGCTGACAAATGCCTAGATCTTTTACCCATTCCATTATTTTCTCAAGTATTTAAGTGGCTTGAGTGTTTGGCTTTTTAAAAATGCAAAAATGGAGTAAAACTCTTTAGATATTAGAAGTATTGTTTTACAGTCAATAAAAGGTCGGGGGGGCTTTTGTACTAAACAAGTCTCATCAGGGTAGTTCATTAACACAATTAGACAAAATGCGTTCTCCAGTTTCAGCAGTCTATTCATTTTAAGGCACTTTCTGCCTTGCTCAATCAAATTTAACATGGGAGACTTTTCCTGGCTACATAATCAACATGTAAATTAAAATGCACAGGGATCTCCAAAGAAAAAGAAAGTTAATTATTTAATCGTTTTTTTTTTTTCTATGTATTGGGTTGGGGGTTTTTAATTAAAAAGAGTAAATGAATCTTTAACATATGTTTATTTCTTTTGTATAAAAATGTGACTATAATTAATAGTAAAATGACAACATGGAATGTTGAATTTATTGCCCAGTTACAATAATGAGGCTTTATATTAATCAAAGGTTGTCATTTTAATTGGAAAACCTCATTGATAGTGATAAATAGAATTTGTAATGGTTTTTTTCATCCTTAAAGATAAACATCTATACTACTTATTTTTGAGAATATGAAATAACATATGTTTTCATAAAATATGATAGTTCTAAGTGATATTTCCTTTTATTTAAAGCAGCCATGCATTTGGCAAGTAGTTTACCTTTGTGAAAACTAAAAATATTGCTGAGGATTAAAGAGACAAATGAAGAATTCATTTGACATTTTATTAAGAAAGTTTAGGAACAGTCCATTTGGAGTTTAATGTGCCATCCATTGAAGTTTACGATGGAGTGAGCAAAAGGCATGACTATTGATTCTAGGTCTATGCACTTTCTATCTACACAGGATTATTGTAAATGAATAAGTCCATTTCTAGCCTGATTTTTCCGACTTCCCAATGCCTTTTTTATATTCTGAAAATGTTAAAATGTTGAGTTTAGACAAATGCTAGTAATCTTTGGTTTTCATTTTTAGTTTGCATAATCCTGCATAAAACAGACCTTTTTTTTTTTTAATATAGGAAGCTCTCAGGCCACTTATTTTCCTCTTGAGTATGACTGCTTTGATTTAAGCCAGGGAAAATTTATTTCACATTGCAGTCAGTTATTTACTTAGTGATGCATTTTTGTTATTTACTCATAGAAATAATATTGTTAACTTTAGAGATGTCACCTAGTAGGTATTTTACCCAACTTTTAGGAAATAAGCACTATGCTAATGATTCAGAATGTTTTCAGAGATCCCTAGGTTTTCCTGCCATAAAAATACTCTTACATATTACTTCTCAGAAGATCAATATATGTGTTATATACATACAAATTTTATGAGAAGTTAACTTTTCTACACGCTGTATGTATTTTTTTCATGGTCTGAAACAAATACAACATTTATTTTGTTCATGGAACTACAATTTAGGCAGGGTTTAGTGGGGCAGATTGTCTACTATGTCCTACTCAGTATTAGCTAGGATGGCTCCAAGGCTTGCTAACTTCTCTGGTAGTTGATGCTAGCTCTTGGCTGGAACCTCCATGGCACTATGTCCAGAATACCAAAATGTGGTCTTTCTATGTGGCTCCCTTGCTTGGGAGGGTGGCTAGGTTCCAAGGTTGGGTGCCAGGATGAAAAGCCAGGTGGAAGAAGCTATATCTCTTTTTCTAACCTATCCTCAGAAGTCATACAGTGTCACCTTCATCGTATCCTACTGGCTAAAAGCAAGTCACTGAAGACATCCATATTTAAGGGGAATGAAATTAAGACTCTACCTGTTGATGAGAGGAATGTCAAATAATGTGTGGACATGCTTTAAAAGCACAGAGTTTCAACAAATTTCAAAGAATTGTTTTCAGATCAAATTCTCTGACAACAATGCAATTCAGTTACAAAACATTATAAAAATGGTGATATTTTCCTACATTTTCTCCTGGAAGCTTTATATTTTTAACTTTCACATCTAAATCCACAGTCTTCTTGAATTGATTTTTATGTATGATGTGAGACTGGGAGTCAAATGTTCTTTCTTTTTTTTTGTAGTCCCAGCTACTCGGGAGGCTGAGGCGGGAGAATGGCGTGAACCGGGGAGGTGGATCTTGCAGTGAGCTGAGATCACGGCACTGCACTCCAGCTTGGGCGACAGAGCGAGACTCCGCCTCAAAAAAATAAATAAATAATTTTTTCTTTTAGAACTTGTGGATATACTATTTTTTTATTATACTTTAAGTTCTGGGATACATGTGCAGAACGTGCAGTTTTGTTACATAGATATACACGTGCCAATGTGGTTTGCTGCACCCATCAACCTGTCACCTACATTAGGTATTTCTCCTAACGCTATCCCTCCTCTAGATCCTCACCTCCTGACAGGTCCCAGTGTGTGATGTTCCCCTCCCCATGTCCATGTGTTCATTGTTCACCTTCCACTTAGGAGTCAGAACATGTGTTGTTTAGTTTTCTGTTCCTATGTTAGTTTGCTGAGAAGGATGGTTTCCAGCTTCATCCATGCGCCGCAAAGGACATGAACTCATCCTTTTTTATGGCTGCATAGCATTCCATGGTGTATATGTGTCACAGTTTCCTTACCCAGTCTAACATTGATGGGCATTTGGGTTGGTTCCAAGTCTTTGCTATTGTGAATAGTGCTACAATAAACATACATGTGCATGTGTTTTTATAGTAGAATGATTTATAATCCTTTGGGTATATACCCAATAATGACATTGCTGAGTTAAGTGGCATTTCTGGTTCTAGATCCTTGAGGAATTGCCACACTGTCTTCCACAGTGGTTGAACTGATTTACACTCTCAACAACAGTGTAAAAGCATTCCTATTTCTCCACATCCTCTCCAGCATCTGTTGTTTCCTGACATTTTAATGATCACCATTCTAACTGGTGGTATCAATAAGATGGTATCTTATTGTGGCTTTGATTTGCATTTCTCTAATGAGCAGTGATTACGAGCTTTTTTTCATATGTTTGTTGGCTGCATAAATGTCTTCTTTTGAGAAATGTCTGTTCATATCCTTTGCCCACTTTTGACGGGGTTGTTTGTTTTTTTCTTTTAAATTTGTTTAAGTTCTTTGTAGATTCTGGATATTAGCCCTTTGTCATTTGGATAGATTGCAAAAATTTTCTCTCATTCTCTAGGTTGCCTGCTCACTCTGATGTTAGTTTCTTTTGCTGTGCAGAAGCTCTTTAGTTTAATTAGATCCCATTTGTCAATTTTGGCTTTTGTTGCCACTGCTTTTGGCGTTTTAGTGATGAAGTCTTTGCCCATGCCTATGTCCTGAATGGCATTGCCTAGGTTTTCTTCTAGGGTTTTTACAGTTTTAAGTTTTATGTTTAACTCTTTAATCTATCTTTTGAGTTAATTTTTGTATAAGGTGTAAGGAAGGGGTCCAGTTTCAGTTTTCTGCATATGGCTAGCCAGTTTTCCCAACACCATTTATTAAATAGGGAGTCCTTTCCCCATTTCTTGTTTGTGTCCGGTTTGCCAAAGATCAGATGGTTGTAGATGTGTGGTGTTATTTCTGAGGCCTCTGTTCTGTTCCATTTGTCTATGTATCTGTTTTGGTACCAGTACCATGCTGTTTTGGTTACTGTATCCTCGTAGTATAGTTTGAAGTCAGGTAGCGTGATGCCTCCAGCTTTGTTCTTTTTGCTTAGGATTGTATTCACTACATGGGCTCTTTTTTGGTTCCATATGAAATTTAATGTAGTTTTTTTTTCTAATTTTGTGAAGAAAGTCAACGGTAGCTTGATGGGGATAGCATTGAATCTATAAATTACTTTGGACAGTATGGCCATTTTTACAATATTGATTTTTCCTATCCATGAGCATGGAATGTTTTTCCATTTGTTTACATCCTCTCTTATATTTCCTTGAGCAATGGTTTGTAGTTCTCCTTGAAGTGGTCCTCCACATCCCTTGTAAGTTGTATTCCTAGCTATTTTATTCTCTTTGTAGCAATTGTGCACGGGAGTTCACTCATGATTTGGCTCTCTGTCTATTATTGGTGTATAGTAATGCTCGTGATTTTTGCACATTGATTTTGTATCCTGAGACTTCGCTGAAGCTGCTTATCAGCTTAAGAAGATTTTGGGCTGAGATGATGGGGTTTTGTTAATATACAATTACGTCGACTGCACACAGAGACATTTTAACTACCTGTCTTCCTATTTGAATACCCTGTATTTCTTTCTCTTGCCTGACTGCCCTGGCCAGAACTACCAATACTATGTTTAATAGGAGTGGTGAAAGAGGGCATCCTTATCTTGTGCCTTGTTTTCAAACAGAATGCTTCCAGCTTTTGCCCACTCAGTATGATATTGGCTGTAGGTTAAAACCTGATCTTTCTCTTAAATAACTTGAGATTAAGAGAGAGAAACAAAATCAAATTACTACAAGGGAACCGCCTTCTGGTATGATAAGGATTGAAAAAGCTTCAGCATGTTTTGAAATTAATAACATTGGTTACCTAAGAAAAATATTAACATAAATTTTGTGGCCATGGCATACAAATTTTAGGTATTCCTAAAAGATAAAATGATGCAATTGCACAGTTAAAATGCATGTATGTGTTTATATTTACGTGTGTATACATATATATACTTGTTTGTTTATATTTAATACATGTAATAAGAACAAATCCTAGGCTGTGATGTTCCTAGAAGGTAACATAGCACACCTATGTAACTGAAATAAATATATATATATAAAATAAACATATATATAAACACAAATTATATATATACACACTTATATATATACATGTATACATATATGTATATATACATGTTATATGTGTATATATGTGTAGATATATAAGTGTATATCTACATATATGTATATATGTAGATATATACATATATATGTATATAAGTGCATAATATATAAGTGTACATATACATATATACATATATATAAGTCTATATATAAGTGTATATATACATGTATATAGATACACATATAATATATATTTTATATATATATAAAATATGGAACTTACTATGTGAAATATCAAATTATTTACCCATAATAACAGTCCTACATAAAATGTGATTTTCATTTTTACTGTACAGGTAATAAAGCAGAAGTACAGAGAGGTTAAGTACCTTAAGTTACTTGTGTGTGGTCATACAGTTAATAAACAGAAGAGCTGGTTAGAAACTCAGCAGTCTGGCTCTAGATTTTGTGTTTTAACCTCCTAGGCTAAACTGGCTAATCATTAGTGTTGTTGTCATCCAAGTTGGGATAAATTTGGGGGCATGAATAAAAGAATAAGTGCATAGGAAATACCTGGAAATAGACTTTACTAGGGAAGAAAGTGACGGTCATGCATTCAGAGGAAATAATATTCACTGATTAGTTATTTTGTGTCCTGTACTCTATATGGTAATTAATATTTCTCTAATTATCTAATTTAGAATTTAAGTATACATGTATACTTTTCTTGTGATATTTTGGTATTTTTCTCTTATTTATTTATTGTTAAATAATATAGCTGATGATATCTAAGTTTTCATTTGCATACCAAGAAAACGATATGTTTAACTTCTTCCCTGAACCAAAGAAATTAACTGTTTATGTCACTTCCAATAAACTTACTCAAGAAGTCTGGAACTATGAGGACCTACAACATTATAACTTTAACTTGCCCAGATTACATTTGGAAATGTCAAAGCACAGTTATTGTTTAGAGAGTAGACTCGGAAGACCAGGCAGCATGGTTTGAGGCCTTATTCTGCTTGCCTGGCAACCATGAATACATTATTAACATCTCTGTCCTTCAATTTACTCATCTGTAAAATGGGAATGCAAATAATATTTGACACTTTAGATCCATGGTTTGTAAATGGGGGTGATTTTTCTCCCCAGAAGACATGTGGGAATATCTGGGGACATTTTTCATTGTCACAGCTTGGAGGAGGGTGTTATTGGCATTTATCAGGTAGATGCTGCTAATTACCTACGGTGCACAGGGCAGCTCATTACAACATAAAACTAACTTACTCAAAGTGTCAATAGTACCAAGGTTGGGAAACCCTTGCATAGTGTATCATAAGAATAGATGAGGTAATATGTACAAATTAATGAAAAATGTCTGGCATGGAGTAAGTTCTCAATAATTATTAGCCACTATTTTTACTATTATGGAAAGAAATATCAAGAAAGAAGACTAAAATGTAGACTAGGGACAAATGAATAGAAGGTCTATATGACATACTGGGGGATAAAATTCTATCTTGCAGGAGAGGGGAGTCATTTACTGCTTCTAAGCAAAACAGTGATAAATACCAGTGGATATTTTAAAACTTAAGGGCAACTGTTATGAAAAGGTGAGTTTTTTTCAGTCCCGTAAACATATCGTCATAATGACCTTATTTTAAAACATTCAATTATTTTTACTGGGGAGTGGTGTATGGAGCGGGAAATCAATTTTTATTACAAAACATCAAAAAACTAAAGAAAAAATAGACATATAATGACATTTTTGGTTTTAGCAGACCATTTGTGAATACTTCCAGAGGAAGGAACGTAAGCAGACGAGCAAATGCCATAGAAAGTATTATGGAATTTCAGATTAACATTGAAGTATTGTAGCTTTTTGTGTTGTTATTCATCATTTGCATTTATAAATATTCATGAGTTTCTCCAGTTACATACAGAGCAAGTGCCATGAAAAAATACTTCTTACTTGGTGATTGACCACGTTAAAAAGTGCGAGAATAGACTGAGCCTATCTTAATGGGGTATTTGTGTAGTCCATGCTAACAAACATATCTATACAAAATATTAATTAACAGCAACTTTCCTTCGTTTTTTCATTTTTAACAATTATTAATTGTTTATTATTAATTTTAACAATTAATTAATTTTGGGAGAAGGAAGGATGCTTATGAGGGCCTTTATATTTTCAGATCCCGTGTCTAAGGAGTTAATTACTAAAACTTTCCAATTGTACAGTAATCATATGAAAGCCATGGCTTTGTATTATTTACCCAAATAAACAACATTCTTTAGAAGAAAACAGGCAGTTTAACTAATGAGAAATGTAAATTCTAGCTTCATGTGTTATTCATGAATGCTTTGATACCACAATTGTTATTTTCAAGCGTTTAGCTACTGTGAAAAACATCTTCGGCAATGAAGTTGGATGTTGACTGCTGAATGTCAAAAATAATGATCTAGCTGCACTGTAATCTTTGCTGAATGAGGTCTATTATGTATCATATTTAGAAGAATATTTGTGTTGTTGAATGTCTTAAACTAATTATCTATTACAGCTTGTATTTCATAAAATATAGTAATAAGCATATACAAAGTTTACTATTAATACTGCTAAATCCAATTTTGTACATCACATTTGAGAAGTAAACTTAAATTGGCATATTTATCAGAACCCATAAAAATTTTTATTGGGATATGGGTACAACATATAAATGTTTTCCTTGCTTTCAAGAGTACTCAATTCAGATTTCCTAGTAAACCGTATTTTCTTTTATACTGTTACAATGATTACACTATTTTCATATGAAAACGTAAGTGTAACTAATATACAGTAGCAGAGTTTTTTAGAACAAGTTACTACTACATTGCCTCTCTCTTCCAGACAAATGACCTATTTAAATTGTGGTCCATTCAGAGACACATAGACACAAGCCCATCAGCAAATAATCTTAATAGCTCAATTAAGCCTTCATAAAAGCTTCTTATATTTGCTTAAAATTTTTATCATGGCAGCAAATAAGTATTCAAAAAATTATTTTCGGCCGGGCGCGGTGGCTCACGCCTGTAATCCCAGCACTTTGGGAGGCCGAGGCGGGCGGATCACGAGGTCAGGAGATCGAGACCATCCCAGCTAAAACGGTGAAACCCCGTCTCTACTAAAAATACAAAAAATTAGCCGGGCGTGGTGGCGGGCGCCTGTAGTCCCAGCTACTTGGGAGGCTGAGGCGGGAGAATGGCGTGAACCCGGGAGGCGGAGCTTGCAGTGAGCCGAGATCCCGCCACTGCACTCCAGCCTGGGCGACAGAGCGAGACTCCGTCTAAAAAAAAAAAAAAAAAAAAAAAAAAAAAAAAAAAAATATTATTTTCTTCTAAGTTTCTGTTAAAATAAACCAGTTATATGCCCTAATATATTTGATATTTCAAAAATTATTAATAGACATTTACTATTTTCTTGGTTATTTGACATTTGAGATGGCAAAATAATGAAGAAAAAAATTAAGTTTTGAGATATGCTTTTCTAGAAAAAGGGAATGTGTTTGGGAATGAGTGCTTTCTCTTTTCTTGAAAAGGGAATGTGTTTGGGAATGAGTACATTCTTTCTTTTACCTTCCTATGAAGGTAGCTTCCTATGAAGCTAGTATGTGGTATTAGTAGAGGACAAAACAGTGTTAGTTAACGGGGAACAGATGTTATTGTTGTACCTTGGAGAATTGGGGATATGAAAATGTGAAAGATGTAAATGCTTTGGTTTGGACTTGGCCAACATGAAATTGTAAGTTGATGATTATAAAAATAAGAGGTCTAGGTACATTGTGCATGTTCTGTGTAACAGGAAATGTTCTTTGATGCAATGCAAGTGTCACTCAGTGGTCTTTTCACACTGGAGCCTCTGCTGCCTCTTTTGAAAATGCCTTTCATTTACATCTAAGAATACAACAGTGATATTTTATAAGTAATCACACATTAATCCATTGCAAAGTCATCCCATTTCTTCTTTCCATTTAGAGTTCCACTGCCCCAGTTCATTTTCTGTAACACTTGAAGAAACCTTAGTGTTGATACTGACAGTCAGGAGAAGGGCAATACCATGTCAAGGGTTCCATCTCTGGACATGTGCAAATACACTCACTAGTATCAGAGTAGTGGGGATGAGCAGGGAGAGACATATGACATGTGCACAGGACTTGGAAAGGGTCATACACTCTGCATCATCACCTAAGCTTCCGGGGCAGCTCTACTTGTGTTGAGACTCACAAATTCTCTTTTGTGCAGTAGTATCAGTTTTGGTCCTATAAGACATAGAGAAAGATAAATAGCTAAAAGTGTATGTATGACTGTGTGTTTGTGAGTGAAAGAGCAAGAACGGCAATGATAGAGAGTGTGTGTGTTTGTGTATATTCTGGATAATGAGATGGAGGGTAGAGTTCAAAACAAGAAAGAACACATGTTGTTTACTTCATTAGTAACTAACACAATTATTAGATTAGCCAAAATTTTCACTTATCAAGAGATCATCTTGTTATCTGAGAGGGGGCATCAGAAGGAGTCCATTTGTAAAAGCAAATAGAAACAAAAGATGATCTATATTAAGGTTTAGGCAATAATGAAATTATACTTTTATAACCCATTGCCCGATGCCTACATACTATGCAAACAAATACAACATTGCTGTTCTGAGGCCAAGTTATCCACTTTGCATGATTCCATGGATTATGATTATATGCACTGTATTTTTGACTTTTGGAAGAAGCATGAATGTAATCACCTCAGTAAACCATAGATTCCCCCAACGCGCGCGGACACACACACACACACACACACACACACGACTTTTCTTGTTTACTTGCTACATTCAACACTACTCAATAATTCCGCTTAATTATTGTCTGACAACTTTTGGTTTCTAATCTGCCTTTAGGGTGAAACAAAACAGTCTATGTAAAATGCAAATTATGTATAATGTACTTATTGTCGTATTCACTCAATAATTCTTGAACCTGCATAAACTCCCAACACAGATGTCATAAATGTAAACTAGCTATTCATAGTTAGTTACAACCCTCATTCAATATTAGAAAAGAGACACATCTGAAAGACACAATTTTAGGGAATGCCTACTAACATAGGGTCAACCATGAAAATACAGATATTTTTACAGATTGTTCTTTAAAAGACCATGCCAATAAACAATTATCATTGAACCCTAAGATGTCAGCTTTTTAGTCATACAATGACCAACTCATTGATCCAAACAGTAAAATCATGTATTTACCTCATTGTTAGGCCCTTGGAGAACCAACCACTTAATTGGCCAAATTATTTACTGTTAAATTATTTACTGTTTGTTGTTCTAGAAATACAAAATAGCCTGAAATTATTCTTTAGTTTATGCAGCAATGTACCCAAGAAGACTTTTTAGACTTCTAATTAGTTATTAGTTATATAACTATTTTATCTCTGAAGCTGGTAATTAAAAAAAATACTTCCCACTAAGCTTTTTATGCTGTATGAAATATAACTCATGAAAATAACAGAACAAAATTTTCAAATATTTTCCAGCTTTGTATACTTTAGAAATAGCAGAGATTGGCCAATTAAGGCTGAAATGTGGAAAATTTAAATTTTATTCTATTTTGCCCTCTATTTTACTGTGTTAGAATATTTCCCACAGATGTAATGGACTGTAATTTATTTAAAGTAAAACTTGCCACATTCACAGTAGCTCTTGTGATGATTATATTACAATAAATAATAAGCTCAGACTGGAAATATTTTAAGAGTACTATCGATAATGGATTATGTTAAAATCACAGGATAAGACATACTTTTGTCTTAATGAAAGCATGAGAGCTAAGAAGAATGTCAGTTTTTTTTTTTCCTCAGTGAAAAATCTCAAGAGCTCAGAGGATGATATATAAAATTTATAGTTAGAAAAAAATGCCCAAATGGAAAATACAAGAGAACAATAAAGGAAGAAAAGCTATTATACAATGATTATTTAAGTTTATGTAAAGAAAAATGCCATAATGAGAAAAACTGGATTCATATTTAAAAACCTTCACCCAAACTGGAAGGGAGCCAAGAGACCAATGAATGACTCGGACAAGTCCAGCTTGGCCAGTAGATGAGTTTATGGTACTTACTTATGAGGCAGCAGGACAGCTTTAGAGATCCGTGCTGCCTCCCATCCCTAAGCTGCTTTTCAGCTAATTTTCTGGCTCTTGGCCTGCTGTGTGTATGCAATGGGACTGTTTTCCTTGGTAGGTTCTCAGATACTCTCAGAGATGTTTGTGTTCTTAGGGACACCTGCTCCTCAGCTGGGTACCATGGCCTTGGCTCATTGCCTGGTCTTCAGGCCTCAGGCAGTAGACATTATGCCCTTAAGTAGCCTAGTGGGGGACCAGTCACAACACAAATGCATATAAGATTGTCACAAATTTCCATTAAAAGTCCAGCGGTTTAAATTTCTTTTCATCTAACTTTAGAAAATGCATGATAGCTACAACAAAGAGTAAATATACTTGCTAATATATATTAATAGAAAATTAATTTAGCTATATTCAGTGGCACCCATTATTGAAACATTCACACATATGTGCATGGCGTGCACACACGCACAGACACAATGGTACCCATTATTGAAACATGCACACATATGTACATTGTGTACACACGCACACACACACACACACAGAGACACCCCTACACACACCATATCATTAAACTTAAGAGTTGGTAGTTCATTAACTCAACAAGCAACTCAAGGACATATTGGTCATCCATCTATACCAGAAATCCTTTCAAGTCCTAGAAATAGATAGGATTAAATTATATTCCCTACTCTGCAGTGACTGCCATTGGCGTCAAGAGGAAAGGCACACAAAATCAACTAGGTAGTGTAACAAGTGCTAGAGAAGAATTAAGTACAAACCATTATGAGGACACAGGAGCATGAGCAATTAATTCCACCTGGTCCTTGTCATCACCCTTGAGTGTATCACATCTGAGTTTATACATATTGCAGGCCACAATATGACCATAGCCTCAAATAATTTTCACTTTCTTACCCAAATCCTCTCAAAATGCCTAGTCTGTGAAGTCATTGATATCTCTACAGTAAATCCTCACATAAGGTCATTGATAGATTCTTAGAAACTGTGACTTTAAGCAAAATGATCTATAACAAGACCGATGGTTACTGTAGGCTAATTGACATAAACAAGACGTATGTCCCTATGGCATACTTCTGGTCATTAAAACATATCCAAACTTCCAAATAAATACCAAAATACCAGGGCAACACACACACACACACACACACACACACCCTAACTCAGACTGGGAGTATATAGACATGCCAATGAACCAAATGTGCATATCTTTGAGATGTGGGAGGAAACCAGAGTGCCTGGAGAAACCCACACATATGTGGGGAGAACTTGTACCCTCCACACAGATGATGGCCCTGGCCAGGAATTGCTTTTTTTATTTTCATCCTCAACCATTATAACAAAATAACATTTAACAAAATGATGTTGAAGGAGAGGACATTATTCAAGGTCCTGCTGCACTTTCCTGTTCTAACAAGTCCATTTTCACCTTGTTCTCTAAAAAGCTAAATAGCTCAGCCGGGCGCAGTTGCTCACAACTGTAATCCCAGCTCTTTGGGAGGCCGAGGTGGACGGATTACAAGGTCAGGAGGCAGAGACCATCCTAGCCAACATGGTGAAACCCCAGCTCTACTAAAAATACAAAAACTAACTGGACTTGGTGGTGCGTGTCTGTAATCCCAGCTACTCGGGAGGCTGAGGCAGGAGAGTCGCTTGAACTAGGGAGATGGAGGTAGCAGTGAGCTGAGATCCCACCATTGCACTGCAGCCTGGGTAACAGAGCAAGACTCGGTCTCGAAAAAAAAAAAAAGCGAAATACCTCAATATCACTATCACTCCTCTCTCTCTATTGATTCTTTGCATCATTTTCACAGGAACTACCTGGGAAAAATCTAACTCTAGCTTAAACTCTAGCTTAATCCATCTGTTTAATTTGTTGACTGTAGGCTATGAAGTATTACTAAAGAAATGGATGAGTGAAACATAAATCCATGGTCTTTATGCTCAACTTAGTCCTCAATATAAGCCTGGACATTTTATCCATTCTAAGAACTTCAATTGTCATGGACATGTTTATGATTCTGAGAACTGTATTTCTAAATGAGATTATTTTATTTGGCCCTTTAGTTATTTTCTGGACATCTCCACTTATATCTTCCATAGCCACCTCATAGTATTGTATTCAAAATAGATGTCACCCTTTACTTAAATGACTAATCAATTGTTAGTGGTCAGGTCAGTTAGGGGAGTGGTACCAGCATGTTTATTGAATATATTAGCCTTTCTTTACAATAAAGCTTCTATAAGAAAGCACATTTGGAAATATCGCCTCTAGAGACCCAAGTTTCAAACTGTTAGTGGAAAAAAAATCCCATGGAAAATGAATAAAATTTTGATTTATAATCCAGTGAACATATATCTTAAACATTTCCAAGATTGTCTCACTTAAGTCTTAAGAAATTTGAAATTCAAATGTCAGAAGCATTCTCTAGATTGGGTATATTCTCTTAATCAAAGGATTATTAATCAAATTGATTAGCAGTTTGGACAGGAGGAAATTTCAGTTTACTAGACAGAGATTGACCCATCTTGCTTTTTGTTTCATAATGATTTGGAAACTATTACCAATAGTTAATTTTTGATTTGACATTTATTTAAAACTCTTAATCATTCAAACCATGTGTAGGAGTGTATTTTGTGTGTGTGCAGTGATTAACAAGAATTATAAGCATCTGTTCAAATCAGAGTTTGAGAAGAAACTGGAAGCAAAATGATGGTGGAGTGTGGTTAGTATTCTCATACTGATTGATCTTATTCATCAGAATGTCAGAATATGAGGTCATAAAAATGCATGATCTATTCATAGTAACAAAAATCATAATTATGTGTATTTTTCTAAGATTGTTGTTTTTTCTTATTATCTCCAAAACTACATTGGGTAGGACAATGCTTAATTTTCTGTACTGTTGGAGTGAAGTCACTTTATCTAATTTGTTAAGTAATGGATATCTTTTGAAGGTAACAAAAGAAAGATAATATTTAAAAAAATCTAAAAATTCCAGTGATGTCACTATACAGGAACAAATTCCTTAGGCTTTCAACTCAATACTTAGTTCTTATTGAGTTGCTTGAATTTAGTAATAATGTCTGAAGATGAAAGGAGAGACATTCTCTTAACTTTGCCTTTGGAAGAGGAAAACAGATTTTGTCATTATGGAAAGGCCCCATTGTAATGTAGTGTTGTCTTAGCATGGCCTAAATTAAGTAGTAGCTTTGCTACAGGTAGTAGAGTTTATTGCTAGTTTATTATGTGTATTGCCACTTGAGAAAAGAAGATGTGCTTTAGAAAAATCTAATTACATGTACTTTAGGTTAAGAATTGTATAAGGTCAGAAGCACAATTGTTCAATATTTAATATGTGATCAGAATAAATATAGTTTAAACATAGCAGGGTCAGCAGGGATTGTGCACACATTAAAAGGACCAGTCATTGGGAGAGTATCAAGTGCTTTATGTAAGCAATAGGAAAACCTTATAATTCAGCCACAATCAAAGCCACAAGTGAGTTATAAAGGTCTTTGCTTTCAAGTGAAATAAATTACAACATAGCTACACATGCTTGCTATGTACTGGCTTTATTCCAGTAAGAAGGCAAAAAGGTTTTATTTTCTTTCATAGTGGACAGTGTAAATAGTTTATTTGTTCTGGGTTCACTGTGTATCAGCTATTTTGTAATCTTTCAACTAATCTGAAAATTGCTACGAAAAACTCTCTCCATACTACTCCCTTTATCCTTTAAGTAAATATTAAATTTGAAAACAGCATAAAATTTTATATATTGCTATTTTGCCCAACCTGAGTTTACTTAGAGGTTTAAAGAGTCCAAAGTTCAGAGGTTTTTTTGAAGTGGGTGAAATACTCTAGTAAACAATCCACATGTTTTTCATGATACTTGACCGAAAATGTGAAAACAAAAACAAAATGAAGAATACCACAAAAGAACTTTTGAAAAATAATGGTCCAGAAATGAAATATTTACTTTAGAATGTCATGAAGACAACAAAGATATAAACTCTTTAAAGACGGAGAATTTTAATGTTTTGTTCACTATTTTTTTTTTGAAATGGAGTCTCGCTCTGTTGCCCAGGCTGGAGTGCAGTGGCACAATCTCAGCTCACTGCAACCTCCGCCTCCTGAATTCAAGGGATTCTCCCTGCCTCAGCCTCCTGAGTAGCTGGGATTACAGGCACCTGCCATAATGCCCAGCTACTTTTCGTATTTTTTAGTAGAGATGGAGTTTTGCTATGTTGGCCAGGTTGGTTTTGAACTCCTGACCCCAGATGATTCGCCCGCCTCGGCTTCCCAGAGTGCTGGGATTACAGGCGTGAGCCACCGCACTCAGCCCAGTAACGTATTCTGAGGGCCTAGAATTGTGCTGGCCATACTTTAGATAATTTTTAAAAGACTGATGAAGTGATGAAACCATGTTCTGAATTAAATGGAACTGTGAATTATTTCAATTTTTCTATTTCCTGTGAAATGCATTTGATTTTGTCAAATTACCAGCCTGATATCACTCTTAAAGAAAAAATAATCTGAGTAGAATAAAAACACACATAGTATCTATAGTAGTTTGAAATTCTCTTGATTAGTAGACTAGGGAAGGGAATCAGAATTAATATGTTCTGGTGATTATCGCATCCTCAAGGACTCATTAGAGTTTAAAGAAAATCCTCAGACTCACTGTTATATGAATAAAAAATATTAGAATAATGTTTCAAGTTTTTGATTAGCTCAGGTATTTAATATAGGAGAGAAAAATCCAAGTGTTAAATATGACTATAGGAAGGTAATCATCAAAAAGTGGTGAGAAACTCTCAACTGTATTTGTGTGGATCACAGAACCCTTAGAATTGGAATTAGAAAGTTAGAGGTCATTTACTGTAATCTTATATCAGAGGAAATGGTTTTTACTTCATTGCAATACACACAATTACAGTACCTTTTCATTTATCTGGAGTCTGAGTTACTGGAAAGCTCAACTCACTAATTTATTTTCCCCCTTGACTTTTATGAGAAAGAAAGAAATGACAAATCATAAGAAAGGTAATTAATACATTTGAAGATGACTCTGTGGTGCTTCGAGACCATGAAGTATCTTTTCAGTCATCAGAAAAAGACACAGTTATCATCGGTATCCTTTCTGTGCTCACTCTGGCTTTGTGAACAGGCATGAAACCTTTACCTCATATGGGTACTCTCCACTCTGGGATTTGCGAGTGTTAGATAAATAGGGAAAGACACAGTACTAAAATATTGCTGAAGGCAAGAGAAGAGAGGCACCACAGAGAAGGCAGTAAGCAGAAGCATGGAGGTTGTGAGGAATACAGGAGAGCAGCAAAAGTAAAACAACAACAGCTACAAAAAGCAAACCTGAGGGCCGGGTGTGGTGGCTCACACTTGTAATCCCAGCACTTTGGGAGGCCAAGGTGGGAGGATCACGAGGTCAGGAGATCAAGACCATCCTGGCCAACATGGTGAAACCTCATCTCTACTAAAAATACAAAAATTAGCCAGGCATGGTGGTGGGTGCCTGTAGTCCCAGCTACTCGGGAGGCTGAGGCAGGAGAATTGCTTGAACCCAGGAGGCAGAGGTTGCAGTAAACCGAGATCGTGCCACTGCACTCCAGCCTGGCGACAGAGTGAGATGCCGTCTCAAACAAACAAAAAATACAGAAACAAACAAACAAACAAACAAAAAATTTGAAGAAGCAGATAAGGTAAGAGACAAAAGAAGGGACTCACAAATTCCTGTTTCTGTCAAATTGTCTTCCCGTCTCTGAGACACCGCATTGTACAAGTACTAAGACCCTTCCTTCTAGCAATACAACCTAGTCCCCAACATAATCTTAAAAGCATCCCTGTGACTCAAAATCTAAGTTATTTAATGAAAAGCATGCTGAGTAAATAGCTGGCTATCAGAGAATTGTTAGAGAACATCTCTTGGTCTGAGAATCACATCATTGCTGACCTGTGAAATTATTAGCTTCTGCTTTAATTCATTCCAGTGATAAAAGTGCCATCATGACCCAGAACTTTTTAAAAAAGTGCTCATAAATGTTTTGTTCTTTAAAGGATTAAGAGGTTTAGAACATTTCCTATCTCTCTTTCTCTCCTGCTTTCCCTTTCTTTTTCACCAGTGCCTGACCCATCTACCTTCTCAACCCTTCCTGCCTGTTCTTGCTGTCCACCTTTTTCTTCTTACTGCTTCTTCCTGCCAACCCTCTACCTCCTTCCTCTCTCACTTTCTCAATTTATAATTTGTTTAAATACAACGCAAAAGTATATACTAGAATAGACTGTGCCGATGTGTTAAATGTTAGTTGTAGAGGTTCCCTACGTGTCACAATAATTATTCAGTACATGTAGTTAATGCATTCTTAAACAGTAATTATTACTACTTGCTAAGAACAGGTAAAGCTATTAAAAGAGTCTCAAAACACAATAACCTTTAACACATCTGAGCAATGAAAGTGTTTGTAGTAGACTTTATGAGGTTTCCAACCCCAAACGCTCATTTTGGAAAAGAGCCATTTGGGTAGTATTTTCTACCCTCAAAGGACTGACTATTGCTACTGCCATATTTCACTGTTACTTGAATTGCTGCTATAAAATGGTTAGTTCAAATGAACTGCAGTAGCATAGCGAATGTTTTCTAAATTTTCTTGACTGAAGTCATGCGTATGAGCCAAAGTGCTTTTTATAAGTCATTTCTAAATGTGACATAGTAGAAAACTGTGTGGGCTTTGATTGCAGCTCAAACTCTGATTTGACACCCTATGTTGTCCCTATGTTGTCACTTATAATCAGCTGATTTCATCTCCTTGACTATAATTTTCTCATCTGTAAAATTGAATAGTGAAACTTATCTTGCATGGTTATGGGTATGTAAAAAGGGATATATTTTAAATGCAGTATATATGTTCAATAATATGAGATTTAATTTAAAATACCTCATTTTATTCCACCCATAACCATGTAGACAACCAGGTGTCATCATTATTTATCCTCTGATAAAACTGTGCTGCTTTTTTTCTTCTTATTGCCTGAACTTGTCTTATTTGCATTCAATTTTATTTTCAAATTTCTCAGTTTGAAAATATTGAAGGCCTCCAAGAAATATAAAAATGTTTACAGATAAACTAAATCATACAGAATGCTTATTAATTAAT
This sequence comes from Homo sapiens, assembly GCF_000001405.40. NCBI lineage: Eukaryota > Metazoa > Chordata > Mammalia > Primates > Hominidae > Homo > Homo sapiens. The sequence continues at coordinate 31,415,369 of NC_000004.12, forward strand.
AATTAGTCCAGGATGCACCTCTCCGATCCTCTCCTTCCTCAGATTCCACAAATTCTATTGGTTCAATAGGAAGAATTTTTCTTGATATCACAAATGGGCCCTTACTCTCACCACACACTGATTCAACTTGGCATCGAATGCCCTTATATTTTCATTTGTGTGGTATATTTTGCAAGATAGGTATGCTGGGACCAAGGAGGCATGTAAATATACACATAAAAAAACTGGATAGCAAGATTTCTTCGTCCTTTAAGACTTGCAGTCATTCATTCAAACACCATTTATTGACCATTTATGGTCAAAATACATCGGGCGTTACAGAGAAGAGAGCTTTTCTACTCCCAAAGAGCTCAAGATTAAAGTACCTAAGCCTGCTTCACAATGGACTGAGTTTAACAAGTATTTGTTGAAGGGCCAGTGTGTACAAAGAAACATATTGAGTATTGTAGTAAAGATATAAAGATTAAAACAATAGAATGCTTCCTTCTAAGAGCCTTGTGTAATTGCTGGGTACATGACCTATAAGTAAACAATACATCCAAGACAGTACATTCCAATAACAGTGACAGTGCTAACATTGTAGAGCACTTAGATTGCACCAAACATGCTTCTAGGTATGTATGTGTATTATCAATTTAATTATCTTACGTATTGTCTGTATGAGATATTGTTATCCTGATTTACACATGAGGAAATGAAGTACAGATGTTAGATATCTTTTCAAAATCATATAGCTACTAAGTTTAGCATCCTTGATTTGAATGCCTATGGTTGAATTAAGTTGGTTAAGACCCCAACTTAACCATAGTGATATATTGCCTCTTTTAACTGATATGTATGTGAAAAAAAAGAAATCTAATATATATGATATATCTAAAACAATTAGAATTAGTTGTAGGCTCCTCATAGTTTTTTCTTTTTTTTTTTTAAGGTGGCTTATGGATTACATTTTGAATAAGATTTCAGTGGGCTGAGATGGAGGGTGGATTTGGAATGCAATGGAACTGTTCCAATCTGAGGAGACAATATGAACAGGGGTGCTGCAGTAATATGCTGTGGAAGTGATCTACAAACAGTCACAAACTCTGGATGAGAAAAAGGCATAAGATGAGAGGAGTGGGAATTAAAGCTAGAAGTTGTGAGGGGAGCAGTGCTACAGCAATGAGAACGCTTTAAATCTTTGAAAAGGATAAAACCCTAAAAGCTTAGACCACCTGACAAGGTGTGACAGCCTAATCTTTGTGAGGTATTTGAAGAGGTCACCACAGCTGTCTGAACTCGAAGAACTGTGACTCTCTCCCGTCCCTGAAACAATCCCTGCTGAGTTCCAGGCAGCCAAGGGAGGTTCTGCTTAAATGACTGCATAAAATCATCCTTAGCATATGGGGCTTGAAAGTAATGCTGCGTGTTGTCAGATACCACCAGTTATAACTGTCTCCAAGAGCAAAGGTAAGAGCGTGAGCTACGCCATATATCGTGGCTTCTTTCTGGTCCTGTTGCCATCAAGATCCATTCAGAGGCTCCTGGACAAAATGGTTGACTTGAGTACCTTCATCCTTGAGAATGTGAAGCAGATGAAAATCATTTCTTAATTTGTGGTGGAGAAAGGGAGAGGCAAGGTCGGAGTGTCCATTTAAACAAGACAGTCACTTATGCCCTTCTGAGAGATCAGCAATCAAATGGCTGTATTAAAACTGACACACACTGTATCCAAAAAGTAAAATGATACTTTTTAAGAAGAAAAACCATCCCAAAAGTTAGGCAGAATTATGTCCTTGGCCTTCAGAAAAACACCGCAGCCAGGACAGAATCGCTTCATGTTCCTCTGCTCTTTTCTTCCCTGTGTTCTGCATTATTACTTGCTAAATCAATTGCAGCTGCTGACCTCGGTCCAGTGCATTTAAGCCCTTTCTTGGGGCCTCTTTAGTGCCCTTTGAGAATTTCACCCATAACTCCTTCTCAGTTCCCTAAGCTGTCTTGACTTCTCTACCAGAAAATTGTGATTATATTTATAACAGCATTTTGAGAATATTTCACCAAACTGCTAACAAACCCTGTTTTATACAACCAATACATGATGCCTTCAATGCCTTTTTCTCTGCATGATGGCCTAGATTAATGCACTATATAATGTGTGTAAATATAGCCATGTTTCTTCTTTAAAAGTCATTAAGAGGGTTTTAATAAACATTGAAATGATCAATGTGTTAATTGGCTCCTGATAATGTTTATCAAATATTTAGGAAAAGAAAATAAAGTACCATATGGCAAATAATCCAATTCAAGAAAGTAGTTTTAGTGGAAGAGATTTGTTTAATAGGGATAGAATTTCAACAAGAAAAGCTTTTTTAAATACAAATGGGAAAAAGAGGTAAGAATTAGCTTAAGTAGAATTTAATGCAACATTAGGTTTGCAAATTTAATTGAACAAAGTTAGAAAATTTGAAGTTTACATTACAAGAACAAGTCCAAATTCCGTTTGTTGGTTATGTGTCATGGAACACATAGATTTTACACTTATTTGTATTATTTGTCAATAATAATGTTCTACATTGCAAAACTAATGACCTACAAAAATACTTTATCCATTTCCATATCTGAGGGCCCGTCTAGTCAAAGGGAGGAAACAGCTATGCAATACAGGTAAAATTCAATGTAATTATCCTTTATACTTCTATCACTTCTTTAAATTGTGGAAAACAAATAAAGATATAAATATAGAGATAATTTATCTATACCTCTATCTATCATCTCTCTATCTATATGTAGGTATTTTTGTCCTTTTACATTGTCTAGCTAAGGTATTTCAAATTATTATAAATTTAAATTTCATGCAATAAAAATTAATGAGTAAAAGAAAGACACATTTAATTTTTCCCTTGAAGCTTACCCTAAAAACAGCACAAAGGATAAGCTTGTTGAAGGATGACAGGGGCACAGATGTTGACTGTGCTAAAAATCTAAAAGAGAAGAAAAGCAAAATCCAAGGGCTAGGGAATAATAAAAGGTCCAGGATCTCCTTTTACTTACCTACAAGTGCCACAAGACTTTTCATGCTAAGAAAAATGCTTATGCTGCCAAGAAAACGGTGACATCTCCTAGTCTCTACTTGCTTCATGGCAAACAAATAGCTATTCCAGTTTATTAGAAAAACTGGGCTTAATCTCTGCTGAACATTTATTTCCAACTTTCTGGCATTGTTTTTCATTATGGGTTAATGGAGGCAGAGAATCTTACTACTTTCTGCCCTGGGACTTAAAGCTTTTCTATTGTATGCACACTTTTTCTTTCACATTTTTATAAAGTAATTAAACTGATACCCCAACATTGATCTTAAACAAAACTTAGAATGGGGAATTTTTTTTCAGGAAGTCTATTATTGTTACTGAAGAATTTCAAATTAAAGAGACATAGGCAGCAGGATATGCAACAAAAAATAAGATTTATATAAGGTAAGTCATAATTTTTTAAAATGTGAAATTAACAGAATAACATGAAGAGGAATTCTACATTTAAGACTTGAAGATTTATGGAATTTTAAGGAAATACATGTTCTGAGGGATGCAAGAAAATAAAAATGAGAAAAACTAAATGAGTCAGAAATAGATATCACAGAAATTCTATGTATTGTTATATAAATTCTTACTGAATTTTCTGGGATAAGACATTATATTCAGAAAAATACGTAATATTCGGTTCATATAAATTTGTGATGATTCTTTTAAGTGAAAAATTATTGTTTAAGGTTATACTTATTTTCAACATTATGATACATTTAAAAAATAATTTGAGTTTATGATGCAAATGAAAGTTGTTGGTATAACTTATTCACTGAGTAATAGACAGTCTATTTATTTGGGTTATTAGATGTGTTTTTTATTTATATTGTACTAAAAACACCTGCAATACTAAGCAATACCCTGCTTCTCTAATCTATTATAATAATTCATTCAGCATGACATTGAACAGCTTCAACAAAATGAGTAAAGAATTTAAGAAAATCTCACTTTTGTTAGAGAGCTAGCTACATAATTGTACTGTTACGTTATTATTATTATTATTTTATTTCTTTATTTTTATTTTTATTTTTTGAGATGGAGTCTTGCGCTGTCGCCCAGGCTGGAGTGCCGTTCCACGATCTGGGCTCACTGCAAGCTCCGCCTCCTGGATTCACGCCATTCTCCTGCCTCAGCCTCCGGAGTAGCTGGGATTATAGGCACCCGCCACCACGCCTGGCTAATTTTTTTTTGTATTTTTAGTAGAGACGGGGTTTCACCGTGTTAGTCAGGATGGTATCCATCTCCTGACCTCGTGATCCGCCCACCTCGGCCTCCCAAAGTGCTGAGATTACAGGCGTAATCTCAGCCTAATTTACTCTCAGCCTAATTTAAACATATAGTATTCAATTATTAGCTATATTCACCATACTATGTAATTGACCTCAAAAAATGTTTTTTAAACCATCCTTATTCCTTCTACCTAACTGAGGTTTTTACCCTTTGACTATCATCTCCCCTATTTCCCCACACTCCTAGCCTCTGGTAACTACCTTTGTATTCCTTGGTTCCATCAGTTCGAGAATTTTAGATGCCAAATTTAAATGAGAACATGTGGTATTTGTCTGTCTTTGGTTTATTTTACTGAGCATAAAGTTCTTCAATTCCATTCATGTTTTCAATAATGATAGATTTTTTTTCTGTTTAAAAGGTAAATAGTATTCCATTGAGTATATTTACCACTTTTCTTTATTCATTTCTCCCTTGATGGACAGACACCTAGGCTGATTCCATAACTTGGCTATTGTGAATAGTACTACAATGAACATGAGAGTACAGATATCTCTTCAACATAAAGATTTTTAATCTTTTGGGCAAATACGCAAAGGTGGAACTGCTGGGACATATGGTACTTCTATTTGTAGTTTTGTGAGGAAACTTCATACTGTTTTCATAATGGTTGTGGTAATTTACATTCTTAACAACAGTGTATAAGGGCCCCCTTTTCTCCACATCCTCGCCAGCACTCGCTATCCTTTGCCTTTTTGATGCCATTCTAACAGGTGTGAGATGTTACCTCATTGTGGTTTTCTTTTACATCTCTCTAATGACTAGTGATAATAAGTGGTTTTTCATGTATCTGTTAGTCATTAATGTCTTCTTTTGACAGATGTCTATCCAGATACCTTGCCCATTTCTTAAACAGATTATTTATTTTCCTTCTATAGAGTTTGACTTAATTATATAATATTGCGGATATTAATCCTTTATTAGATGTATGGCTTGCAAATATTTTCTCCAAATTGGTAGGTTGGCCTTTTCACTCTTTTAGTTGTTTCCTTTGTTGTGTAGAAACTTTTAATTTCATTGTAATTCTATTTGTCTATTTTTGCTTTTATTGACATGCTTTTGGGGTCAAAGCTAAAACATCATTGTCCATGTAGATTTTCCCCTATATTTTCTTCCAGTAGTTTTACAGTTTCAAGTCTTTAAGTCCTTCTTTAATCCATTTTCAGTTGATTTTTGTACATAATAAAAGAGTCCAATTTCATTCTTTTCCATCTGGATATATAGATTTCCCAACCATTGAAGAGAATATTATTTTTCTATTGTATATTCTTTGTAGCTTTGTCAAAGATCAATTGACCATAGATGTGTGGGTTCTTTTTAAGGGTCTCTATTCGGCTCTATTGGTTAATGTATCTATATTTATGCCAGTACCATGCTATTTTAATTACTATAATTTTGTCAAATAGTTTAAAAATGGGTTGGGATATCTCCATCTTTGTTCCCCTTGCTCATGATTGCATAAACTTTAGGCTTTTTTTGTGTGTCCATATGAATTTTGGAATTTTTTCTATATCTATGAGAAATGACATTAAAATTTTTTATAGGCATGTCATCAAATCTGTAGATTGCTTTGTATAGAATGGACATTTTAACAATATTAATTCATCCAGTCCATGAACATGGGATGTCGTTCCATTTATTTGTGTCTTCTTCAATGTCTTTCATTAACTTTGTATAGTTTTCAGTGTACAATCTTTCACAGCCTTGAATAAATTTATTCCTAAATATTTTTATAGCTATTGTATATAAAATTGTTCTTCATATTGAGAGAGAAAGTGTGTGTATATATATAATATATATATATACACACACACATATATATATATAAGTTTTATATTTAGGCCTATTTAAGAGAGCACAAACAGACTATAGTGTTGTTATTATTATATTGTTACAGTTATGGTTTTTATTTTTATGTAGGCCAATAGCAGAGACAAATTGCCTAATAGGTCCCTGCATGTAAAACAGTTTGTTAAAATTTAACTCAAATGTAACCAAAAGGGTTATTTTTTCTTATATAGCCTGCTAAGCTTTCTTAGTTACCCAATGATGACTGCAAGCCTACTGTAAAGTCTACAAAGAGATGGACTTTCATAATTACTATAACTGCCACTCACAGAGCACATCATTTAATCCTCACAATAGCTAATAAATACATTGTCAACATCAAACCAGAATTGGCAGAGTGAGGACCAGAACTCAGGTCCTAGGTTTCTGTTTTTTTCACTCAAAAACACTCCTCATTGCTTTATATTGCTGGGACTCACTAACGTCTTATGTATGAATGGATATCTTTTGTAAAGACAGTGAAAGTGATATGCTAGTCTCTGAATTGTAACTATATTATAAGTAGAGACAACAGATGCCTCTATATGAGCAGATTATCACTGGCAACACTGGTCTTAAAGCTAAGACTAGCTGACTTAGATTAGAATACAAGATGAATTGTGGTACAATTCATACAAAATGAATTGTGGTGTGTGATGAATTCAATGCACACTGTTCAAGACTCCGGAAGGAACAGTCAAATTGGAATCCACAGGATATAACCTTGACTCATGTCCTAGAGATGTGCATTGATTTGGAATTTCATGGAGGCTATTGGTGCCACAAATCTGCTTATTTCGAAAAACACTGTGAGTGAGAATTAATTATTATAAGGCAGTGTTTGCAATCCTAAAAGTAAAGGTAAAACTCTGTTTATAATAAAGTCAATTTCCCTTCAGTATCTGCAACAGAAAATAGCAACATTATGTGTTATTGTTGAAAGTTTAGGCAGCAGTTGTTGTTTTAACTGAAAAGCTTTTTAATATTAGTGACATTTCACAAATATAATGGCATTCAAGTTTATAAGCCTTTGAAATATTTTCAATAGTTAAACTTCATACTGTAAATGCCTATTAATTACATATGTGTACATTAGTGGATTGATACATATATACAATGTTTACCAAATTTATTATAAGAATAAATGTGGAATTACTTTGGAACTTTAATAAATTATCCATCTAAACTTTATTTGAAATGAAAAGAAAACACAAAACAACAAAATTCCATCTACAACCAAATGATGAAATAATGTATGTGTGTGTGTATATATAATGTATAAATATTTAATATTATAGGACATCAAAACAAGTATATATATATATATTTGACTCCCTTCAAACCATATGGAAAAGTTTCTAACAGGGAGAGTAAAATCAATTGTTTTTAACTATTGTGAGAAAATGTCTCAAGAAATCACTTTTTTGCTGGAAATGTCTGTTGCTATTGTTATCTCACTAGTTTTAATACTATTTCATCCAACAAACTGACAGCTGTTCACTTTATTCTGCAGTAGCAAATTGCAGTTGCCACCAATTAGGGAATGTACAGCATACTTTCTTTCAGTTTTTTAGTTTTTCTTTATTTTTATGGTAGTTTTAGTACAAACTTCAGCCTGTTCTGCAACAGTAGAATGTTTTTGTTTAGAATTGTAAAGTTTCTTCATAACCTTTTTATATCTGAAAAATAATTTAATTATAACTAAAATAATCAATATTTCAATTTAATCATGAATTGCGATGTATGTAGGTATCACTGTAATCATGTTTCCAAAAATATTTTAAAAACACATTACAGTGTTATATCTGTGCATTAAAAAATAGAGCTGAATTAATTTGTTGACATTTACCAAATTGGTGGTATATTTATGTGTAATAATAGAAACAATGCTTGTGCTCAGCTTGAGGCCTGCAGTAGAATAATGCTATCCTATACGATAATGATTAAAGTGAAATGTAATCCTATCAAAACAGCAAAGTTTATGGAATGCAAACATATTTACAGTGCTTCAGTTTTTAACCTTAGATGAAAAGAAAATTAATTAAATTAAAAATTTCAGTTCCTTAGTTGCACTTGCCACACTAACAGTGCTCAATAGCTGCATAAATCAACCTAGTTCTAAGTGGTCCTATTCTATTCTTTAAGGTTGGTAATTTCAGTGTAATACAAAAGTTGCTAAAATGACAAAAATACCCACATGTATTTGTTGCATATATAGGTTCAATTCAACTGTTGTTGCTAACCTCAAATCAAAAGAAACTATAAAATAAATTGCTTGTTCAAGGACTTCAAGTAAATGGAAAATTTTTTTTTTTTTTTTTTTTTTGAGACGGAGTCTCGCTCTGTCGCCCAGGCTGGAGTGCAGTGGTGCGATCTCGGCTCACTGCAAGCTCCGCCTCCCGGGTTCACGCCATTCTCCTGCCTCAGCCTCCCGAGTAGCTGGGACTACAGGCGCCCGCTACCACGCCCGGCTAATTTTTTGTATTTTTAGTAGAGAGGGGGTTTCACCGTGTTAGCCAGGATGGTCTCGATCTCCTGACCTCGTGATCCGCCCGCCTTCCACACCTTGTTTCTTCTTTCTTTGTCATTTTATTTCACTTTTATATTAATTGTTAGTGCTTATTTTATGCATTCTGAAATCCATCTTACCCTTGACTTCTGTTTCCCTTTTTTTTCTGTAAGTATAAATTTATTTTTTTCCACTTTTTATATGTCATATTCCCCTCCTTTGGTTTTTTTCCTTTCTTAGTTCCTTTGGAAACTGCAAACATTTGAGTATTAGAATCACATCTACTTCAGTGTAGCATCTTGCATAAAATGTCTTACCCAGAGTGATCAAAAAGTATTATGACATGCATCTATAGGAAGCTCTCAACATCCATCAACAGACTTCTCTTCTGGCTGCCTTTGTCATTGAAATGTGAATTTTGCATAAGGACATCATAGAAGGCTATAAGGTCAAAAGTGAAATATATTATTTTTCAGATGAAACACTGTAATGTGTGTACTGATTATAATTAGCCTTCCAAATAAGGATACTTCAGAATGCCACAGAAATATGTTCTTTATCCTATTCTCTTTAAAAATCTTTCCTCTAGTTTCTGTGGTGAAAACACTAAAAGCAATTAAGACCTTTGCCTTCTTTTCTATAGAAGTAATGTAAACAATTCTATGTTGGTTAAATTATCTCAGAGTAAAGCAGTCTTTTAATTGCAAGCTAGTGTATGGCATTTTTGCTATATTCAATTTAAGCCATGCCAAATAATTCTCTATGGAAAATAACAAATAAAAATCACATCCTAACTACCAATTTTTCTCTTAATCTGTTTTGGTAAATAGGATAGAAGGAAATATAGTTATCTCTGTCAAAAAATAAACCATTTTTATCTATAGAAGAGAAATGGGGAAGAATCCAAAGATAGAACAAAAGCCTGAAATCAAATGTTTCAGTTAGTATGTGGAAATGAATGTACAGTATGGATTGCATTTACATATGATAGTCCAATCAGGCAAGTTTCTCATTTACAGGTGTTTCATTTCTCCTTAAAACATATGGACCAGGCGTGGTGGCTCACACCTGTAATCCCAGCACTTTGGGAGGCTGAGGTGGGCGGATCACCTGAGGTCAGGAGTTCAAGACCAGCCTGGCCAACACGGTAAAACCCTGTCTCTACAAAAATACAAAAATTAGCTGGGCATGGTGGCAGGTTCCTGTAATTCCAGCTACTCAGGAGACTGAGGTGGGAGAATTGCTTGAGCCTGGGAGGCAGAGGTTGTAGTGAGCCTCCATTGCGCCACTGCACTACTGCACTCCAGCCTGGGTGACAGAGCAAGACTCCATCTCATCAAAAAAAAAAAAAAAAAAAGGTAATATTCTAGAATCTGGTGATTGGGTTTTCTGTTCTTTTGGACTCATTTGGACTAACTGTCTTATCAAGAGACTTCATTTGTCCCGTCTTACATCTTACCGACTGCATCATCCTGTGTAGGGTATAGACATATTTATTTCAAGAATACAAATTAGGAGTAGGCAAACTACAATTTTTTGGACAAGTAAGACCCTTGGTCTATTTTTGTATGCTGTACACCCAGCTAGGAAACATTTTTAAACTGAAAAATTCTTTTAAAAAAGAAAAGAAAAGAAAAGAAAAGAACTAGTGTGGAGTGGAGACCAAATATGGCCTGTAACCCTAAATTATTTGCTCTCTGGCCATCTAAAGAAAAGTTTGCCAACCCCTGTGTTATGGGAAAAAAGTGCTTCTATGTTATTGACATTATTTTGGGGTATAGTGCTCATGTTAGCCCTCTTAGCAAATGCACTTATTGTTTTATTATGAATCTCCAAATTTTTAAAATAAAAACACTAATTTATTTTTTTAATCATTATTTCTGCTTATTTTCTTAAACTTCTCAATTTCTTGTGTGTGCATATGTAGGATGGTCATGTTATTCATCAATTTTTCAGAAATTGGCTCCTTATTCCCCTTTATTCCATCAGGATTGATTTCCCTCAATATTCAAAATAATTTCTTATTTATTAAATCTGTTAAAATAACATGCATTTGCTCATATAGCATCACTGCTTGTGTATCATTCTTCAGACTATAATTAGAAATATGTCTGTTAAATAATTTATGTTTGGCCATTTTCCTTTCGTCTACAAAGTGCTATTTCCATTTGTGAACTATTTTATCTTCTTGCACCAATAATCTATAAAACGGCATCTTGTTTTAAACTCCTTATCAAAGTGTGGATAAGCTCTGATACTTAAAAAATATCAGATTGGTTCTTGAAGCATTAACTCATTATCTGAATAAATATGGTTTATTATTTTCTTATCACTGACCTGCAGTAGCACCTGATCTTCAGGAAAATCAAGTTATATGAAATGACAGCCTTGACCTTATAACCTCCCTTCTGTCATGCATGTCACTGTGCTTAAACGAGAAGGCTGTTGCATGTTTAATATATCTTATTCTTAACATATATATGACTAAGAATTTATAATAATTAGGTTCATTTTTGCATCAAATATTGAAGTTGTATATAGCCTTGGTTCTGCTTTAATAATTGAACAAAATTTAACTTGATGAATTATTTCACGCAGCAATGTTTTGTAGAATAACATTTTCTCCCAAACACCTGTAGTCCTCTTTAATTCTGTTTCCACTACATTTAAATGTTGTAAAGATTCTGTATCTCTGTATATTTATTTTCATTTGTTTTAATTACATTAACAATTAACCAACCTAAGGACACAGCACTAATTACCTCAAATAACCATGCCTTAGGAAAAGGGCTATTTAGAAATAAGAAGTTCATTTCTATAATCCCTCAAGTACAAACAAACAAAAAAATTGTTGTAGTTTAAATTTCAGAATTTCGGATTCCAAAGGTCTTCAGAGGTCCTAATGCTATTTTTTTCATGAGATTATGATGTTGTTATTAAAAAATGAGACATAGTGCAATCTCCGAGAGCTTGTCAGGACTTCAGCTACCCAAAATGTTCTAGAAATTTTAGCTCCAGAGCAGTGATTCCCGGATATCCCACCAACTAGTTCAATCTTTCTTCCTCTTTATTCAAACTGACATTTCCCTGCTACCAAAGAGAAATATAAAAATTCTATTTTATTATTATTATTTTTTTGAGATGGAGTCTTGCTCTGTTTTCCAGGCTGGAGTGCAGTGGTGCGATCTCGGCTCACTGCAATCTCCACCTCCCAGGTTCAAGCAATTCTCTTGTCTCACCCTCCTGAAAAATTATATTTTAATGCTCATTCTTTCAGGTTTTCAATATGAATTTCTTTAAGACTTCTGAGTCTTTATCCCTGACTTTTAAAGTTATCACCTAATGATATTTGCTATGTCAGAATCCTCCTCCACACAATAACCCAACATGAGATAATTATTTTTATTAAAGTAGAAAACTGAGACTTGAAATGATAGTCTAAAATCACACACTTAGTCCTCTGCAGAATTGGCACTTTATTCCAAATGCTTCTAAAATCAGTGGCCATAAATTTGTTCACCAGTTTACACTAAAATCTATTAATGGACATGATATTTAAACAAAAGACCATAAGGCTTATATTCTTACGTCAGCTTGGCTCTTCCAAGGAGCAACATTAAAATGGATTAGATATGGAGAAGATAGATTGGCTGAAATGCCTGTAAAGCATAAAGGGGAAAGGAGCTGGGCGAGCTTTCGATCTGTTGCATGTCTGACACCTCAGAAGGAGAGAGGAAAAGAAGAGGACTGTTTATTAAGAGTCTCAGCTTGCAGCATATTTCCAAGAAAGGTTCACTGAGGCAGACAGATGAGTGAATACTTGAGCCAAAGTTGCCTCTCCTTGCTAGAATGGAGCTGCCAAACTCAGTCCTGGCTGAGAGCAAGTTGCAGGAACAGGGCCTCAGCTTAAAAACGGTGGGGCTGTCAACTATGCTTCTCACAGCAGAAGATCTAAGTAGTGCTGCAAAGTCTTCAAATTATGAAAGATCATATGTTTTAAATAAAAATCCAAGACAATGGATAGCTATGAACATGCATGTGAATTACGTTCTATTTATAGCCTTAATTGGAACCTAGGGATGTGTGAGTGGTGGATAGAAGGCTAAGCATGGAATTCAAGAGGAGAATATGATGAAGGTTTCTCTGAACAGAGGTTAGAAGAGCAAATGTCTGTTGATCAGCTCTGTAAGTGCTAGTGCTGTTGAAAGGAGTGAAAAAAAATTCAGAATTCAAGGAGGGAAGAGTAGTGGAAAGAGACAGTAAAGTCTAAAATGTTTTCATAAACTGCAAGAGGACTGAGACAGAAACTGGTCGTAAGAGAGAGACTGAAGCAAGATGATTCTAAGACCCAGGAGCAATGGGTCCATTGGGTAAGTGGGACAACACTAGTAAACCAGGATAATGGGGCAGAGAGAGCTTCAGGTCCTGCAGGCCACCTGCATGCAAAGGGGCAAGGACATGATTAAAAGAGGAAATGAAAGAGACCATGTAAATCTTCATTGGCTCTGGGAAAATCTGGGATGATTGCTGAAAATAACATTTTCAACATCTGTGACTCAAACTAACCTTTAATAATTAGATGTTAAAAACTTGCAGTTACTTTCATCATATTATGTAAATATAAGCTGTGTCAGTATTGTGTGTGTACATATATATATACACACATATATATTGTGTATGGGTATGTGTATATATATATACACATATATATTGTGTATGTGTATATGTATATACAGAAATATAAAAGGAAGGAAATATATATATGTATGTTTATATATGTATTTCAAGTAGTAACGTCTCTTATGAAATTCTCTCCCCTCCACCCCAGTTTGTGTCTTCCTAAAGTCACTGATTTTCTTTAGCCCCAATCTAACCCTTTACCAAGTGTTCTTTTAACAGGGATTTAGTATTAACCAAGGAAAGAGAAGATGAACAATGTTTTATGTTGATATGCTTTCAAGGGGAGTGCATTTTACTAGGCTGTCTTTTAACACTTTCTTGATATTTTTATTTTATTTTTAAAATTTAATTTATTTAAATTGATAAATAACAATTGTACATATATCTGGGGTACATAGTGAAGTTTCAATACATATAATGTATCATCATCAGGATAATTAGCATATTCATCATCTAATACATTTGTCACTTCTTTGTGTGGAGAGCATTCAATATCTTCCTTGTAGCTATGTGAAACTACATATTATTGTTAACTGTAGTCATCCTATAGTGGTATAGAACACTAGAAGTTATTCCTTCTATATAGCTGTAATTTTATATTCTTTAACCAGTCTCTTCTTATCCATTCCTCTTTCCTCCCCTTCCCAGTCTGTAGTATTATTAGGATAATTTTGAAATCTCAAAAAAGCCCTTAAATGTTAAGGAAACGCACTCAAATGAGCAATTGAGCTCTGATTATTATCCAATGCGAACAATATTAGATTAAGTTGCGACTAGAAAGAAACTACTGCTTATTTGTACTATTAAAAAGCCTCAAGTATTTTTGGAAAAAATAACATGTAAATAAAATTTTGAGCCACATATAGCTAAAAGTAAATGCATTAAAATTCAATATTAAAACCTGAACAACTTAAATAACAAAATGCTGCTGTTATAGATATACACACTTCGTCTGATTTTTGACCTAGTTTCTTAGTTTGAAAGTCACTCAGTCCGGTTATTTGTCTCCACAGTGTTTTTGATGTGCACTGCTTTACAATCGCATACTCTCATTTGCATTCTTCCATGTCCGGTGCACAGTTCAGCTAATCTTTTACTGTCAGTTATTTTTTTTCTCTTAAACAATTGTCTAAATGTCAGGCATCATAGAAGTGGTTTCAAAAATTTAAAATCACAATTTCTAAATCCCAATCAAAATTATTAAAGGACTTCAGGATATGACTTATCTTAATTATCTTCTAGATTCCTTTCCATTTTTAATTGCTGGCTACAGTTTTTAGGAGTAAAGAGGCATTTTAAATGTTTTTATTCTTTTTATAGCCTTCTTCCTCCTCAGGGCCTAATTTATTCTTTGAGTTAGCAGGCCCAGGTGTTTGCCAAAAGCCCTCCCTTTCTAAATTCCAATTTGCAAGAAAAGGAAAAAAATATCAGCATTAAAAAAATACTTATTTCTTAATTGTGACCTTTTACGGCAACATGGACATTTGTCATTTCTTTCACACTGTAAATCAAACTTACAGGTGAGCAATGAGACCAGCTGACACTGAAAATGGGTTTTTGAAACCTTTGAGTAATTTAGAATGTTTTCCTGTCCCTGAATATAAAGTCAGGTATATTTTACTGACTGATTCATTTAAATCCTACTTCTTTTACAGTCAGATTCCCTATAAAAATTTCAACTCTCCAAGATATATTGTCTGTATAGACATAATCATAAAATTTTGTTTAGTCTTAAATTTGCATTGTTTTAGCTCTTTTATATAACTAATCTTTATATTCTCTTTATAACTGTATTTTTCCTTTATTAGCTGTTTATTTCTACAAGTTATACAATATTTAAAGTACATAAGCCATTAGTAATCAACTTAACCCATAATGCATTCCATCTTTCTTTTCTCTCTAAGGTAATAACAGGTCTAAGCTAAACTTTAATATCCTCGTATGATACCAAGTTATAGTATTACAAAAGATGTTTCAGGTTGTTGTAAGGGAATGTCTCCTTCAAAATTTTTAAATGGACTTATATAGGACAGACAGGACACAACTGCATTAACCAGTGAGTTGGGAAAAATATGTCACCCTGTATTCCACATAGTGTGCATTTTTCATTCACACACTCATCTGCCAAAACTTATGACTGTGAATTATGTTAACAATTTTGGTTTAGGTCAGTGCACACAATTTAAACACCTACACAATAGCCTGTATTTTCATTCTCTTATTGAAAGTCTCTATTCAGCAGGGTAGATACATTTAAATAGCCAAAAAAGAGAAGTAAGTCTATGAGCAGTCTTCCTTAGTTATTTTCATTTGAGCTCACAGTCTGACCTATTTTATTGATGTTGCAGAAACATTATGAGAAATCCTTTTAAATCTTGAAAGAGCAGTTGCAAAAAATATGTAGTATGCACATACAGACACATAGAAATGGCTGAAGTGCCGAGTAGCATACATTTCTTTGCTAATTTCTAAAGTAGGGACATATACACATAAAAATTATTGGCAATCCTAAAAATATCAAGGACTCCTTAGCTATAAAAAGTAATATATGGTGTATGGAATGCACTGAGTCGATTCACTGCTTTTCAGGGAAACATTCCCATTTTGACCCCTGAATAAATCAGCTAATGTCATAAAAGCTAAAACTGAATTCTCTTTCCTTAGCTTAAGTATAAATCTAATAATTAGTGTAGAAATTATCAGACTCAATATTCCCTAGGTTTGGGGAATTCTATAGGTTGATGTTAGGTGAACACATATATATTTACATGCTTTTGAAATAAATATATCAATGATTTAAGAAAGTGTTCTGTTTTTTAAAGCAAGTACTAAAAATTTGATGTTTTTCACAGAAATACTCACTTTATATTCTGTATTAATATGAGGTTTTTAAAATTGAATTTATACTTTTATATGTTATATTTTTACTTAGTCAGGAAGTATCGTAGTCTTGTATTTTTGCTTTCTCCAATATATATGGAATGACCCACAATAAGCTTAGTAGGATTTTATATGCAAAGTATAATTGTTTTGCTATTTTAAGCTTCAAAAGGTAAAAGAGCTTGGGAGTCATTATTCTCATCTTTAAAACAAGCAATGAAAGTGTTAGATAAACAGATCATCAATGATTTTTCTTCTACCGTTAGAGAACTGAGGTCACAAGGCAAACTGCCACCCTGAAATTTGGAGAGACAGACCTATCCGCTGAAAGAAAGCCTAATCTGCTAATCTGGTACAAAAGTCCCTGGAGAGCTAAAGTGATTGAAACCCTTGAATTAGGTAAATTTTGCCTAATTGCTGTAAACTGAGTGTGGACTAGCCTGAAAGTGAGAGGATGCTGGGATCTATAGTCCTACTTGTGTGGGTTTCAATTCCAGGAATCATACCAGGTTCTCATGGTAAATATCCAAGAAAGATTCCCTCATGGCTCTAGCAGGGAAAAAGGGAAAAAAAAACCATTGTGAAATACACCCAAATGATTTTCAATAACACATTTATACTCCCCGAGGGAAAGGATTTTGCCTCAGTTTTACTTCAGCTAGGGGAAGAGAATTCCTACCAGTCCAGTTGCCTCCAGCCTTCTTATCTTACTTGAGTGGAAAATAACAATAACGGCAACAACAAAATTAAGCATGGTCCACAGAGGACATAGGTTAAAGAAAGTAGATTGGGAATACCTAAGCCAGGGAAGGGAATAGGGAACAGGAGGACAAAGCTATAATACTGGAGAAACATTGGGAGGTTAGAGCCCAAGAACACTTGCCTTGTAAAGACCAAGATTTAATCAGATTGTAGAATGTCCCTGGTTTCCCATACCTTAGCACTACACCAACAGGGCTTCAGTATAATTGATAGATGC
The DNA here is from genome assembly GCF_000001405.40 of Homo sapiens. Classification (NCBI taxonomy): domain Eukaryota; kingdom Metazoa; phylum Chordata; class Mammalia; order Primates; family Hominidae; genus Homo; species Homo sapiens. Next base: position 31,432,590 of record NC_000004.12, read on the forward strand.
AGGAGGCAGATAAGGGAGGGTCCCTAGAGAGTCTCTGACCTACCCCACATGTGTTTACATCAGATGCTTTTGTGCAAATGAGGGAACTTACCTAGGACCTTGTCTGGACATGCCTGCAATGGACTGGGGGCCTGACTGCGCACTAGGAATTCATGCCTTATGCAGCGAGGAGAAGCCTGGCCATTTCAGCTCATGTGTGGTGGCCTGGTGTTCGTTCTGTGAGGTGGGAGCCTGTTGGCAGGACCTGCTCCTTTTTGATGAGAGCTTTCTTTTAATAAATTTTACTCTTCTTACCTTTCAACGTGTCCATGTGCTTAATTTTTTCTGGTCGAGAGACAAGAACCCAGATTTTAGCTGAGCTAAGGAGCAAAAAATCCTTCATCATAGTAGTGGCTTATATCAAATATACCCCATCACTGGGTTATATTTGAAAGTGCCACAACTTATATTTTGTCTCTATAACTTGTAACACTTTCAAGTTGTAAACTTAAGGAGGCAAACTTAGGGAAACCGAAGGTCAACAGAGTAGACAGAAACAGGAAGAGTAAAGGAGTGTGCCTGTAATCCCAGCACTTTGGGAGGCTGAGGCGGGCAGGTCACCTGAGGTCAGGAGTTTAAAACCAGCCTGGCCAACATGGTGAAACCCTGTCTCTACTAAAAATACAAATATTAGCTGGGCATGGTGATGCCTGTAATCCCAGCCACTCAGGAGGCTGAGACAGGAGAATCGCTTCAACCTGGGAGGTGGAGGTTGCAGTGAGCTGAGATGGCACCACTGCCCTCCAGCCTGGGCAACAGAACAAGACTCCATCTCAACAAGAAAAGAAGAAAAAAGAAAAAGGAGTGTGAATCCTCTGTCACCTACAGCTACAGCAAACATTATACAAAGCTCAACTCCTAGCCACATTAACATAAAATCTCACAATAAAGACCTAAATACTTCACTCATATTAACTGACAGGACATGTCTGGCTTCCAGTGAAATAATTACAAGGCACGTCAAAAGGCAAAAATGCAAATAAAGTCTGAAAAGAAAAAGAAATCATCATAACCAAACCCAGATCTAACACAGATGTTGGAATTATCACACAAGGAATTTAAAATAATTATGATGACGATTAATATTTGAAGGGCTCTATTGTAAACAGTAGCTATCACACAAGAACAGATGGACAATTGAAGCAGGTATAAGATAAGTATAAGAAAGAATAAAAAGAAAATGCTAGAAATAAAAAAACACTAATAAAATTGAGGAATATTTTTGATGGACTCATCAGTAGACACATCATAGATGAAGAAAAAAAATCAGTAAGTGTAAAGATAGGTCAATTGAAATGGAATGAAAAAATAATTTAAAAAATCCTGGCGGGATATCAAATAACTGTGAGACAATTAAAAATGTGTAAAATATGCTTAATTTGGATACCAGGAGCAGAAGATAACACAGAATGAATACTTAAAATATTAAGAGCAGAGAATTTTCCAAAATTACCTACAGATTCCCCAAATCACAGAGTCCAAAGGCTAAAAGAACACCAGCAGGATAAACGCAAAATACACAAACAACAACACATCTAGGAATATCATATTTAAAACGCAAACAAAGATAATCTTCAAAAAAGCCAGTGGAAAAATATACCTTCTCAATAGAGGAGCAAAGGCAAAAATTATAGCCAACTTCTTGTCAAATGCCTTCTTTTCCATGCAAGCAGGAAAAGAATGGAGCAAAAAATTTAAAGTTTTGGAGAGAAACAGTAACACCAACCAAATGAAAAGAAAATCTGTGATTTGGAGAAAATATTTGCAAGGCATATATCTGTTAAGCTGTTAGTGTCCAAAATATATAAGGAACTCAAACTACTCTATGCAAAGAAAATAGATAATCCTACTAGAAAACGGGCAAACGACTTGAATAGACATTTCTCAAAACATAAGAATGGCCAACAGATATATCAGAAAATGCTCAACATAACTAAACATTTGGGAAATGCAGATTAAAACTACAATGATATATTACCTCATATCTGTCAGAATGGTTAACTAAAAGACAAAAGACAAGTGTTGGTGAGGATGGAGAGAAAAGAGAAACCTTGTACACTATGATGGAGAATGTAGATTAATACAATTATTATGAAAAACAGTATGGAAGTTTCTCAAAAAACTAAAAGTAGAAGTATAATAAGACCCAGCCATCCCACCTCTGGATATTTACCCTAAAGACTTGAAATCAATATATCAAAGAGATGTCTGTACTCCTACGTTCATTGTATCCCTATTGACAGTAGCCAAGTTATGGATTTAACCTAAATGTCTATAAAGGGATGAACGGATAAAGAAAAGTGGTATATGTACACCATGGAATACTATTCAGCCATAAAGAAAAAATTCTGTCATTTTGACATGAATGGAATTGGAGAATATTATGCTGAATGAATTAAGCCAGGCACAAAAAGACAAATGCTGCATGTTCTCATTTACATGTGGACTCTAAAACAATCAAGAAACCAAGAGTAGAATGGTGGTTACAGAGGCTGGGGAACTTGGGGAAAAGGAGAGACAATGCTTAAAAGGTCCAAAGCCTCAAATACAGAGAAAGAATCAGTTCTTTACAAAAATCTATTGCACAGCATGATGAGTGGAGCTAACTGTGTACTCCAGAATCACTAAGTAAATTTTAAATATCCTCACCACAAAATTGGTAAATATTTGAGGAGATGGCTATGTTAATTAGTGTGATTTAATTATTATATTGCATTCATAAATAATAACATCACTTCGTAACCCATAAATACACACAACTGTAATTTGTCAATGCACAATACAAAATAAATTTTAAAAAAGAAGGTCTTGAAGTGGAAAGAATCACCAAAAAAGGGCCAGAAACTTGGATTTACAGAAAGAATGAATATCAAAGAAGGAGAAAATAAAGGTAAAACAAAGTCTTCTGTTTTTCTCATTCTTAATTGACATGAAAGACAATACTTTAAAACAGTAATAGTAACAGTGTATTCAGTGATTAGAACACATCAATCACCAAAATGAATGACATTAGTGTCATAAGGGATAGGAAGGAGGAATTGGGGAATCCTCTGTTGTAAAGTGTGTGTTCTACAGGCACAGTCGTAAAGTGTTATATGAAGGTGGATTTGGTTCAGTTAAAAATGTATATTGTAAACTCTAGGGCAATCACTAAAATATTTTAAAAGTGTTAATTACGCTAAGAAAGGAGATACAATAGCATTATATAAAATTCTCAATCAAAACTGGAGAAGGCCGAAACCAAGTAGGAAATAAAGAAACAAACAACAAATGTAATGAATAGAAAACAGTTACAAGCATGGTACATATTAATCCAGTCATGTTAATAAGCATTTTATATGTGAAGGCCTAAATATACCAATTAAAAGACAGAGATTGTCAGAGTGGATTAAAAAAAAAAAAAAACCAGCTGTCTGTTGTATACAAGATACACAGTTATCAATAAAGACTCTCAATAAAAGTAAAGGGATAGTCCATAAGACTTAAGGCAAAAGAAACCATACATGAGCTTTGTACTCTAGTTGCTGAGGTGTTTTCCCATGAGTATGTAGGTTTACAAATCTGTAACCAATACACACGTAAAAAGAATTAAACAGGCCGGGTGCAGTGGTTCACGCCTGTAATCCCAGCACTTTGGGAGGCTGAGGTGGGCACATCACCTGAGGTCAGGAGTTCCAGACCAGTCTGGCCAACATGGCAAAACCCCATCTCTACTAAAAGTACCAAAAAATAAAAAAATTAGCCAGTGTGGTGTCGGGTGCCTGTAATCCCAGCTACTCAGGAGCCTGAGGCAGGAGAATCGCTTGAACCCGGGAGGTGAAGGTTGCAGTGAGCTGAGATGGCACCGCTGCACTCCAGCCTGGGTGACAAGAATAAGACTCCATGTCAAAAAAAAAAAAAAAAAAAAAAAAGAATTAAACAAATAATTAAATGGATGGAAAATGGTGAGAGCCAGAATGGAGGTCAAGGAAAGTTACAAATAAGAAAGCAGAAGACACAAGAATGATCCATGTGGTAATGGATTAGAGGTGGAGAGATAAGTAAAACTCATGTGTAGTTTAATACAGATACAGACGATCACATATATACCTATTTATAGGTGTGTGTAAAGATGTGAGTATACAAACATATTTCCTTGCTCTGTAAGCTAAGAGGTTCTAGAATCAACCATACCAAAGTAGCAAAGAGCAAACTTAGCATTCAGTTCTTGGTTTCTAATAACATTTTACAATTAAAGAAAGAAAAGATTCTTGAAGAAATGGCTAATTTTAGGACTAGAGCAGGAAATACATAAAATGAGCCTGGAATTTTCTGTAGTGTCAGAAAGTAAGGAAGTGCTCAAGCATACACACATACAATTGGAAATGCAGGTGCGAGGGAGTGCTCACAAGTACCCAAAGATTAAAGCTGAAAAAAAAATTCCACAAAATAAAGTAATATTGAATTATAACCCAAAATATAAAATTAACATTCATGAGATTATACTGATATAAAAAAGATTGAATAAATAAATCCGAAGAGACAAATTTCCCTTGGGGAATAATTCCAGATAATTTATGCAGATACTCCACTCTCACACAAGTGGGACATTACGCCCAGTTTCTTAAGTGTGGGTTGCTCACAGTGATTTCCTTCCACAGAGTGCGTTCAGTAAAGGAGGAAAAAGGCAACTTTACAGTGAAGAAACCTGACAAACACTACCTTAGCCAGATGATCCAAGATTACATGGACTGTGAGGAGTCATGTGCTCTTGATATAAGGTGATGGAAATGGCATTTTACCATAGTGTTTTTCCTCCCCCAAGCCATAATTCCAGTCCAATAATGAGAAAAACATTCAAGAAATCTAAAATGAGGAAAATTCTGCAAAATATCTAATCAGTACTCCTAAAAATGTCCAGGACATCAAAAACAAGGTAAGTCTGAGAAGCTGCTACAACCAGAAGGAGTCTAAATTAGGCATCATGACTGAAAGTAGTAAAGGTATCCTGGGTGAGATCCCGAAATGGAAAAAGGACATTAGGTGAAACCTAAGAGAATATGAACAAGAGTATAGTCTGGTTAATAATAATGTATCAATATTTTATAAACTGACACTAGCATAAGATGTTACTGATAGGGAAAACTGGTAGTGACATTTATGGCAGCTATCAATGGTCTTCACAACTTTTCTGCAAATCTGAAATTACTTCAAAATAAAATGTTTTTTTATAAATTAAAATATGTAAGCCAGGCTTGGTGGCTCATGCCTGTAATCCCTGCACTTTGGGAAGCTGAGACGGATGGATCAGCTGAGGCCTGGAGTTTGAGATCAGCCTGGCTAACTTGGTGAAACCGCATCTCTACTAAAAATACAAAAATTAGATGTACCACTGTAACCCCAGCTACTCAGGAGGTTAAGGCACGAGAATTGCTTGACCCTGGGAGGCGGAGGTGCAGTGAGCCAACATATGTCACTGCACTCCACCCTGGGCGACAGAGTGAGACTGTCTCAAAAAAGAAAAAAAGGAAATAAACAAACAAACAAATATATTTTAAATTCACCTTACATTTGACGATCATTTTACCAAGGAGATGCATTTATTTAAAAACATATATTTAAATAAATGTAATAAAGACACATTGTAGAAATTTTAGAATATATAGAAGAAAAAATACAATATGTGAGAAGTGCTTGGCATTTAATATATGATAAATACGTAAACATTTAAAAAGATTATTTAACATTTTCCTGTAACATTATATATAACATTCAACAAATCAATATCTAATCAACAAACCTCTGCCTCATTTTATTGTAAAATAAGACCAAACAAAACAACCTAATGTGTATAATTAATAATGAGAGGTGACAGCATGCTGGCAGTCCTCAGAGCCCTCGCTTGCTCTCGGCACCTCCTCTGCCTGGGCTCCCACTTTGGTGGCATTTGAGGAGCCCTTCAGCCCCCCACTGCACTGTGGGAGCCCCTTTCTGGGCTGGCCAAGGCCGGAGCCCACTCCCCCAGCTTGCAGGGAGGTGTGGAGGGAGAGGCACGAGCGGGAACCGGGGCTGCGTGCGGTGCTTGCCGGACAGCTGGAGTTCCGGGTGGGCGTGGGCTTGGTGGGCCCCGCACTCGGAGCAGCCAGCCAGCCCTGCTGGCCCCAGGCAATGGGGGACTTAGCACCCGGGCCAGTGGCTGCGGAGGGTGTACTGAGTTCCCCAGCAGTGCCGGCCCACCGGCGCTGCGCTCGATTTCTCGCTGGGCCTTAGCTGCCTTCCTGTAGGGCAGGGCTCAGGACCTGCAGCCCGCCATGCCTGAGCCTCCCACCCACTCCATGGGCTCCTGTGCAGCCCCAGCCTCCCCGATGAGCACCACCCCCTGCTCCACGGCACCCAGTCCCATCGACCACCCAAGGGCTGAGGAATGTGAGCGCACGGCACAGGACTGGCAGGCAGCTCCACCTGCAGCCCCCGTGCGGGTCCACTAGGTGAAGCCAGCTGGGCTCCTGAGTCTGGTGGGGACGTGGAGAGTCTTTATATCTAGCTCAGGGATTGTAAATACACCAATCAGCACCCTGTGTTTAGCTGAAGGTTTGTGAGTGCACCAATCCACACTCTGTATCTAGCTGCTCTGGTGAGGAGGTGGAGAACCTTTATGTCTAGCTCAGGGATTGTAAATACACCAATCAGCACTCTGTATCTAGCTCAAGGTTTGTAAACACACCAATCAGCACCCTGTGTTTAGCTCAGGGTTTGTAAATGCACCAATCGACACTCTGTATCTAGCTGCTCTGGTGGGGCCTTGGAGAACCTGTGTGTGGAAACTCTGTATCTAACTAATCTGATGGGGATGTGGAAAACCTTTGTATCTAGCTCAGGGATTGTAAATGCACCAATCAGCGCCCTGACAAAACAGGCCACTCCGCTCTACCAATCAGCAGGATGTGGGTGGGGCCAGATAAGAGAATAAAAGCAGGCTGCCCGAGCCAGCATTGGTAACCCGCTTGGGTCCCCTTCCACACTGTGGAAGCTTTGTTTTTTCGCTCTTTGCAATAAATCTTGCTACTGCTCACTCTTTGGGTCCACACTGCTTTTATGAGCTATAACACTCACCGCGAAGATCTGCAGCTTCACTCCTGAGCCCAGCGAGACCACAAGCCCACCGGGAGGAATGAACAACTCCAGACATGCTGCCTTAAGAACTGTAACACTCATCGCGAAGGTCTGCAGCTTCACTTCTGAGCCAGTGAGACCACGAACCCACCAGAAGGAAGAAACTCTGAACACATCTGAACATCAAAAGGGACAGACTCCAGATGTGCCACCTTAAGAGCTATAACACTCACCGCGAGGGTCCGCGGCTTCATTCTTGAAGTCAGTGAGACCAAGAACCCACCAATTCTGGACACAATAAGACAATCTTAATAGTCAAAAGAGCCTATCTAAACAGAAATGTCATTTTACTTTAGACTGATGATATGACCCAAAAAGCTTAAAAACCTTTTTTTATTTTTTTTTCTTTTGAGACGGAGTCTTGCTCTGTCACTTAGGCTGGAGTGCAATGGTGCGACCTCGGCTCACTGCCATTTCTGCCTCCAGCATTCAAGCTATTTTCCTGCCTCAGTCTCTCAAGCAGCTGGGACTACAAGCGCCCCACCACGCCCAGCTAATTTTTGTATTTTTAGTAGAGATGGGGTTTCACCATGTTGGAAGGATGGTCTCTATCTCTTGACTTCGTGATGCGCCCACCTCGGCCTCTCAGAGTAATGGGATTACAGGCGTGAGCCACCCCGCCGGGCCTTGCCTAATCTTCTCAAACGTCCCACTTCTTCACAGTATCATATTGGAAACAACTGAATTTTGGAGGGGATTACGTTTCAACATGAAATTTGTAGGGAACAAAAACATTCAAATCATATAAATATCTTTACTGTTTTTAAGAAATTACTTTCAACATAAAGTTAAAATATAATTTAAAATATATTGAGTCAATCCTCAAAGTAGGGCCAATATACTGGAAACACGGTAAACATTTTAAATAACCATGGTCAAATACCTTTAAAAATATTTGGAACATTTCTGAAACTGCTCAAATTCCAGTAACTGTAAGCTTACTCATCTTCTTTTTATGGTCTTTAAGATCAGACCAATGGTGTAAATATGATGAGTGGATTCTTTGGAGAAATATCTATTCAAAGCAGAAATAAAGTTTTAAAAAAAACCAACAGAAAGTATTCTGTTACATTTCTTGGGCTCCACATAGGTCTGGGAAGAAATAAGTAGACATTAATTTTAAGTCCTTCATGTCACTTCTATCTTATAGACAGGCAACTTGGCCAAAATTGGTAAAATTCAAGTAAAGCCTGTTAAAAAGTTTACTGATTTGAATTGATTAAAAATATATTGAAATGGATCGTTTTGCCCTTCATATTAATTTCAATATTTCTTGTGTTGAAACCAGGTGTGAAAAATGTCCACTTACTGGGCAAGATTAAGATTGATTTGAAGTTGATAAAAAAATTTGGGAGTCAGTAGATTTCTAATGAATCTTTAAAAACTCCTAGTCTTGAAAATGCCTGATAGGTCATTTCAGATGCCTCTAGGTAAGAATGGGCAGCATGTACAATTTTAGAAAAATGTATTTATGACTAGACCACAAATAAAAAATTCTGCTTTTGTTTGCTTTGTTTTACTCTAAGTTATTCTAGACAGAGGAGTTGAGAGCATTGTTTAGCACATCATTATATTTCTAACCCTTTACTTATGTTTGTTACTAATTTGTCTTTCATTCTTATTAACTGAAAAAAATAAATAAATAATTAAATAAGGTCTTGTGTTTAAGCTTAATAACCTGGCCATACGTGGAGTTCAAATTTATTTCCTCAGAAAAGCAGCAAACCCCTATATATATTTGGGGCCACAAACATGAAAAGAACAACTTATTTAGGTTTTAAAAATAATTATTTTCTCTTGCACTAATCTTAACATGTTTATGCAATTTCCTTTAGGAAGGTTGTAAGACTGTACAATCTTCTGCATACAAGGGATTTAAAGAGAGTCAGAAGCTGGTGGTGTTCATGTTCTATTAGACTCATAGCTTTGTTTTTGTTTTTGTGTTTTTGTTCACACAGATGTGTCTTTGTTTTAGTTACCAATATTTAAAAATCATCATGCTTCATATAAAAATATGGATTTTCAGCTCCTTTGGAATAAAAAATACACTGGTCAGTGTAAGATTCTCCCTGGGACCTGAAAGCTTAAGGAGATGAGTAACTCCTCCCTTCTCAGGCCCAGTCCCAAGGTGCAACTTGTGTCAGCAGAGTGCGCCGCCAAGATAGCAGGTTCTCACTCATAGGTGGGAATTGAACAATGAGAACACTTGGACACAGGAAGGGGAACATCACACCCCGGGGCCTGTTGTGGGGTGGAGGGAGGGGGGAGGGATAGCATTAGGAGATATACCTAATGTAAATGACGAGTTAATGGGTGCAGCACACCAACATGGCACATGTATACATATGTAACAAACCTGCACGTTCTGCACATGTACCCTAAAACTTAAAGTATAATAATAAAAAAAAAAGATAGTAGAAGCAGGAAGAGAGCTGGCCGGAAGACACCTACCATAGCCGGAAGACGTGTATCCCTGAAGATTGAGAAAGAGGCCATCCAGGTACAACGTAGCAGTTACGTCACACTAGGACACTTCCTGTTTACAGGAGACTATAAAACCTTTGCCCCGTCCTTACTCTGGGCTGATGTCATTTTAGGCCTTAGCCCGCCTGCACCCAGGCGCTCATTAAAACAGCATGTTGCTCCACACCGCCTCCTGTTGTGTGTTGGCGCGCTCTAGGGGTTCAAACAGATACAAGAACCTTCCATTCTGCAGCACTGTTTCTCTGAAACAGGATGTTGAAGCTTCCTGATTCTAGTACCATTTTGTAAGTCAATTTAGGCGATTAGGAAACCACCTCCAAAAAAGTATTCTTTGAAACTTATGAGCAATATTGATTTTCTGTACATGTTTAAGGAAAAAGAGTCCATAGTTTTCATGTTATGAATTAATGCTTTAGAGAGAAATCACACCACTCTAAATCTATTGTTCATGTTAAAAATCAAGTTTATTGACGTAGACAGATTCATGTTATCTTTTCCTTACAATCTGTCATCCCCATAGCTCCTGATTCTAAAATCCAAAAATGTTTTTACAGCAAATCAATAAGTATTTAAAAGTCTCAACTCACAGATTGTTAAACTGACCTTAATTTTTCTCCTGCCACACGGAAAAATTAATTTAACCTAATATTTAAATAGTTTTCTTATATTAACTTTGTCTCTCTTCTGTTTGAACTACTATAGCTATATCATTACATCAATTTGTACCATAAACATCACATGGTTTTAAGATTCTGTTGTAGAATTGCAGTTTTCCTATTCTTTGTCAGGTGCGACATTTTTTTAAAAGTCACTAACAGAAATTAGTGAAGTATCAAAAACAGACACAGATATGAGTGATTCTTTAGTTCAAAGGCCTAAAATATATAGTTTTAAAAATTTAGTTGTAAAAAAAAAAGTTATTAGATAAGATCACATAGATTAATTCATATTTAATTTTTCTTCCTTGTCTTTATTGCCTAACATTTCCCTGCAGTTCATTTACACAGTTTGAACTTTGAGTGTCAGTTCTTTAGTCTTTCCATTTCCCACATAAAAAGACAGAAGTGTTTCCTTATGTCAGTAGGCTTGTTCTAATTTAACAAATTGTCAGTGAGAAGTTGTGAAAAAATAAAGTTTTATTGTTCACTAAAATTTTGGATTCATATTGAATAATCCCATTTATTCATGTTTCAATTGTCATTAAAATAGCTATTTCTAATTTGATTATAAATTCAGTATAGACACCTCTATAGTAGATAAACCAAAACTTAATGTAAAATCATTTGAAATCAACTCAAAATATGCTATTAAGTTGCAGTAATTTAACATGTAAAAAATAATAAAATGATATTATTACAGATGTGTGTGTTCCAATTATCTCAAACTTTTTAAACTTTAATTTGGCTGTGGAAAAGAGTATTTGAAGGACATCACATATAAATGCCTATTTTAAAAATTAGACAAAACTGGAGCTGCTCAGACTCAAAGGCTGTAAGATGGTATCACCAGATGATCATCACTGATTTGCTTCCTTCCCTATCACAGTGAACCCTCCCTCAATGACCCAAAGTGGGCTATGTAACCAGTAGAACTTGAGGAATTCAATTTCAAAAAAAATTGAGCTAAATAAGAGTGTTTCTTTGGCCAAAAATAAATAAATAAATAAAATAAGAATTATTATTTTATTAAGACATGTTTAATAAATGTTATTAATTTCAATGTTGATTATTGAATTAATTTTATGAATACCTTTTGAGGATTTTATACTCCGAGGACATTGCTAGAACTTGAGGAAATGCCTCAATGAAAATAACAATAGCTCATGAACTTTTTCCATTATTTACGAATTTTTCATTTCTCATTATTTACAAATAATTTTTCTAAGTTTTATCTTGTTTAATTCTTACAATAACTGGGTTACAGAGATATATCTCTGCCTGTTGAAGAATGGGAAACATACTCAGAGTGGTTATGCCATGTGCCTAATTTCTCATTAAGAAAGAGTTAGAATAACAGTTTAGTTTTAATACTTATATTTATTTTTTATTTAAAAAGTTGTTCATTGATCACCTGCCATTTATCAAACAGTTTTTCTAAGTTCTGGGAGGTAGAAAAGTGAGTAAAGATAGTGACTCTGACCTCAGTGAGCTCACAACTTTATAGGAGAGACTGATATTTTAACTGTAACATAAATGGGAATAGGATATGTGCTATACTAACATCATCTGCAAAACAGTGAGGAGCTGGAAAACTGGCTCTCTGGCAGGGTGAGGGAAAGAGCTCGGATTTGTCCATTTCTATTTTGTAAATATTTCCACCATGGCTGATTTCCAGGTCCTACCAGTTTAAAAATTGGCTTGAAATTCCTGGATATTTAACAATCAGCTCTCACAAGTGGGTTTAAGCTGACCTCCAACTCACCTCTGATAGTGTAATGGAAGCATAAAAAAGGCAGCAATGAATTCTGCTTGGAGAGGGGTTGGGAAAAGATTCAGAGCAGAAAGAATTTGAGCTAAGCCTTGATGATGAAAAAAGTTGGAGGACAGAGAACAGGGTAGAAGAATGGGTCACACAGTGGGAACATTATATGCAAATTTAAGAAGGCTGAGAATTCATGGTCTTCTGGGGCATGTATGAGCAGATAGCTGAGGTAGGGCCTCTGGAAGCTGTGTAATTGGGACCAGACTGTTAAAAACTTTGAAGGCATTAGGAGTTTTGATTTGTTTGTATAGGATACAGGCATCTCTGGAGGGGGTCTCATAAAACCTCCCTCCAGAGATACCTGTATCCTATACAAAGAAATCATTTGAAGAACAAAACAGCCCAGGCAAGGATGGATTCTACCAAATGCCCAGAACTTTGCAAAGATTGAGGCAAGATTACAAGGAGGGAAGACAAATATTCATATTTGGAGTCAAAGTGAATTTTTAGTTGGTTTCATGATTGTACCTATACTAAAAGTTTCAAACGTGATGATTTTATATATACTTTTCCATCTGGAAAAAGTACAACTCCATAACCAATTATAACAAAACCAATTGTATTTTAGCAACAATTTAATTGATCAAATTTTTTCTCTTTGTTAATATGGTAAGAAAAATAAAAACAGATTGTCCTGAAGACTTACAAATAAAATTTCAATATGGGAAACAGTTTTTTTACTTGGCAAAGCCTAAATTTGTATTAAAGAATTTATAATACAGGGTCAGGCTCTCAGAATTTTTACCCCTAGGCAAACCACTTCGTCTGTGGTGAAATGTCCTACTGAATATCACTAAAAATATTTCACCCGATATCATTTAAGTAAGATTTTATGAGGTTGACTTTTTTAAGTGGAATTAAATTAACTCTATAAGAAAAGGTATACTCAGGATTAAGTAAAGACCATTAGACCGTCAAGGATTATCTTCCTTTCAATACTGTGGTCCCTCCAGACAACATCTGTTTTCCCCATGGCTCAATATTCCTTTCCTAATCTTACTGGTTGGCTGGCCTGAGGATATGTAGTCTACTTCCAAACTCTACTTCTTATAAGTTTCATGAATTTTCATTTTCTATCTTTTTATTTATGCTTTTATCTTGTACATTTGGCACTACTTTCAAGTTTAATTGCAATAATTTCAAAGATAACAGTGTCGATAAACATGTTTTAAGGTAAATGTAATTACAAAGCTACATATATATATTTCCTATGGAAGCAATTGTAACATCTCACTTATTAAGTCATGTTTTAGCTCATTTTTATCTCAATAAACACAAATGCATCAAAGCTTATTTAAATTCACAGAATGAAACATGAATGATTAGAAAGTTCTACAAATAAACCAGTTAGCTTCTCCAAAAAATGGTTCTTGGGCAGAGCTCATAGTCATTTTCCCTTAGTAAATTATTGATCAGATGTTCTCAATGTTTGCCAAAATGTGAAACAAATATTAAGACCTAATGATGGGATGATATATGCAACTATCTTCAACTAAGGGATTCAGTTCAAGATCTTCACATTATTGCATTTGGAAGTTAGACAAGGAGCATATTTACTTTTATTTTACCTGTTGTGGAATGTTACATTGACAGATGTCTTCTGAATGGCTTACTTTTTTTTCTCCCTAAGTATTCAAATCTTCTAATTTTATCTGTTTATTACTGAAATGTCAAAACATTTGCTTCTAGATACCCTGTGTGAACATTCATCTCCAAAGGGTCTCCTAGTAAGTGAGAAGTCAGTGGTTTGGGATATACAGGTCTTTTTGATTAGAGAACTAAGTATTTCCATGGGCTGTTTTCTGAAAATGGAGTTAGGTTCAGTCTTTTATTCCCACTTTAATTTAAAATTAGACAGTTATTTGACAAATTTTCTATTAAGTCAAACACTTCATTAAAGAAGAGTACTAAAGATCATCTTGGCAAAAAAAGCTTTTATATCTGTTCAGCTTAGAGTTCTAATCTTATAGCTAAATGTTTCTTAAGGTTTTTTTTTTTTCTAAAAGAGATCACTTTTTAATGAATGAGTGTAACTTTTTATTAAGACAATTATTTTCATTAAAGAAGTATATGAAAATGGTTAAGTAAAATCAAATGGCTCCAAAAGTCTTAACAGTGAAAACAACAGTCCTGCCAGTTGTTCTTTCCAGAGGCAAGCACTTTTCATTCTCTTAGTTTTTCCTGCTGGTAGTTACCTTCATGGATTTTTTCCAGATTATTATTTTTTTTGGTTTTTCAAGTGAATGCATACATGAATACATGTAATTTTTAAAAGCCTCTTCAGTTTATAATGCATCCTAACAGTACCCTGCCCCATCCCTCCTAATTCTAAATGACTTTTAACTCTTTTAGCAATGTCTTCTATTTTTTTCCTTATGTAACTAGTCGTTTCTTGATTATTTTATACATTATATAGTGATTTCTTGATATGACAGTTGAGGATTTAGCTCTTATACCATCACTATCTTCACTTTTCCTCCCATATTGTCCCAAAGTAGTTACCAGATTTAGGAGCTAAGCAGTCACCACATCATTATGATGATGTACATATTACTCATTGTTGAGAAAAACAGCGTGTTATACTCTTACTTCCTATCTTGTACTTCTTTCTGCCCTAGAATTAATGATTGCCTAACCAACCTTTCCCCCTTGTTTTTTTTTTTTTTTATTTCTGCTTTATCTTCAATGAGCTTCTTTCCAAATGCCCCAAATCTGGCAATAACCCATTATTATTTTTAAGAGAAGGGATCTCACTATGGTGACCAGGCTGGTCTGGAACACTTGGGCTCAAGCCATCCTCTTGCTTAGCCTCCTGAGTAGCTGGAACTACAGGCATGGGCCATTCTCTCCAGCTAACCTATTAATATTTTTAGTGTTTCTTTTAAAAACCAGCTCCATAGCTGGAATATTGCCTGCGTTAGATCCTATTTGCTGGATCCATGTCATTCTCTGGTTTGTGTACTCCTTCATTTTGCTGGAGTATTTTCTCCAATAGCTTCCCAAGAAAGGGTACATAGAGGTAGCCCCTGAGTCTTTGCTTGTCTAAAAATGTATTATTTTACCTTCACCCTTGATTATTTGGCTGAATACAAATTTATATGAAAATTATCAATACATAAACTTCTGACTTTTTTCATTCCTTTATTTCCTGCAATCCCAGTAAACAGCTAGGCAAATTATTTTTTCACTTAAAAAATTTGGCAAGTCATCAAATCCAAAATGTTAAGCATGTATTTACATAATTTTTATAACTTTTCCCAATAATTAAAATAAGTATCAAAATTATGAAGTTGTTTTCAACTGTCCTTGTGTATGAATGTGTGTATAAGAGAGGGAATGAGAGAAAAATGATAGGGAGACACTGAGATGACAAACAAATAAATTATCCTTTAAAATATGACCCATATTTAAAATATTTAATAAAGAGGCAAATAAAAGCGGGCAATATAATATATTTGTTTCAAAGGATTTATCTATATTTTGCCACTCTACACTAGATGTACCTAAGGCACTTCATGAGAAACCTTAGCTATTGAATTAGGACGTTAGAGTAGCATTTGTAATCTATTGCTATAGTATAATTGCCTGGTATGGAAAAAGATGAGAGATTTTTTTCTAGTTTTGAGCTTCCTCTTTTTTTAGTGTTTCTCTTTTTATTTCCCATTACTAATACCATTATTTGGAAAATTCTCATGTGTCAAGTACTAATAGCTGTTGAGGAACTAGGATGCATATGCACAAATTCTGTGAATATATTTATGTGATAAAATTTTTGGTGCTGATAAATTATCAGGGAGTTTTGTATTTTTTTTTGTAAGCCCAAGAATGTGATTTGGTGCCATGGATCTTGAAGAGTTTAGAATCAATAGGCTTGCATTCAGATTTAAGCTCAGCTATTTTCTAGTAATAAAAGCTTTATAAATTAAAAAAGTTTTATTCAGATATAATACATATATGTAACAATAATGCAGGTATATTACCTGTAATACATGAAAATAAATAATACATTTATGCACACATCATTCACATGCCATAAAAATCAACCTCTTGAAGAATGCAGTTTAGTGCAACCACTCCTATTATTTACTGTTAGAACATTTTCATCATCCAAAAAGGAAAACCCAAACCCATTTGCAATTAATCCCTATTTTTCATCGCAATTCCTACCCCTTGGAAATCACAAATCTGCTTTCTGTCTCTATGGTTTTGCTTATTCTGAACACTGCATGTAAATAAAATCACATAATGTGTGGTCCTTTGTGAATGGCTTCATTCACTTAGCATGATGTTTTCAGGGTTCATTCATGTTCTAGCATGTACTTCTTTTCTTTTATGGAAGGATAATATTCCATTGCATGGACAGGGTACTTTTGTTCATTAATTCAGCAACTGATGAACATCGGTTGTTTTCCTCCACTTTTTGTCTACTACAAATAATGTTACTTCTACAAATATTTATGTACAAGTTTTGTGGTGATAAATGTTTTTATTTTTCCTGAGTATACACTTAGTAGTGGAATTGTTGGGTCATATAGTAACTGCCTATGTGTTTGAGAAAATGACAGTTTTCTGATATGTCTACGTCATTTTACATTCCCACAGTTGTTTATGAGCATTAAAAGTATTCCATATTTGCCAGTACATGTTATTATCTGCCCTTTTTATTATCTCCATTCTGGTAGGTGTGAAGTAGGATACCATCGTAGTTTTAATTTGCATTTCCCTAATGATGAATGATGTTAAACATCATTTATATTGGCCACTGTATAAAATAGCATATTGGCCTTTGCGGTATTTGTTTGGAGAAATATTTATTCAAATCTTTTGAAAAAATTTAATTGGATTGTCTTTTTATTACGAAGATTTAAGTTTTTTATGTATTTTGGATACCAGTTTGGATACCTTTATCAAATACCTGATTTTAAATATTTATATTATTTTGTTGTTTTTCATTTTCTAGATGTTGTCCTTTGAAGCAAAATTTTGTAATATATAAAATCCAAGTTTTATTTGTTTTCTTTTATGACTTGTGCTTTTAGTGTCATATCTGAGAAACCATTGGCTAATCCATGGTAAGAATAATATACTACTATGTACTTTTTAAAGAGTTTTGTACTTTCAATTTTTACATTTAGGTCTTTAGTGTTTTGAGTTAATTCTCATATATGGTGTGAGAGAACTGTCCACTTTTATTCTTTTGCGTGTGGATATTCAGTTGTCCTAGCACCATTTGTTGAAAAGACTATCTAGTTAATTGTCTAAATATTCCCATTGAAAATTAATTGACCATAAGATTTAAGGTTGTATTTTTCTGAGTTTTCAATTTTATTTCATCAATTTATATGTCTGTTGTTTTGCAGATTTCACAAATATGTTGATTGTCCTGGCTTTGCATTAAATTTTTAAATAGGAAAGTCTGTCTTCTAACTTTGACTTCTTGTTGTAGATTATTTTGGCTATTCTGGGTTTCTTGAAATTCCATATGAATTTTAGAGTAATCTTGTCAATTTCTGGGAAAAAAGGCAGTTGGAATTTTCACAGGGATTGTGTTGAATTTGTAGATAAGATTGCAGAGTATTACTGCCATGGTTTGAATGTTTGTCTCGCTCCAAAATTTATTTGTTGAAACCTAATCCCCAATGCAATATTATTAGGACATGGGGACTCATGGTAGGTGATTAGGTCATGAGGCTCAACCTTGACAAATGGGACTGGTGCCCTTATAGAAGAAGCCTGAGGGACCTTGTTCATCCCCTTTATCCTGTGAGAACACATTGCATTTGGAAGTTAAAAAGAGAAGTTGCCATTTGTGAATCAGAAAACAGGCCCTCACCAGACACAAAATCTGACATCTTGGTATTGGACTTCACAGCCTCCAAAACTGTAAGAAATAAATTTCTGTTGTTTACAAGCTATTCAGTTATGGTATTTTGTTATAACAGCCAAAACAAATTAATACAACTGCTATTTAAAAAATAGTATGTGTTCCAATTCATAAGTATAAGATTTTTAAAAATATTTAGATCTTGTTTAGTTTATATCAATAATGTTTTATCATTTTCAATATACAAGTCTTGCACCTCTTTTGTTAAATTTCTTCCTTTTTTCATTTTTTTGGTACTATTGTACAAGGCATTGTTTTCTCAATTTAGTTTTCAGAATTTTTACTGTGACTATAGAGAAATAAAGTTAATTTTTGTATAGTGATCTTGTATCCTGTCACCTTGTGGAACTTATTTCTTAGTCCTAATAGTAATATTTGTGAGTCTAATAGTAGTTTTATGTAGGTTATAATTTTTATATATAATAACTTGTCATCTGTGACTTGAGATAGTTATACTTCTTCCTTTCCAATCTCAAAACCTTTTACAGGTTGAGCGTCCCTAATCTGTGATGCTACTGTGCTGCTTAGTTATTTTGAACACTCTATTGTGTCACTATGTTAATGGTATGCCACATTTTTTTACTGTTAAGTACTTAAGTGTGAATAGGTGTAAGAAAATAATTGCTTATGGTAACATATGAACTCAAACTCAGGAATGATAGTGACGCCAAACAACCACAGACTGTGTGAGTGGCAGAGACAGTGACACCATTGTTTTCTGTTGGTTCAATGTATGTAAACTTTGTTTCATGCACAAAATTATTTAAATATTGTATAAAATTACCTCCAGCCTCTGTGTATAAAGTATATATAAAACACAAATGAAGTTCATGTTTAGACTTGGGTTCCATCCCCAAGAGATCTCATTACATATATGCACATATTCCAAAATTCAAAAAATCCCAAATCCAAAGAATTTCTGGTACCATACATTTTGGATAAGGGATACTCAATCTTTATTTTTAATTTTGTTTTCCAAATTTCCCTGCCTGTAAACTTTATGACATTCATATAGAATTTGCAAGAGCAGACATTTTTGCCTTGTTCCTGATCATAGAAAGTATTCAGTCTTTAACCATTAACCGTGATATTGGCTGTGGATTTGTTTTTAAGTCCTGTATAAAGTTGAAAAAGTTCCTGTCTTGTCTTAATTTATTGGGAGATTATGTAATGAAAGTGTATTGGATTTTGCAAAATACTTTTCCTATGCCTAGGGATATAATCTTATGGTTTTTTGCCCTTTATAATATAATATGGTATATTACACTGTTAGTGTGTGTGTGTGTGTGTGTGTGTGGTGTGTGTGTGTGTGTGTGTGTGTGTGTGTGTGTGTGTTAAACCAACCTTGCATTCCCAGAAAATGTCTCATTTGGTTGAGGTGTATAATCCTTTTAATATGTTGCTAGCTTCAGTTTGTAGGTATTTTGTTGGTGATTTTGGTCATTTTATTCAAAGAGATATTGGTCTGAAAATTTCTTACAATATTTTTGTCTGGTTTTGGTGTCTGGGTAATACAGGCCTCTTAGAATGAGGTTGGAAGTTTGTAGAACTCGCCAGGGAAAGCATCTGCATCAGGGCTTTTCTTCGTGAAAGGTTTTAGATTAATAATTCAGTCTCTTAACTTGTATAGGCCTATTCAGATTTTCTATACTTTCTCTTGGTGTTTTAATAATTTGTGTCTTTATAAAAATTTGTCCATTTCATTTACATTATCTAATTTATTGACATACGATTGCTTATATTATTCTCTGATATGGTTTGGATCTGTGTCCCCCCAAAATCTCATGTTGAATTGTAATCCCCAATGTTGGAGGTGGGGCCTGATAGGAGGTGGCTGGATTATGGAGGCTGATTTCTCATGAATGGTTTAGAACCATCTCCTCTTGACACTGTCCTAGCAATAGCAAGTTTTCCTGAGTTTTCATGAGCGCTGGTCATCTAAAAGTTTGTGGCATCTCCCCTACCACCTCTCCACCTCTGCTCCTGCCATGTGAGATGCCTTGCTCCCCTTTTGCCTTCCACCATGGAAGCTTCTTCCTGAGGCCTTCCCAGAAACAGAAGCTGCTATGTGTTCCTATACAGCCTGCAGAACTATGAGCCAATTGAACCTCTTTTGTATATAAATTATTCCATCTCAGGCATTTCTTTATAGCAGTGAGAAAACGAATGAATACATCCCCTATAGTTTTTTGTTGTTTTTTTTTTCCAGTGGCAAAATCTTAGCTCACTGAAACCTCTGCCTCCAAGGTTCAAGCGATTCTCATGCCTCAGCCTCCTGAGTAGCTGGGACTTGAGGCATGTGCCACCACACCTATTTTTAAATTTTTATTATAATAGAGACAGGGTTTCACCATGTTGGCCAGGCTGGTCTCAAACTCCTGACCTCAAGTGATCCACCCACCTTAGCCTCCCAAAGTGCTGATATTATAGGCATAAGCCACCACACCTGGCCCTTTGTAGTCGTTTATATTTTGTGAAATTGATAGACACCTCATTTAGTTGTGGTTTTTATAGTTTGATTCATCTCTCTTTTTTTATTGGTAAGTCTAGATAAAAGACTTAACAAGTCTTTTTGTCAATTTTGCTGATTTCTTAAAAAACAACTTGTTTTTATCAAATTTTCTTTTATTCTATCCTCAATTTCATTTATTTCTTTTCTAGTCTTTTTATTTCCTTTTTTTTTTTTTGCTTGCTTGCTTTGAGTTTAGATTGCTCTTTTTTCCTTTTTTCTTAAGGTGAAATTTAGGTCACTAATATAACATATTTATTATTTTGTAATATGCAGTAGTTCCCCCTTGTCTGTAGTTTTACTTTCTGTGGGTTTAGTTACTGTTGGTCAACCATGGTTCAAAATAGGTTGATATATAGTACCACAAAATATTGAGGGAGAGAAAGAGAAGGAGAGAGACCATTTTCACATAATTTTTATTAAAGTATATTGTTATATTCTATTTTTATTATTAGTTATTTTCATTAATCTCTCACTGTGACTAATTTATAAATTCATCTTTGTCATAAGTATATATTTGTAGAAAACAATAATATAGAGAGAGTTTGGTTCTATCCCTGGTTTCAGGCATAGATTGAGGGTCTTGGAATATATCCCCTGTGGATAAGAGGGAGCTACTTTAATGCTATTATTCCTGTTTTACAAATGTAGAAGTAGAAGCACAGCAAGATTAAGTAATTTGCCTAAGGTCACACAGCAAACTCTAGAGTTGGTGCTTGCTCCCACTGTAAAAGTATGTAAATGATAACAATGGAAGAAATTGGGCAAGACCACCAAAACAGAGGCCATCATCTTTCCCTGGCTGTGCTGCTGCATTTCCGTCTTGCTGTGCTGGGTTGTCAGGGAAATTAATTTTCTATCCTACATTAATGTATAAGATCAGGCCAAACTCCATGCTTTAGCTGCAATGACAGGCTCTTGTCTCCTTTCCTTGTGTCTTAGGTGAGGTTTTAAATCAAATATATGAAGTGTAAGAACTGGTTGACTGCACATTCTGATCAATTTTAAAGCATTTCTGTTTGTTAATGTTATATTCATTTGGGAACCATTTAAGGCACATGTAACCTTACAGTATTAGAATGTATTCATGGGTTTTAATACCACTAAGAGTTAATTTGAAAAATAAAAACAGAAAGTTCTTCTTCCCTATTTTTCTTATTCTAGTTCTATACAATGCCCCACTTATTTCTCTAGATGTACTACTTACTGCCTATTTTAGGCAAACATCTACATATGCCTTCTATTGGCTGAGAAAAGGAAAAGTGTGAAAATACCTCAGGCACATACTAGAATTAATTTGATAAGACAGGAGTGGCCAATTATCATGGCATAATGGCATTTTTTGTTGCTGTTGTTGTTTGTCCAGTGGGGAAAATCAAGGTAACAAGTTGCAAGATGACTGATCCTCAGGGAGTCATTGCCTTTCAAAGTAAATGATGGAAATCAGAACCATTTTATGTTTTTGTTGTTTAGTTATTGAATAGAACTAAATCTGTAAACTGCTTTGTTAACACTTTGTTAGTTTACATATGTACCCTTTAAAATAGGATATTTTCTTAGCTACATTTAAAGAGGATGAATGAGACACAATTAAGCCACAACACCCCTTTTTCTTAGAGGACCAGAACATGTTTCAGTATATTCATACATGCCCACATCCACTTATATAACCTTTTATTCTTCCTGAGCCTGCATCCCAATTTGAGCCAAGAGATGAAAGTTTGATTAGTATTTTGTAAATATTATAATTTTACAATATAATTTAGACTTAGTAGCCATTAATAAATTTTTTAAAAACATGTCGAGTCAGTTATGTACTGCGGCTCTATGAGAAAAACATCAGTTAAGGTCAGATTCTTACAGACTTTTACATGAGAAAAATAAAGCAAATTTTAATTGGATAAAATTCCAAATTAATGAAAAATTTCCTCAGTGACTAATGTGCTAAGAAAGACACAAATGTGGTGATATTAGAATTTACAATATATAAAACTTACAAAATTACAGCTAGATAGGAGGAATAAGTTCTGGTGTTTGATACCATTATAGAATGACAATACTTAACTGTAATATATTATACAGTTTCAAATAGCTAGAAGGAGTATGAACCTTCCCAACACAAAGAAATGATAAATGTTTGAGATGATGGATAAGCTAATTAATCTGATCTGATTACTATACATTGTATGTATCAAAGCATCACTATGTACCCCACAAATATATACAATTATCATTTGTCAATCCAAAATAAAATATTTATTCTAGTCATAAGATACTCATGCTATCTGGAGAAGAAGAGAGGGTGAGAGAGTAAGGGAGAAGAGTATGAATAGATCTCCTTTGTGAAAAGAAACTAGCCTGCTTCGAATATGGGTTAAGGTAGTGGTGGGGTGTTAAAAGTTCACCATAAAAGTAAAAATATAAGCAAAGGTATGATCCTGTCATAGTGAAGGCACCTACTTGAGAAGTTTAAAAATAAGCAGAGACTTTAATGAGAGTGAAGAAAAGCTGCATAGTTATCTGTGAGTAGAGCAATCTAGGTGGAAGAAAGAACAAGTGCCCTCATGAAAGCACCCTAGGCAAAGATGTGTGCTTGGCATATTCCAGGGACAGCAGGATGCCAGTGTGGGTGCAACAGCATAGTAATAAGAGCAGTGACAAAGATCCTGTCCTTCACCAAACTCTAGCCAGCCTCCTCTGACCCCTCTTCTCAACAAAGCCTAGTAAAGATCTGGTAAAGACCTTTACTTGGCTTGTAAAGACCTGAACAAACACTAACATTTATAATAGCTCAAAGCTATTATAATAGCTCAGGTTTATAATAGTTCAAGGCTTTGTCCCTAGGATCACTCCTGTTCACCAGCCCCACATCACCCCCATTAAAATGCCTGCCTGAGAAAAGTCAAGGCTACCTAAAGAATTTACTATTTGTTTGAGCTAACATCTGAAGCGAGAGCTCCTGTCTCCCTGCCTCTGTGAGATGGCAGGATACAAGCCTAACTTCAATGCATGCCAATTAGCAAATCCAGATGGATTTCACTCAACCAACCCCTCGTCCCTGCTTTTTGTAACTGTTCACTTCCCTGACTCAGTTCTTGTCCCTGCATACGTTTTGATTAACCCTTTAAATGCTCAGTCACCTCTGCACAAATTGGAATGGAGCTCAGCTCTTCCCTCCACTGTCAGTAGCTAATGAATAAAGTCGATTTTCACCGCTTGCTTTAACTAATGTCCAGCCATGTTATACTTGACAGGAGTAGGACACAAAGTCAGAGGTATTAGACGGGAGTCTGTCCACATTAAAGCTTGTAATCTATGATACTCTGGATTTAACTTAGAGTGAATTGGAAATCCGTTAGAGGCTTTGGGGCGAGAAGAGGAATATGACATATTTTCAAAGAAACTATCTAACCTCTGTGTGGAAGAACACCTGCAGATGGGCACGGGGAGAAGCAGAGACACCAATTAGGAGGCTTTTTCAGTAGTCTCAGCAAGAAATGATGATGTGTTGGTCTCAGTTAGTAGTGGGGTATATGTGAAATGATAAATTTTGGTTATATTTGAAGTTAGTATTACCCGGACTTGCCAATTCATGGTAGAAGCTGAATTTTAATAGATATGGATTATTTACATACATAAATTAAAATGATTTTACACTTTGCTCAAATATCTGTGTCAAATTTATAAATAATGATTTTTTTTTCCAGAACAATTATGTCATGGAAGAAAAGACATCATTATCTAATTAGCAAATTCAGATATATAGTATACATTTCCCACTTGATTTTCTCCAGATAATTCAAAAGTGATAACTCTAATGAAGATAGACAAATTCAGTGTGTTAATTAGCAGATGATAATGAAAGGACATTATTGTTGAGGATGCTATCTATAGAAGATTTCCTATTATGTTCCCCCAGAAATACTTGCTTTTTCTCTCAGACTTTAAGAAAAATAAGGAGATTATTTTAAGATAAAGTTTTGTGTTTCCAGAAAATATCTTTATATGAAAAACAAGTTCAGTAAGTCAGTTCTATCAATTGGAAATTAAATTTCTCATTTGGTAGCCACAGCTGTTGAAAGTAGAACAAATAACCAGAGTCTGAGACCTCTTAAAGAGACAATTGTTTTCTTTATTTGTAGTAAGTGTGATAAACTTCATCCTAAATTTTATTAAGGAGAACACATTTATGACCCTTTTCCAGACACTACGAACAATTATGCATTTTCTTCCATCCATCCATCCATCCATCCATCCATTTAGCTTTCACCCAACATTGCCCAAGAATCATGGAAGTTTGCTTAAAGCGTTTCTCATCTCTGCAGTGGTAGCGACATGTATCTGAAACCTAAGTTAGGAATAGTTTGGAATAGCACATTCTATTTATATGTGAATAATTTTTTAAACCCGGATTATTTTTGTAATGCCAAATACAGAAAAGAAATGTCAAAAAAAAATGTGTTTCGAATGTTTAATTGAAAGTCTGTGAATTTACACTAACCAAGAAGTTTCTTTGGGAAAGCTAAAGTGTGGGAGTGTGTGATTTTCATGCTTATCCAAAAAACGGGACTTTTAAGGATTTCTTATGCTTGACAACAGATGGACCTGCGTTAGAATCGTGTTTCTATCATTTATAAGTTCTGTCACATTAAACATGATATGTAACTTCTCTGAGCCTTAGTATTATCAACTGTGAAATGGAGTAAATAATATTAATTGCACGAGATTCCTGTAAGAATTTAATAGAATAATGTAATAGAATGCTTTCTAAATTTCATTGAAAAGTTGCATGCAACTCAGTCATGTAAATATATAAATATTCTTTTTTTGATCTTAGAATAGTTCACTATCTATTAGTAATAGTCTATTAATAGTACTTTTCACAAGAACATAAATAATAAATACAGGTTTATAATAGCTGTATTATTGCTGCTATACACACTTCTTTACTGCACCACTTTGAATGGCCCGATTTTTGCTATCTTAAAATCAGCACTGTTTACATTTAATAAGGCTACCACACAGTGAAATTATCTTATGCAAAAGATTTAAAATAAAAATTAACCTATTCATTTACTGCAAATGTGTTCTTCTATTGAACTTCAGGTACTGTGTTTATTACTAGAAATACAGTGATGTACAGACATAAAACACAGTTTCTCCATCAATGTCAAGAACAGTTTTGGAGGGAAATTTTTGGCAGCACACTGTTATTTCTCTTTATGATTTGTGATCTTTTCTACGTTTCTTCAAACTGTTATGCAGAAAAAAAAATAAACCAGCATTTTGAATGGCTTACTAGCGTTCCTAAGCCACATTTACAGGCCTTCATAAGAAGGATTTTTCTCCCTCTAAACCTTACTTGTGGCTTAATTGGATTATAGGTGCATAGATAAATTTTGCTTCCCTAAAATGTATGGACAGGCATTATGGCATGGCTGGCTCTAAATCCAGCCATGGAAATGAGGCATCGTATTTGTCTAAGCAATATCAACTGGATGAAGCACACAGAACTCAGAGTTTATTCTTCCCCACTACTTCCTGATGTTCCAAGTCTCCATTCCCTTATGTTTTTTACCTTCCTGTTTTTTTTTAAAAAAAAAAAAAATTATTAAACATTCATGCAGTTAAAATGTCCATATTGTGTCTGGTTTAATTTTCTTTTCCTCCATCAGGCTTGAGGCTCAGCAACTGAAGATTTCCTCATCCCTCACTTTGAAGCTGGTCTGCCCCCTTTGATTTTCTCACTGGGGCCTTGGCTTCATAACAGTGATGGGACAGGGAATTGGTTGCGCGAACATGACAAAGCTCTCTAGGCTAGTAAGTTACCATTGAAATCCTTTCTGTTGATTGTTTCTGCTTCTCTTGGCTAACGCAGAACTGTTTTCTTTGCTTTCTGTACAACGGCTAGTCATGCTCTAATTCTCCCACTGGGCACATGTGAGAATTCCTGAGAGGGTTCTAAGGAGTTTCCCCACTGGCAAATTTCCTAGATTGTTTTTTTTTTTTTTTTTGATTCTCTGCTTTAAACAACCACCTCCAGCAATATACTCCCAATTTCTTGCTGCTGGAGCAGACTTGCCAGCCTTTTAGGGTACAGTAAAAGCATACTGGATATGTGATGCTCCATCCAGATCCACTAACTAGCTGGCTTATGTGCCTACCCCCATGCCCTGGGAGAATTAGCAGTTAACAGGGTACAGCCGCACCCTTTTGGTGAATTGTCCTTGGCCAAAGTGGAGCTCCCTCATCCTGGAGGCTATGAACCATTTCTTCCCCGTGTCCCTTTCTGCCCAGAAGGGCACTGACTTCAGCTGTAACTAACCGATAATGCGGTATAAAAGTCACCCCTTTGTCTTAAGGTGAGCCCAATCCTGGACTCACCTGAATCAGTCACATGTGCAAAGTCCCTTTGCCTGGATTAGATGAAGTGAGTTTTCAACTGAGACCAAGTTCTTGCTTACTCTAGATCTAGTACACTATCTTGTTTCTTTCACTTATATTTTCTTGAGCACACACCTCTAATGTATCCATTTAACAAGAAACCTTGTCTCAGGCTCTGCTCTGGGGAACTCAACATAAAACAGTAAGTAATGTGGTTGTAGCCTGACTGGTTTTGTGATGCCTGCTTGAACTGTGGGAAGCTCATGCATCTGAGTGTAGCTGCTTATGGTTTGCCAGAGTCCTTCTTCTCTGTGCCACCTTAAAGCTAGTCCGGGTTTTATACATAAATGCCCTTGACTGGCTCCTGTAAACATTTAAATCTTTAACCCACAAGCTACCAATTTATTCCGTTCTGGTATGGCTTTTTACTTAGCCACATTAGAAATATATGACTGATGAATGTTAAGACTGGAGGATAAGAAACAGCTAATGTTGTCATATACTAAGCAATTTACATAGAATACTATTACTTTTCATAATTGTCCTATGACACTAGTATTGTTAAGGGTCATCTAAAAACTGAAGGAACAAAACTGAAAATGTAGGACTCAGGATTCAAAAACAAAGCTGAAGAAAGATTAGTTGAGAATCTAACAAAATAACTTTGAATTCCATAGTCAACAGGAAACTCAACATAAACTAATATCATGATTTGACTAGAAAAAAAAGACAGTGCAAACTTGGGATACTTCTATAGAAAGAAAGCTCATACTTGGAAGATATTATGTTCTGTGCTTCATACTTAAAAGAAATATCTATAAAAACTGATGCCAACTTTAAAACATTATTTCGGAGGTGAAGTAAGTAATTTCTCTGAAGGAGTTTATCCCAGTAAATAGAAGACTGGAAGGAAATTGATCAGTCTTCAAATTTTAAGAACTATTAGATTTTATATGGACTTGAAGGAATTTGACCTGAAATAGTTTAGTGCAAAAAATTTTTACAAGCTGAGACCTGTACTATCATCACTCGAAATATTGAACTGTAAGATGATGTATAGACAGAATAATAGCCCTAAAATATGCCCACGTTCTAACCCCCAAACCTGTGAATATGTTACCTTACATGGCCAAAGGGACTTAGCACATGTGACAGAAAGGATCTTGAAATGGGAAGATTATCCTAGATTATACAGGTGGGTCAATGTAATCACAAGCCTCCATATAAGAAATAGAGAAGAAGCTGTAACCAAGAATCAGAGGTCATAGGTTTGTAGGGCCCTAAGCCATAGAATTCAGGACCCGGCCAGGCACGGTGGCTCACGCCTGTAATCCCAGCACTTTGGGAGGCCGAGGTGGGTGGATCACCTGAGGTTGGGAGTTCAAGACCAGCCTGACCAACATGGAGAAACCCCGTCTCTTCTAAAAATACAAAATTAGCCCAGCATGGTGGTTCATGCCTGTAATCCCAGCTAGTTGGGAGGCTGAGGCAGGAGAATCACTTGAACCCAGGTGGCAGAGGTTGCGGTGAGCCAAGATCATGCCATTGTGCTCCAGCCTGGGCAATAAGAGCAAAACTCCGTTTCAATAAATAAACAAATAAATAAATAAATAAATAAATAAATAAATAAATAAATAAAAAACGAATTTAGGACCCTTGAAAGGCTGAAAAAGGTGAGGAAGCAGATTATTTCCTAGATCTCCAGAAAGAACAGAGCCCAACAAACTTGATATTAGAATTTCTAATCCCCAGAACTGTAAGATAATACATTGATGTTAAGTTACTAAATTGGTGGTAATTTGTTACACTAGCAATATAAAACTGTTCTGGATGGCCTACTAAGTACAAAGGGGATTCTAGTATCAGATGGGAGGATACATATGATGTTCTTTTTTTTTTTTCTTTTTTTGCAGGAGACTGGAGTTTCATTACTCAAATCCGTCTCCCCGAGCATTCTGGGAACAGAGGTTTAAGGATAACTTGGTGGGTAGGTGGAGAGCCAGTGACCAGGAGTGCTAATTGGTCACGGATGAAATCCTAGGGAGTCGAAGATGTCTTCTTGCACTGAGTCAGTTCCTGGGTGGGGGCCACAAGATCAGATGAGCCAGTTTATAAATCTGGGTGGGGCCAGCTGACTCATCAAGTGCGGAGTCTGCAAAATATGTCAAGCACTGATCTTAGGAGCAGTTTAGGACAGGTCAGAATCTTGTAGCCTCCAGCTGCATGACTCCAAAGCCATAATTTCTAATCCTGTGGCTAATGTTAGTCCTATAAAGGAAATCTAGTCCCCAGGCAGGAAGGAGGTCTGCTTTTGGAAAGGGCTATTACTGCCTTTGTTTAAATTATGAACTACAAATTAAGTTTTTCCCCAACGTTAGTTCAGCCTATGCCCAAGAATAAACAGAGACAGCTTCGAGTTTAGAAGCAAGATAGAGTCAGTTAAGTTAGATGTCTTTCACTGTCTCAGTCATAATTTTGCCAAGGCAATTTCAATCCCTCCTTTTCGGTTTTATAACACCTTAATCTTAAGGTGTAGGCTATAAAGATGGGAAAAGGCCATTGATCACTCTGGCTTCTTCCTGCTGACGGGGGATGTAGTGGGAATGGGAGTGAAGCCCAAAGTGAGAAGAATGGAACTGCTTTGCAACTGTCTTTTGAGTGTACTCATGCAGGCCTCGCTGGGCTTCCAAGACTTGCGTGGCAAAAACATTCGTACTCTCAGCTATAGTTTTAATACAGTATTTACGTGAGCAGTACACTGTAAGGTAAATAACGAGTCCTAAGATGAGGAGTACAATTCACAATTTTAAAAGCAAAGATTTGAAAGCAATCGTTTGGGGACTTTTAACCCAAAAAGAATTTAGAATTTAGTGTGAACTGCAGAAAAAACCCTCAAGAACAGCTAACAGCAGCGTACCATAGTTTTTCTTTGGAAGCATTATTTTTATCTCTCCAGTCCCCATTTTTATTAAAAACAAATCATGATAGAACTGATTTACAGTTTACAAAATAAATTTTAGTTTTACTGTATGTGGCCTGATTATTTGCACAAAATACAGCAAGAAAAATTATTTTTCACTTAGGCTTTTTAAAATGGCTTTGATGAAACTCTGTTCCACGAAGAATCTCAGATAAGACTTTTTAAAAGCTGAGCCCAGCCATGGATTTGTACCCTCATGTTGGGAGCAGGTCCCCCAAAATCTGGCCATAAACTGGCCCCAAAACTGTCCATAAACAAAATCTCTGCAGCACTGTAACATGTTCATAATGGCCCTAACACCCATGCTGGAAGGTTGTGGGTTTACCAGAATGAGGGCAAGGAACACCTGGCCCGCCCAGGATGGAAAACCACTTAAAGGCATTCTTAAGCCACAAACAATAGCATGAGCGATCTGTGCCTTAAGAACATGCTTCTGCTGCAGTTAACTAACCCAACCTATTCCTTTAATTCGGCACATCCCTTCATTTCCCATATGGGATACTTTTAGTTAATTTAATATCTATAGAAACAATGCTAATGACTGGATTGCTGTTAATAAATATGTGGGTAAATCTCTGTTCAGGGCTCTCAGCTCTGAAGGCTGTGAGACCCCTGATTTCCCACTTCATACCTCTATATTTCTGTGTGTGTGTGCGTTAACTCCTCTAGCGCCGCTGGGTTAGGGTCTCCCCGACCAAGCTGGTCTCGGCACCCTCAAATACCTATGAGTTGAGTAAAGTCCTCTCCTCTTGAGGTCCCAAGATAATTTGGGGTTCCTGGGCCTGTTAGAAAGTGACATTCTTTACTTACCACAGTGCAGGAACCTTGTCCAGGGACTCTATGTGGACAAGGTATGAGGCCAGATTCCCCAACAGACTTTAATTGGCTCTATAAGTCAACTTTGATTCTTTAAAGGAAGCATGCCATTCCAATCAAAGCCTTGGTAAAATGACCAGTTTCTCCAATGGTGTCCTGTTACAAAAGAAAACATTCTTATTGCACTTATGCAATTAATTATACTGCCATAAATTGAGAATACTCACAAATGGTTCTCAAATTCTAGAGAAATCAGGTAGAGAGAAACAAATATGCTCCAAAATTTTTCACAGGAGTGTATTTTACTCACTTGTTTAAAGTTGCAAATAGCACTAAAGAAATAAGTTATCTTGACACTGAAAGCAAAAGGATTAGCAATGTTTAAAAGAAATAAGTTATCTTGACTCTGAAAACGAAAGGATTAGCAATGTTTAAAAGAAATAAGTTATCTTGACTCTGAAAACAAAAGGATTAGCAATGTTTAACACATCAGCTTTCCACGAGAGTCCTAGAAGTTTCCTTTTTTCCTCTGTTCCAATAGCACAATTTTTAAAGTTATCTAAGACCTGCACTCAGTCTTATATCCGATTATAAAGTGCCTTTTGAAAAGGACCAAAGCAAGACAAAATGTCTGTGGATGACAAAAGTCAATAGCCACTATTAATGCTATAGTTGACTAGGAATTTTTGTTGCTTATGTGGCATATAACAATTTTACATAACTATTATAATTAATAATGTATACTAAATCATATCAGAATTATAGAAGTTTCCCACAAATTTTGGAACACATACTAATAACATATTTATACAAATACAGCCCAAAGAAAATCAAACATCATTCACTCTTCTATTTGAAAATTTTCATTCTATTCTAATGTTACAATCTGCAGAGTTATTAATCAGAAACCTGCATTTAAGAGCACTTGTTAAATTTTATGGCAGATTATAAAACCGTCTTTTAAGAGGATCAAAATGAGACAACAATTGTCTGTGGATGACAAAAACATTTTAGGGTAGCTACAGTTAAAGACACAATTTACCAGAAAATTTGTTAACTATGGCACACAGCCATTTAACATAATTATAATTATTACTGATAAGATATACTAAGTCATATTAGAATTATAGGAGTTTTACATAATTTTGGAATATATGCCAATAATACACTGACCCAAATATATCCCAAAGAAATACTACGGGAAAAGACAGTGCAGTGCTTCTACCCTGATTTTCATTCCAAGGCCACTCAAAGCCAATCAGCCCATTTTGTAATCAGCCCATCCCCCATGGGAGTCTCATCCCCCAGTGAGGAGTGGGGATGTTTCCTTATCTTCCAGGTGGCCAAGAGCATGGTTCTCTGATTCAAGTGTGCATAGTCAAGTATTCCTCTGTAACTACTATTTGCCATCCACTACATTATATTTCCTACATACTTATTACACACCTAAGCTCTCTCATAATGAGAAGTAATTTCTGATACCCCCAAAACTCAAAACCATCAGATAACCCAATGCAAAACAGAAAACAGCTTTTGATTTTGAGAGGGATCTATTCGCTTTTAATTCCTGGGGTTCCATGAGGAAAACAGAGCTTTTTTCCAAAATGGGGTCTGTGGTGCCTCCTGTTTTTTCCAAGGAGTCCCAGGCTACCAGAAGTTATCTCAGGGCCTTTCATGTTTGCATTAAGGTTGACAAGACAAAAAAAAAATGGAAAAAAATAATTCAGTTGAATGAGAAGAAAAAACCTCTTTTCAGAAGAAAAATAAAAATGGAAAAAATGCTCTAAGAAGAGAAAAATATAAAGGCCTTTTAAATATACTTAAAACTTGTTTATCCACTTTTAATTACACTGACTTTTAACCATAGCACTCTTTAAAAAAAAATCCTTTAAAAATTTTATTACTCAACTTTAGCCATGCCAACCAGCCAATATTTTTGGCTTTTGAATTCTACCACAGGTAACTTCCCACATGAAATTTATAAGTTTTAACTAAGGTTATAACTTAACCATGGACACATAGGTGTCTCAAAGATATGGTTTCTTTTTTTACAGGATTTTTTTTGCAAGATTTTTTTTTTTTTTTCACAAGATTTAGAATCTCCTTCAGGGTATTTTACAGAAAGGAAAATTCAAGACAAGAAATCAGAAGCTATTCATGGGGAGTGGGGGAGCCCCAATAAATGGCAAATTTACATAAATAAAACCCAGAAAGGAATCAACCCAGGCCACCATTGTCAAAAGGCAAAGCCTCAGCTACTGAGTTACAGCATTGAGCAGTTTCTATTGCTCTCCCCAGAGGGAACCCAGAGAAGCCAATTTCAAGCTTGCACAGGCTTTTAACTGCTCAATAAAATGTTGAGGTCCAACTATGACATGAAGCCACAAATTCCTGTCTCTACATGATGGAAACCAAGAGAAAGTATTCCCACATGGTCACAAGGTTAAGCTCTTAAGGACACAAAACAAGACACAGAAATGTCATCTGGTATTGCTTTCAGGGCCCCGCAGCAAAGTTTGTAACTGACCAGCCTGCAGGGCTGGCTTGAAAAGTGGGCTTATAGGGGTCCTAAACCCACATTCTATCCTATGATACTCCTTTCTCCACTACAGAACACAGGAAGACAAATTCTTAGCACAAAGCACACCAGATTTGCTACAACTTAAGAGTAGTCTCACAAATCCATTTTTCTATTCATCAGACCCTTGCAGAGCAGACCGATAGTTTACTGTTTTACCCAGACAAAGAGACAGACACACACAGAGAGAGAGAGAGAGCAGAAAGTTAGCCGGTAAGAATTTCTTACCCTTTCGTCTGGCGTACCAGGTTTCTGAGTTCCCTTTCTCTGCAGCTTCCAGAAGAACGGAGCGGCTTCTGATGACCCTGCTCATTTGTGCTATTGCTGTGGGGTTCAAGCCACTTTACAAGAGAAAATCACCCTTTACTGTTTTATGAAACCATAGGCAAGATTGTTAATTTGCAAGATGCTGCCCAATGGGCTGCATGGGGAACTGAATTAACATTTTCCATCCCAGCAAAATACACATAACAAAACAGACATTAGTCACCTCGTTCAGCACCCAATATCAGCCTGGCAAAGCTCAAACTTTTTCCCATTGTTCTCTGTTTTGGATCCACTCCAGGTGAGGAGGGATGACCTCTAATATGATAATTCATAATGAGGTCTCTGGGCAGGGTGAAGAGCAGTTAGTTACCCTGAGAGTCAGGAGTGTTGAGCTTTCATTAGGGTTCGCTGAATGTAATCAGACAAATAAGGAGGGTTCTGAGTTAGGCCTGCTGGACTTCCATTAGCAACCCCTTCTGAGATCCCTTCCACATATACAAATACTCACAAAGACAAGACAGACAAAAGGCCTTCCAAATCACATCCCTAACCAAGGACTCCAAGAGTATCCCTTCCAAACTATCCTTCTATTCTCCATCTGAGAAACCTCCTAGAAATCTTCCTGATTGAAGATAAGTCTCCCAAACCAAGACTCTTCCTACTAGTTAGAAAGAGCCAACCGACATGCCCCAGGAGCCGAACAGACACCCCACAATGGCACTACAGACACAGACACCCCGTGGTGGAGCTACAAACAGAGACCCCATAATGGGGCTGCAGACACCACACCATAGGGCTACAGAACCAGTTGAGAGAAGGAAGGAGGCGTTGGCAATGCCTGGGATACTCACCAATCCAGACCCCCCATGATGAGGCTACAGACAGACACCCTGTGATAGGGCTACAGTTAATGGATGTCTCTTCATGACTGTTTCTCCATTGCAATTAAATCCATGCACATTGGGTCGGCAGTGCCCCTCCAGTAGAGAGAGTACCAGAGTTGGCCCCCAGGTCAAGAGAACTAGGAGGCTGCTTGAGGTGGCTTCTGGATCCATTGCTGGAGGTGGGGGCTGCTGAATCATGGGCAGGTAACCACAAGGGCAATCCTGGACAAGTCCCCAAATTTGTAACCACCAAAGGGGTTCACCTTGCCTGCTTCCTAGACAGAGCCAGTTCATCAAGACAGGGGAATTGCAATAGAGAAAGAATAATTGACGCAGAGCCTGCTGTGTGGGAGACCAGTTTTATTATTACTCAGATAAATCTCCCATATGATGTTCTTGAAAATTCCTCTTAGTCCTGAGATTTATTGTTTAAAAATTAAAATACAAACAACACTAAGACTTGGATCCCACCTCAAAATCATAAGGCAGCATATTATGGTGCAGTATTTTCCTAGCTGTGGTATTCATATTTTTCCAATTCTAGGTACCATTTGAAAAGTTTCTAACTTAATAGTTTTCTTCAAATCAAGTCATTTCTGCTTTTTACCTTATCAGAATTAAATTAAGAGAAAAATATATAACCATTTTAAATAGAAATTCTAGAACTTTTTATCAGTTGAATACATTTGCAGAAGCCAAATAAATATAATATAAACAATAGAACACAAGTATTATTGAATTCTACCTACTTTTGTTGCCTACTGAAGGCTCTGAATCTGGAGTTTTCTCTTTCTTGATAAAAATGAGAGACTAGCATTACATCTGTTTCCTTGATTTGGGGTTGAAAGAAAATTGAAAAAACAATAGCTTTTTTATTTGAAATTCGACATGTGGGTGACATCTGTGGTCTTCATCTTGAGTATCCCCAGTGGTTCATGATTCATAATTTAGCAAACGCTGGCATAGTGTCAAAACACAAACTTTGCAGTGAATTGGCCTTGGCTCAAATGAAAGTTCTATTGCTATTATTTCTGTGACATTAGGCAAGTGACTTAGATTTTCTGTACCGTAATGTTTTTCCACAATGGTGGTAACATGCTCACTTCAGATGGGTATGGGCTAAATTAGAAATGATATGTGTCTTAAGTAAACAATTGTTAATAAATACTTATTTAAATCCTAGGAGTCAGAGCCTTTCCTGAGTTGTATGCTATGCTTTCTTTTATTTAGTCTCTACAAGAGGATAGGGAGAAAGAGTTAAAACAACCAAATACCTAAATCTGCCAGCAGGCTAATACTTGATATTGAGTAGACTATAAGTAAGTTGAGGGCAAGAACTATATATAATTCATTTTTTGCTTATCTAGCACTTAGCACAGTCTCTGGGTATGGTATGTGCTCAAAGGTGATGGTTTAATTGAGCAGTAGTGAGGTTGCTTGGGTTTTATTACTTGGCCTGTCCTTGTCAGTTCAGGTTGCTTTAACAGATCTTAAAAAACAGAAATTTGGGATCCTTAAAAAAAGCAGAAATTTATTTCTCACACTTCTGGAGGCTGGGATATCCAAGATCAAGTCGTAGGTTGAAATAATATCTGGTAAGTTCTCACTTTCTGATTCATAGATAACGCTCTTATTTTTGAGTCTTCATAGGTATAAGAGCAGAGAGAGAAAGAGAACATGCTCTCCTGTCTCTTCTTATAAGGGCACTAATCCCATTCACAAGGGCTTTCTCATAATCTAAGTACCTCCCAAAGACCCTTTCTCCTAATACCATCACAGGAGTAATATGCATAGTAATCATTTGGGGGTTATAAATTCAATATATGGATTTTTGTGATGTGCAAACATTCAGTGCATAGCATGGTCCAAATACCTGCTTCCAAGCTTTTTCAAAATATGTGATTTTGAATCCTTAACTTTTTCATATTAAGGTGAAAATAAACCTGAAAAAAAAGCATATCAGCCAGTGAGATCTTGAAAATATAAATCTAGTCAATCCTAATAGTAACTTTAAAATATTTAAATAGTATTATGCAACAGCATCTCATTTAACTTACAGAAAAAAAATATTCTTAAGGGGGCTTGTAAAGTTCTAAATCAGGAATCAGCAAATATTTTCTGTGAAGGGTCATATGGTAAATATATTAGGCTTTGTGGGCCGTGCAGTCTTTGATGTAACTGCTCAAGTCTATTCATGTAGCATGAAAGTGGC
Source organism: Homo sapiens (assembly GCF_000001405.40). Lineage (NCBI taxonomy): Eukaryota > Metazoa > Chordata > Mammalia > Primates > Hominidae > Homo > Homo sapiens. The sequence goes on from NC_000004.12 coordinate 31,469,260, forward strand.
CATAAACACTATGTGAATAAATGAGCATGACTGTGTCACAATAACATTTTATTTTTGAACACTGAAATATATATTTTGATACTTTCAATGTATCATGAAATATTAGTTTTCTTTTGATTATTTTTTAATTCTTTAGAAAATACAAATCATTTTTTAATTTCATCGGTCATATAAAAATCCTTTCCTTTGTCTACTTTTTAATGAGGTTATTTGTGCCTCTTTGTTGAGTTGTTTGACTTATAAATTCTGCATATCAGTCTCTTGTTGGATGCATAGTTTGCTAATATGTTGCCCTATTCTTCAGGTTGTCTGTTCACTCTGTTGATTATTTCTTTTGCTGTACAGAAGCTTTTATTGTTTAAGTCTCATTTGGCTATTTTTGCTTTTGATGTTGGTGCTTTTGAGGTCTTAGTCATTAATTCTTTGCCTAGACAAATATCTAGAAGAGTTGTTCCCTTGGTTTTCTTCTAGTATTTTTGTAGTTTCATGTCTTACATGTAGGCATTTAATTCATACTGAGTTGATTTTTGTATGTCATAAGGTATAGGCATCCAATTCTTTTGCATATTGCAATACATTTTTTTCCCAGTACCATTTGCTGAAGAAGGTATCATTTTCCTAGTGTATTTTGTCAACTTTGTCAAAGATCACTTGGGTATAGATACCTGACTTTATTTCTGGATTCTCATTCTATTCTATTTTTCAAAAGAAGGCATACTAATGAACGACAAGCACATAAAAAAATGCTAACATCATTGGTAATCAGATAAATGCAAAATAAAACCATCAAGAGATACCATCTTACATGAGTCAGAATTATCATTATTAAAAAGTAAAAAAATAACAAATGTTGGTGAGGATGCAGGGAAAAGGAAATGCTCATACACTGTTGGTGGAAATGTAAATTAATACAACCTCTATGGAAAACATGGAAATTTCTCAAAGAACTAAAAATAGATCTACCATTCAATTCAGCAATCCTTCTACTGGGTATCTATTCAAAGGAAAACAAATCATTATATCAAAAAGACATCCACAATTGTATGTTTATCACAGCACTACTCACAATAGGAAAGATGTGAAATCAACCTAAGTGTCCATTGTTGGATGACTGGATTACAAAGAGAGAGAGATATATATTATATGATATATATATATTATATATATTATATGAGACAATATATGAGACATACATCAAAGAGATATGATATATATATCATTATATATTGTATAGATTATATGACATATATACCATATATAATATGATACACATAATTATATTTAATATTATATATAAAATATGATGTACATCCTATAATGTATATCTCTCATATAATATATATTACATAACATACAATATATAATATAAATATATATTACAATGAGAGACATATATATAGTGTGTGTGTATGTGTATATATATATATATATAGTTCCCATTTATAAGGTAGAACATGCAGTATATATATATATACACACACACTATATATATATGTCTTTCATTGTATATATACATATACAATGTGTATATATACATATACAATGTGTATATATACACACACACACACACACACACACACACACACCCACAATGGAACAATATTTAGCCATAAAAAGGTAAAATCATGTCTTTTGCAGCAACATGGATGGAACTGGAGGCCGTTATCTTAATTGAAACAACTCAGAAACAGAAAGTCAAATACTGCATGCTCTACCGTATAAATGGGAGCTAAATAATGTGTACACAAGGACATAGAGCGTGGAATTATAGACACTGAAGACTCAGAAGGGTGAGAGTGGAAGGATAGTGGGTGAGAAAATACTTAATGGGTACAATATACATTATTCAGGTGATGGATACACTAAAGGCTAAGACTTTACCACAATACAATATATTCGTGTAACAAAATTGCACTTGTACATTTTTAATTTAAACAAATTAAAAAAGAAAAGCCTTTTGTAACCTCCTAATTTAAATTAAGTCTTCTTATTATATCTTGCCATGATACCCTGTATGTTTCTTCTCATAGCACTTATATCATTGGATGATTGCTTGGGTAATTATTTGAAAAATAATTTCCCCATTAGTCTGAAAGCTCCACAAGGACAGGATTTCTGGCTATTTCAATGCAACGCAGTGTACTCAGCCTCTTATCCAGTGTGCAAAGCACTTCACTCTGGACAGTGGCTGCAAATTTGTTGAGGGATTTAATGGATCCTGTCTACAAAACTCTAATCAAAAAGTGGTTTATTGATAGATGCTTTATCCGGAAACAAATAGGAAATGAAAGAATGTAGATATCTGGAAGAAAATGAGTTTAAAGTTGCTAAATATAGGATCATCTGATATATTCAAACTTAACTGCATTCACATTACTGTCCCACAATGCTAAAAAATTCTCTGAAAAGTCCTCTTTCTTCATTTGACACTGTGTCATAGCTTACCATGCTGGTACTATGTTGGATCACCATGCCCAATTTATCCCCTAAAACCTACAGCAACTACATAAAAAACACAAGAATTTCAACCGTTATAATATCCATTTTACCTATGAAATTCTTAAGGATTAGAGCTGTTTTGTGACTTGTCAACAGTGAACAGCTTGTTAGTGGTAGAATTGAGGTTTAGCTCAACTTGGGCAGGATATGACTATTAAGTTGGGGCATACAATCACCTTACGTACTACCTTCTTTGTCTTTCTTCATAGTTCATGTTCTTCCTTTGGGAAAGGTTACTCCAGCTCCTCCAGTTAGTCCCAGTGATAAATCATGGAACTAACTCATGGATTCTTGGACCACAGAAATTTCCTATCAATTCCAGCTTCCTGCTAAAGTATATATACATTTGTATTACATAAAACTTCTTCGAAGTGTAGAATACCAAATCATCATTGCTAGGCAAAGGCAGTAGTTACTGTTTCAAACAAGAGGTTTCAATTTACTTGTCTGTGGAATTTTTAGATGCATCCCATTTGTAATCTGCAGCCTGATAAATGTTCCAAGATAACAAGCCATTTAGGACAAAAAATAATTTAGGGATTTTAAGAGTGTTAATTTCATTGTTAAGATGTTCTAAGGGTATATTGAGTGGAATGCTATCAGCACTTATGAAATTACTTAATTGCATTTCCTGATCCTGACAGATCTTTCCCAAATGTGAGATGATGTGATATTGCCTTTCTTTGCCATAGATAATATTTTTGTTTGTTTGTGGTAGGAGATGAGGCCATTCAGGATTTTAGCACATAATTTGTATGCATATAATTGCATGTGTGCTTATATGTACGTGTCCTAGCTTGAACTAAAATGATGCTTTCATATAGATTTAGATGTCTTAGGGGAACATCTGGTAAATGGTTGTTTGATTGGGATAGAGATGTCAGATGTGTGTATGTGTGAAGGGGAAGGTGGGTCTGATAGTGGTTGTGATGATAATGAGTGTTTTATAAGGTGAAACAGTATCCAGGAGGCTTTTTACCAGAAGGACAAAGAATGCAATCCCCTAATGGGAGAGAGACATAGTCAAAATATAATGGCTTATAATATACATGCAAAATCAGTTCTTAATAAAACAAAACATGGTGTCTGTCACTCACTCAACAGTGTTCTACGTCCATGGATACCTGTTTCAATAAACATATAAGTATATAAGCAAATGAAGGCATGTTAAAATGGACAAATAGTTTCACAAACTAGTAACTGTGAAGCTGTAGAAAATATAATATACTATTCTCACTTCTGTTTGGAACACAGCATGGCTTAGTCCACTGTATGCTACATTGCATTGCATGCTCTAATGTCATCAACAGCTCAATAGAAACACATTATTAAAGTCTTTAATTTAAATATGAAACACCTATGAACACACAGGGTGTATGACTTGCTCAAAGTCAAGCAGCTAGAGAGAGCTGAGTTTCAACCTCACACTGAGTGAGACTTCAAATTTGGGAAATATAACCACTCACTATACTGGGTGCAACTTCATTGTCTGTAAGATCTACATGTCTAGTTACAATCAGATGTGGCAGGAATATTAGATTAGGTAACAACTGTTTTAAGATTAGAGAGAGGCACTGGTAATAGCATCAACATCTTTTGAGAGGATACATTTCTTGTCCCAAACATCAGTAATACGTTTCTTAATATCCGGTTTTAATGACAGTGTTGAGACATCTTTGTATCTTTATGGGCAGTGAAAGATGTAGTCTAATGGGCAGTCCGTGTAGACTAAGCCTATGTATTCAAGATCACATGCGAGCTACCTCTAAGGAAGCCTAGAAAAAATAAATTTTATTTTGTCACAAGACAAAATATTATTTGTCTTGTGAATATTATATTCTATAATGTAGTCAACAGCTTAATAGAAATACATTATTAGAGTCTTCACTTTAAATGTGAAGCACGTTTGGAACACACAGTATGTATGACCAGGCTTCATTACTGCAGTTCCTGGTTAGATAACGTTTTGGATCCCAGAAGTAGTGACTATTGATTTTAGAGTACTGACTGATGTCCTCCTTAGCTTATATGTAGCTACCAGGTAGAAATAGCACTTCCTAATATCCTAAACTTCCAATTATATTAATTATGACTTGAATTTCTTTTTCATTGCCCATTTTCTCTCATTCATCCTCTCAGATTAAAGATAGGCAAGCTCATGTAGAGACATGAGATGAGAACTACTAAAGATGTTCGTCAGTAATGGTTATGATACAAGGATAATTTTAAGTATTTCTATAACTATTGTTTTGTTTTCACATGTATACATATGTAACTAACCTGCACATTGTGCACATGTACCCTAAAACTTAAAGTATAATAAAAAAAAAAGAAGCCTCTCCTTTTGTCTCACACTTTGTTGCCCTGATTTCCCTATGGAAAGACATATTAAGGAGATAATTTTAGTTCTTTTATTTATGAGTTAGGAAAAAAAAATAAGTTAAGGGAAAAAAATTGCAAACCCATAGTTGTATGTACTCTACCCATAAATAACTCATCCATGAGCTGAGAAAATTTGGGTTGAACTTTACAAAAGTTCAAAGGGAAACAACCCAAGGAAAAAGGAACTTGAGCTTTATGTGAATGAAACTAGGGCATCTCTGGAAACGCAAGGAAGAGTTTTACAGACTTCTAGAAGTCAGGGATGGAGCAAAGAATGCAAATCTTTCCCTGTTTCTTGTTTTTATTCTCTGTGGAGGTTGGTTTATGCTTTTTCACATGTCATAAAATATAGTTGCTAACAGCTGCAGAATATTACATCTTACAATTTAAATGTTAGTAAAGAGAATGTTGTAGCTCTTTTTGGAGTCTAAAAATCCACAGAAAAATTTTTCTTTGTCTAGGTTGACCCAGGTGTTTGTACCAGAACAAATCAACTGTAGGCATTGGGTGAGATAATGTTGTGTTACGTGAAAGCTCCCATGTTAATCTTGTACATTTAGTAGGGGAGTGGCTATTACCATAGAAAAAATCAACCCATTAACAAAACAAGTCACGTGTTCTAGCCAGTACATATTTCGTGCTAGTGCTGAGCTCTAGGGTATATTATTTGGCATAATTAATCTGAACAAATATGTGAGGCCATTGGTTCCATTACTTAAGAGTGTCCTAAAATCAGAAAATTCGAAGGAGGTAACTATCAAATTGCCGAGCCCAACATGCAAAACTATAGTTTTTCTTTTTAGTTAGATTTATTTGGCTTTACTTTCTCCTAGCTTATGGCTAAGTTCTTAACATTTATTGACCACGTGGTAGCCCTCTTTAAAACCAACATTTTCTTTGTTCACTCTTTTTCTTTTTCAAACTTTTATTTTAGATGGGGGTATTTGTACAGGTTTGTTACATGAGTATATTGCACTCAGGTAGTGAGCATAGTACACAACAGGTAGTTTTTTGACCCATTCCCATTTCCTAGGTCCCTCTTTTGGAGTCCTCAGTGTCTATTGTTCCCATGTTTATGTCTGTGCATGCTCAATGTTGAGCTCTCACTTATAAATGAGAATATGTGATATTTATTTTTCTGTTCCTGCATTAATTCACCCAGGATTATGACCTGCAGTTCCATCCATGTTGCTGCAAAGGACATGACTTCATTTTTTTTTTTAAGGCTGTGTAGTGTTCCAAGGTCTCTGATATGCCCTGGAGACATTTTCCCCATTGTCTTGGGGATTAGCATTTGGAGATTAGCATTATGCAAATTTCTTCAGCTGGCTTGAATTTCTCCTCAGAAAATGGAATTTTATTTTCTATTGCATTGTCAGGCTGCAAATGTTTCAAACTTTTATGCTCTGTCTCCCTTTTGAAACTGAATGCTTTAGCAGCACCCAAGTCACCTCTTGAATGCTTTTCTGCTTTTAAATTTCTTCACCAGTTACCCTAAATCATCTTTATCAACTTCAAATTTCCATAAATCTCTAGGGTAGGGGCATCTTTGTTAAAACATAACAAGAATCATCTTTGCTCCAGTTTCCAGCAAGTTTCTCATCTCCATCTGAGACTACTTCGACCTGGGGCTTATTATTCATATCACTATCAGCGTTTTTGTCAAAACCATTCAACAAGTCTCTAAGGAAGTTCCAAACTTTCCCATATTTTCCTGTCTTCTTCTGAGCCCTCCAAACTGTTCCAACCTCTGTCTGTTACCCAGTTACAAGTCACTTCCACATTTTCAAGTATCTTTTCAGCAGCACCCCACTCTGCTGGTACCAATTTACTGTATTAGTTGATTTTCACACTGCTGATAATGACATACCTGGGACTGGGCAATTTACACAGGAAAAAGGGATTTATTGGAGTTCCAGTTCCACATGGCTGAGGAGGCCTCATAATCATGGCAGAAGACATGAAGGAGCAAGTCACATCTTACAGGGATGGCAGCAGGCAGAAAGGAGAGCTTGTGCAGGGAAACTCCCATTTTTAACATCATCAGATCTTGTGAGACGTAATCACTATCATGAGAACAGCATGGGAAAGACCTGCCTCTGTGATTCATTCATCTCCCACGGGGTCTGTCTTACAACACATGGGAATTATGGGAGCTACAAGATGAGATTTGGGTGGAGACACAGAGCCAAACCATATCAGGACATAAACAGATACTTCTCAAAATAAGACATTCAAGTGGAAAACAAATGTATTAAAAACTACTCAGCATCACTAATCATCAAAGAAATGCAAATCAAAACCATAATGAAATACTAGTTAGAATGACTTCATTAAAAAGTCATGGTTGGAGTGGCTGGGACATGGGTCACCAAGTCCCTTGGCTGCACACAGCATGGGGATCCTGGACCTGGCCCATGAAACCACTTTTCCCTCCTAGACCTACAGGCCTGTCATGGGAGGGGATGCTGCAAAGGTCTCTGATATGTTCTGGTGACATTTCCCCCATTGTCTTGGGGATTAGCATTTGGCTCCTTGTTACTTATGCAAATTTCTTCAGCTGGCTTGAATTTCTCTTCAGAAAATGGAATTTTATTTTCTATTGCATTGTCAGGCTGCAAATGTTTCAAACTTTTATGCTCTGTCTCCCAGCCACTCCAACCATGGCTGATAGGTGCCAACATAGAGCTCAGGCCATGGCTTCAGAAGGTGCAAGCCACAAGCCTTGCCAACATCCATGTGGTGTTGAGCCTGTGAGTGCACAGAAGTCAAGCACTGGGGTAACCTCTGCCTACATTTCAGATGTATGGAACATACATGTATGGAAATGCCTAGATACCTACGCAGAAGTTTGTGTAGGGGTAAGGTCCTCATGCAGAACCTCTGCTAGAGCAGTGAAGAAGGGAAATATGGGGTTGGAGTCCCCGACTTGGGCATTGCCTAGTGGATCTGTGAGAAGAGGGCCACCGTTCTGCAGACCCCAGAATGGTAGATCCACTGATAGCTTGCATCATGCACCTGGAAAGGCTGCAGACACTCAACGCCAGCCTGTGAAGGCAGCTAGGAGGGAGGCTGTACCCTGCAAACCCACAGGGGCAGAGCTGCCCAAGACCATGGGAACCCACCTCTTGTATCAGCATGACCTGCATGTGAGCCATGGAGTCAAAGGAGATCATTTTGGAGCTCTAAGATTGACTTCTCCTCTAGATTTAGAACTTATATGGGGCCACTAGCCCGTTTGTTTTGCCCAATTTCTCCCATTTTGAATGGCTGTATTTACCCAATGCCTGTACCCCCATTTTATCTAGGAAGTAACTAACTTGCTTTTGATGTTGCAGGCTCATAGGTGGAAGGAACTTGCCTTGTCTTGCATGAGACTTTGACCTGTGGACATTTGAGTTAATGCTGAAATGAATTTAGACTTTGGGGGACTGTTGGGAAGGCATGATTGGTTTTGAAATGTGAAGATATGAGATTTAGGAGGGGTCAGGAGAGGAATGATAAATGATATGGTTTGGCTCTGTGTCCCCACACAAACCTCATCTTGTAGCTCCCATAAATCTCACATGTTGTGGGAGGTAACTGGTCTTTCCTGCACTGTTCTTGTGATAGTGAATAAGTCTTACAAGATCTGATGGTTTTAAAAATGGGAGTTTCTCTGCACAAGCTCTCTGTTTGCCTGCCAACATCTGAGTAAGATTTGACTTGCTCCTCCTTGCCTTCTGCCATGATTGTGAGGCCTCCCAGGCATATGGAGCTGTAAGTACATTAAACCTCTTTCTTTTGTAAATTTCCCAGTCTCGGGTATATCTTTATCAGCAGTGTGAAAATGGACTAATACATGTCTTTGGCTTATTTTAAATGGAATTGTTTGTTTTTTGCTTATTAAGTTTCTTATAGATTCTGGATATTAGACTTTTGTCAGATGCACAGTTTGTGAATATTTTTTTTTCCATTCTGTAGATTGTTTACTCTATTGACAGTTTCTTTTGTTATACAGAGCTCTTTTGTTTAATTGTGTCCCACTTGTCAATTTTTTTGTTTTTATTGCAATTGTTTTTGGGAGTGTAGTCAAAAATTATTTGCCATGGCTGATGTCAAGAGGGGTCTTTCCTAGGTTTTCTTTTATGATTTTTATAGTTTGAGGTTTACTCTTTATTTATATCTATAAATCTATCTGGAATTAGTTTTTGCATATGGTGAAATGTAAGAGTCCACTTTCATTCTTCTACATTTGGCAAGTAGTTTTCTCAGCACCATGTACTGAATAGGGAATCATTTCCCCATTGCTTTTTTTGTCAGCCTTATCAAAGATTAGACAGTTTTAAGTGTGAGGCTTTATTTCTGAGTTTTCTATTTTGTACCATTGATCAATGTATCTGTTTTTGTACCATTACTGTGCTGTTTTGGTTACAATAGCCTTAGAGTATAGTTTGAAGTTGGGTAGTGTGATGCCTCAGGCTTTTTTCTTTTTTCTTAGGTTTGTTTTGTTTATTTCGGATATTTTGGTTCAATATGAATATTAGAATGGTTTTTTTTTCTAATTCCGTGAAGAATGACATTGGTGATTTAACAGGAATATCACTGAGTCTGTAAATCACTTTGGGCATTATGGCCATTTAAATCACATTGATTCTTTCAATCCATGAACATGGGATGTCTTTTCATTTAGTTGTGTCATTTCTGATATCTTTCAGTGTGTGTTCTAGTTCTCCTTAGAGAGATCTTTCACCTCTTTAATTATCTGTATTTCAAGATATTTTATATTCTTTGTGGCTATTGTAAATGGAATTCTGTTCTTACTTTGACTCTCAGCCTGGACATTGTTGGTGTATAGACATCCCACTGATGTTCACACATTGATTTTGTATCCTTAACCCTTGATAAAATTTTGTATTAGTTCTAGTTATCTTTTGGCAGAGTATTTAGGATTTTCTAAGTATAGAATCATATCATCAGCAAAAAGAGATAGTCTGATTTCTCTTTTGTCTATTTGGATAAACCCAAATTCACTTTCTGCACTCTTGATCCTACTTTGTCTTGGAGAACCCCCTACATACCACAGGTCCAGAAGTTTTATCATATTTTCTACTTTCACAAAATTCATAAACCATGGCAGGAAAATAATTAGAAAAGTGTGGTTTTAAAAGCTTTCACCTTCTGATAGCCATTATTTATAATAAATATTTGTAATATCATAAGCCTTCTACAGAAAATATTTTAAAATACAGTTTCACACATAATTATGGCTTCTCTATAGGTATAATTCTTAATTGGATGGAACTGTTGGGCTTTATGGAGAGATTGTAGATCATTGAAATATTAGAGTAAATTGTGTATGTAGGAATTAAATCTGGAAAATACTACCAAAAAGGTGAGCATTTTTTTTGATGTAGGTATCCTTCAAAATTATTTGGTCCACTTATCATTTTACAGAAGTAGACTACATTATGAAAACTACATACACTTTTTTCCCTCACTTTATTTTTCTCTTCAGACTAATATAAACTTAACATTAAGCCAGATTTTTCATCTACCAAATATCCAATATTAATGTTTTCACTTAGGATAAAGCACATGGTTATACTTAAGATTTCAATTACACATTGCCTTAAAACCTTGAATACTAGTTAGAACGTTTTTACTCAAAACATAAGGTTATGCCAAAATGTCCTTCATACTTTATATTCTACCAATATAATTTGTTCATAGACCTATGAATTTAAGAGGTACTCGAGTATAAAATATCTGTGACATTACTTATGAGTGATAGATTTTTTTTATGAGTACAAGAAGCAAATGCATATGCATTCAATTCTATCATGTTATTGATATGTGAAAAAATTCTGCAAATAACTCTTTGGCCTGAAAAGGGAGTTTGGCCATTTAAAAAAATATCTCTTTTTCTTGAATTAAATCCTTATCACAATATATATGTGCAAACTTCTTTTGATTAAGACTTAACAAAATGAAAAATATAAACTACACAAGTGTCAGATTGCAAAGAAACTGTGCCATTTGGTACCTAGAAGTGACCTTATATGAAAATCTCTTTGAATGCTGTTGGAAAACAAAAAAGTGGATGTTAAGGACAGAGCTTGAGTAAGGTCTAGACAACCAACCTGGGTCAAAACCTGGTTGGGAACTTGATTTTTAATATGAGACTAAATGAAAATAAGAACAGTGGTTTAAGATTATTTCTTGTTTTGGAATTTATGATATTAAACATCTTGGAAAAAATTTGAGTAATACATCTGCTATGTTGGGGAAAATAATGAAGACACCAATTTTTAACCCTGTAGTAAAATAAAATGAAAGACTGCCATGAAATATTATCCAGTGAATTTAGCACCAAAAGCTTTTGGGTTACCCTAAACTCTTCAGAAAAAATCCTATTATTCACTCTTGGTATGGTCATGGAAAATAAAGTCACAGAGCAAAGCAAAATTCATGCATGTTTAAAATAATTTATAAATAACAACAGTGGCACACCTTAAATCAACAAATAGAATGTCAGTAAATTCTCAATGCTAGTATCTTAGTTCATTTAGGCTGCTATAGCAAAATACCATAAAATGAGTAGCTTACAAACAACATAAACTTACTTCTTACATTTCTGGAAGCTGGAAAGTCCGAGATCAAGATGACGGTAGATTCAGTGTCTGGTGAGGGCCATCTTCCTCATAGATAGTGTTTTCTTGCTGTGTCTTCAGATGCTGAAAGATGCCAGGGGCCTTCTGCAAGGCATTTTGTTATAAGGGCAGTAATGTACTTCATGAGGACTATATCCTCATGTTCTCATCACCTCCCCAAAATTCTGACTCCTAATGCCATCACCTTGGGGTTAGAATATCAACATATACATTTGGAGGGAATAGTTAGACCAAAGCAGCAGGAAAAGAAAATATATATTCCTTCATTGATTGCAAATGTATACAGAAAGATACAGTCATGTGCTGCTGCATAATGACATTTCAGTCAACAATGAACCACATTTATGATGGTGGTTTCCTGAGATTATACTACCATATTTTTACTGTAGCTTTCCTATGTTTACATATGTTTAAATACACAAAACTTACCATTGTGTTATAGTTTCCTACCGTATTCAGTACTGTCACATGCTGTACAAGTTTGTAACCTAGGAACAATAGGCTGTACCATATAGCCTAGTTGTGTACTGGGTTGTGCCATCTAGGTTCATGTAGGTACACTATGATGTTTGTACAATGATAAAATCACCTAATGATGCATTTCCACAGTATAACCCTATTATGCAATGCATAAATGTATGTATGTACATGACATAAGTTATATATTTTTTGTACATTGCCAGAGCCCTTAAATTGTTGTTGATAATTGTGCCGTTTTATAGTTGTGCTACAGGAAGAGGATTTGCCAAACTTTTTACTTCATACGAAAGTGCCCAAATTTTGATACTTTATATTTGAATCTCACTTGAAGGCAGGTAAGTAGGAGAAAACTGAGCATAATTTTAAAGTCTATACCTACAAAAACAAATGTCTCCTTACTAATTAAATGGTACTTTTGGAAGAGGTAGCATTTTGTAATGGGAAAAGCACAAATCAGTAGGACTAGCTTTTAACATGTTGACTTAGTAGTTGTGTAACTTACAAAACTTTACTTAAATTTTCTGATCTAAGCTTCCTCAATCACAACACTGGAAGAGAACAAAGATATTTATACATGTTTGTTGAAGTACCAAATTAAATGACATAAAAATGCACAGTCGCAATCAAAACACATACACATATGTAATCATTTCTTCATTGCATATAAACTAACAACATTGTATATACATTATATTTCCTTTTTTTGCCAAAGAAAGATAAACATACTGGTGCCTTAACATTTTGATTTTATATTATTGTTACTCTGTTCCTTTAAAGGAAGCTTCATTAATGTGAATGTAGTAGTCATTTTTGGCTAATTACAAATATTCCCTATTCCCTTTCTGGCATATAATATAACTCTACTTCCTTAACCATGTTGCAATTATTTGCTGTGGCGTGACGTGCTTTGCCAGAGGAGAGGAGAACGGAGTAAAATGTGATGCTTAAAGACTAAAGTTCAAAAAACTAGGCATGATTTGCCGCATTCTATTTCTTTTGCCTTGGTAATCTGGATGTACAATTCCATCTGCAACAGACTATTCTAGCAACCTGTAACGGAGATGAGTATTGAGTGAGAAATAAGCTTATATTTTTCCAAACCAATGTGATTTTGTTCTTGCTAGTTAGTGCAGCATATTTAGCCTTGTCTGACTACTACATTTCTTCAAAAGATAAGATTTATTGTTTTGCAACCTTTGATACTATAAATGCCCAGTAATATGTTTTAAGTATTAATGTACCTCAAATGGGATTTTAACTAAAATTGAAAAATATGCAAAAGTTTTATAAAAAATTTTTGAAACTCCAGTTAAAGAGCTTACATTACATTGCAGATGAATTTTAGTTAGAAAATAATGGTAAACATAAACTAGTAGCTTAAAAATACCCAAGCTAAAAGTCACTAAACTAGAATAAGCACTTGAAAATGAATATAGACTCAGATAAATGCATATATTTAGTCTAACATTTCTGAAGGTACTTTCTCTAACTGGGAAATTCAGAAGCACAGAAATAAATGCAAGTAATTTGAGTACTCTGCACTGGCATTTAAATACAAGAGGAAAAAAAAATGTTAATAGGATAAGTACCAGAAAGGATTAAGTGAAGCTAAACACCAAAGAGGATTAGTTATTATCCTGCCTTTACAGGCACCCAAGTTTCATGTGGCCAAGTAGATAGGAAATAGAAAGCCAATGCTGCAAAATGGGATATTTTTTCTCTTTGCAATAAGATTGTATTAAAATCAATTTTATTATGGTACATAACTAAACAAGTAACACAATACCTGAGCTTTCCTCTGGATAATCTAAAATGCGACATGCTTTTAAATATATTTTAGGAATATTTTAAGGGCACTTTTCCCCTCTAAATATTGCTTTTTAGATAAGCACATGAATTTGAAATTAATCAATAGATGTCCTACTTTTGAAACCAATCATTCATACCTATACAGTGAATTAGAGCTTTTCTCGTATTGACGACAAACATAATTGCACAGATTTATAGTGTTTTACTTCATTTACTGTATATATCATTGCATTAAAGGAAAATACAAAAAGTATGTGTGCGTATATGTATATATACATATATAACTCACATATTAATGTATGTAGACACATTCACCAACATAAACATTTAATATTTAAATATCTCTGAAATTGAGACATGTTTTAAAATAGATGAAAAATCACTGCTGTAGTTGTCTTGGAATTTTTTTTTGCCATTTCCTACATGCGTAATAACTTGGTTGTTGTACGTGGTGACATAATTGGAAAATTGGAGCCTCATTATGTCAGTCAACAAACTAAGTCTGTTTGAGAAAGGAATGAGAACCCTGGTATGAGAAGCTTCAATTGATATCTTCAATAGATCATAAATATGCCAGCATTAAAAATGTACAGAAGGCGGAGCGTGGTGGCTCATGCCTGTAATCCCAGCACTTTGGGAGGCTGAGGCGGGTGAATCACAAGATCAGGAGTTCAAGACCAGCCTGGCCAACATGGTGAAACCCTGTCTCTACTAAAAAATACAAAAATTAACCAGGCGTGGTGACTCATGCCTGTAGTCCTAGCTACTCAGGAGGCTGAGGCAGGAGAATCACTGGAATGTGGGAGGCGGAGGTTGCATTGAGTGGAGCTCGCGCCACTGTGCTCCAGCCTGGATGACAGAGCAAGACTCCATCTCAAAAAAAAAAAAAAAAAAAAAAAAGAAGAAGAAAAAGAAAAAGAAAAAAAAGTACAGAATAGCTATTGGTGGCTCGAAAGAAAATATTGGAGACAAGAGAAGAGCACTCTTAAGAAATACTGTATCACTAACGCTCTTGATGGCACAGTAACCAATGTTATGTGTTGTAATTTAGTGATAATGTTCCATCAAAAATAGATGCAGAGGCCCGTGCGTGATGGCTCATGCCTATAATCCCAGCACTTTGGGAGGCCAAGGCAGGCAGGTCACAAGATCAGGGGTTTGAGACCAGCCTGCCTGACCAACATGGTGAAACCCCATCTCTACTAAAAATACAAAAATTAGCTGGGCATGCACCTGTAATCCCAGCACTCAGGAGGCTGAGGCAGGAAAATAAAAAAGGAAAAAGAAAAAAGAAAAAAAAATAGATTCAGAAAAATTACTGTTGGATACAAAGACAACCTAGGAATAAATTAACCAATTTATTTTGCTCTTATTTTCTTCTTTGTGCATACATAAAAATGATACACAATCTTAGAAACTATCACAGTAATTTTAACAACTAAAAACTCTTTCAATAAAGTAAAATGTAAAAATCATATAAAAACATTATTGTATACTAGTCAGTACTTTTTCTTTCCTACTCTTGCATAAAGTAGGTTGAAGCTTATAGTTGATGACACTTGTATTCCATGCAATATGCTAGCTAGTTGACTATGGTTTATCTAAATTTTAATGTGAAAGGCAAGTGATATTGACATCTCTACTGGGAGTGTTATTCTAATTGTTAACTATTCAGACCATTTTCCACGTAATTTCCTACTTTACATCATTTTTTCTCCACATTAGCTTGTTTACTAAGGGTAAAAAAGAATTTAAGAAAGAAATGATGTGAAACTCAGCTTGATTCCTTAGTGAGGTGGTTAAAATTATTTACCTAGCTGAAATATTTAGAGTAGCAATACATTTTATTTATTAATATGTAATCCTTATTCACAAATAACACCTTTTTTAACTGATTTTTTTGGGGGGGACAGAATCTCACTCTGGAACCCAAGCTGGAGTGCAGTGGTATGATCCCAGCTCACTGCCACCTCCGCCTCCCAGGCTCAAGTGATTCTTGTGCCTCAGCCTCCGAAGTAGCTGGGACTACAGGCACACACCACCACACCCAGCTAATTTTTTTGTATTTTAGTAGAGACGGGGTTTCACCAAGTTGCCCAGGATGGTCTTGAACTCCTGAGCTCAGGTGATCCACCTGCTTCGGCCTCGAAAATGCTGGGATTACAGGAGTAATTATTCTCTATTTATTTATTGAATAAGCATTTACTCAGTTTTTAATATGTACCAAAAACTGTTTAAATGGGAATATATCTCCTATTGGTGCTATTTCTCTCATTATCCTAATACAATGACCAATTATAGATTAAGAAAGGAAATATGGTGTTTACTATATGTAGAATGACAAAACAACCCCATTTACTAGGACGTTCTCTGGTTATGCCTGCTGTATCAGAATAATTATTAAAAGACGAATCTTTTCACCATCCAAAGTGTCCCAGTTTGTCCAAATATTAGATGATTATCTGAACTCTGTCTCTCTCTCTACATATATGATAATATTAAATTATTTTCAGAATAATTTTTCTGTTAAGCATTACTCACAATATCCCCTTGATGGTAATTAGTTATTTCACTGTACTGTCGACCACTAGAGGTATATTTGTTTACAAGAATTTGGTGACATAGATATATTCTCTCTAATATTAAATTGTATAAATCCTCTGTTTATATTTTTACTAGTCTTGACATACAGAAGTTACTCAATAAATACTGAGTAAATAAACACATAAACTTTTTATTTTTCAGGCACAATTCAGTTATAAAATTTCTTAGAGATTGGGAAAAATGTAATTTTATAGTGCCACTTCAGTATTGTCTTTTTGTGAAGATTTAAAAGCTATGAGCACAACTACTAATCATTTTTTTTACATCAACATATGTAAACAACATGTGGATAAGGAGTATACAAGCACTGTTGGTGTAATTCCATGGGCAGATATATGCTATGTTCAGCAAACAATCCATTATAAAATTTCATTATGAAAAAAAGCATATAATTAAGTGCTACATGGAAAGCAGACCAGAATGGCTATGAAGATACTTTCCATGGAGCTCTCACCAAGCTACCACAAAAATACCATCATTTTTAAAACTCAGACCATATCAAATAATTTTTTTCTGAGAATATATTATTATTAGAATTTTATAGTCCAAAATATTTCACCGCAGTTCTTAATTTGTCCACACCTTATAGCAGAAAAGATTTATTTTAATGTTTTCAATTTTAAATACAAATCCATAAAATTTATTTCCAATTTCAGCTCCAACATGTGGAGGCTTAGAAACCATCAATCCTGTCCTTGTGAAAATAATAGTATAAATGAAATGAAAATTAACAACTTTTCTTGGATCCATTAAATACATGACTTTGTAGTAGGGAGAGCTGGCACCCTCCATCTGGAAAGATAGATGAATCCAAAGAGTCAGGGCTGAGATCTTCTATAATTGGTAAGTTGGATTATATTGAAATTAAAATTTTCTACTCTGTGAAAAACTTGGATCAGAAATTATTTGGAAAACACAAATATGTAAAACTATGTATCCAAAAGATGCAAATAACTTTTAAAAATTAACAATACAAAATCAGAAGAGCCAATTAAGAAATGAGCAAAAAATCTGATCAGACATCTCACCAAAAAAGATATACAGGTGTCATATAAGCATACAAAAAATACACAATATCATTTGTCATTAGGAAATTGTAAATTAAAATGACAATGACATATTACTATATACCTATAAAATGGCAAAAATCTTAAAACTGACAATATCTACTACTTGTGAGTATGAGAAATAACAGCAACTCTTATTTATCGCTGGTAAAAACACAAAATGGTACGGGCAGTTTGTAAGACATTTAACAATTGCATAATGCATTTATGCATATGATTTGAAAACATTTCCATGCAAAAATCTACACATGCATTTTATAACAGTGTTATTTACAATCTCCTGAAGCTGAAGCAACCAAGATGTCCTTCAATAGGTGAGTGGATAAACAAACTGTGGTACATCCATACAATGCTATAGTAATCAGGATATATTTAATGGCATATAGACAGTGTACGTGCTGAATCCTGACGCAAAAAGATATAAATGAATCTCAAATGTATATATCTAAGTGAAAGAAGCCAGTCTGAAAAAGCCATACTTTATAACTCCAAATACATGACCTTCTGAAAAGGGCAAACTATACAGATGGTACACAGGAGGTACCTCCTGTCGGAGGTGACAGGCGTTTAAGGCAGAAGGCAGAGTAGACTGAATATAGGGAGCACAGGATTGTTATTATGATGTTGAAACTGTTATGCATGATACCATAATGGTGTATATACAATAGTAATTTTTTTCACAACCCATAGATCATTACAGCACTAAAGTAAACCTTAGTGTATGTAAATTTAAAAGTATATTTAGGAATTCAGAGACCCCAGTTGGGAATGAAGGATTTAACATAAGAATCTCACTGTATTAAATGCATGAAACAGCTCACTGAAGGGTTGGGGGAAAAGGTGCTAATCTAAGTAACTCTGGAAATAAATGGAGTGTTACAAAATCAGCATAGTTTAGTTGAAAAATTTGTTCTCCATGTGGATTCACGTTGACATTTCTGTTACCAATGTATATGCATATGCAATTAAACTATTGAGTAAATGAATAGTGGCTAGTCGGAGCCAGGTTTTTCACTGGTTTAATGGGAGGTTACCGATAAGCAGGAAGAAGAGGCTAGAATTATACCTGTAGTAATAGATTAGAGTTGTCATCAGTATGAACTCATGTTTAGCTTGATCTGAATATAATTTTCATATGGAATTATTTATGGATATGTGTATGTCAGTTGCAAGCACCTAGAGACAATGAGACTTCACTAGCAATTGGCATACATTGTCCCCAGGATCTTGGGTTCTAATACCATTCTCCAACAAAATTACCAGAGGCCTGGACATCTACTAGTGACAGAAAATGAAGATGTCCACACACCAGTGCTCTACTTCCACAATGATCCAGCATGTCAAAGAGATCCAGGAGCCAAATGAAAGTGTTCCCAATGGTTAAGTTGGAATAATTAGTGAAAGAAAATAAATAAAGTAGTATTGGATTATAATCCAAGTTAATAAAAACAATTATCTATACTAACACAAATAAATTATTAAATAAATAATATGTGAGAATAGACAAATCTCTGGAGCAGAAAAATTCCAAATAATTTACGTAGATTCCTCCACTTAAGGAGAAATTGTGAAGCAAACACGGCAAAAATGTTCCAATTTCATAGAGTTATTCTTGCAAAAACCAAATATTAATTTGTCTTCAGGATAAGAAATAGTGTTGAGTTATTTCTGCAACATACCATGTTTTTCTTCCACCCACTGCCACCCCCACCACCCCACTAACAACTGTTGATTTTCATGAGCAAGTATTTTTTGGTATCTTCCTGGGAGGTTTGTCCTTGGTCTGAAATGTCCTTATAATTGGATAGAGAATGTATAGAGTTTAATGTCCCTTCCGAAATGAATTGAGATGCCACCTATTTATGGATAGACCAAAATTGGAATTTGTTCATTTTCTCTTCCTTCCCTGGCTCTTGAGTTAATTGGAGTATTTGGCTGTCTTTCCCTTTTTTTTTCCCCCATCTTTTCTTTCCCAGTTTTACTCTTTGTTAAACAAGATCTCAGAATAATTATAAGCCTGTTGTTTTATTTCCATCTTGCCAATCGAGGTGTTTGATTGCAAGAGCGGTAGAGCTGGCCTCAGAAAGATCTTCTGTTTCTGATTTTAAGACTGTGCATGACTCCACAGTGTCCTTTGGGAAATGTTTATTCTACCTTTTCATCTTTGACTTTCTCAAGGTATTCCATGATCACCAACCTATTAACCAACCAAAATTGAATTAAATAACAAGAATGTAAACTCCACAGTAAAAAACTCCTAATATGTGAATCTGTAAATCATTTCTCTCAAACAGTTCAAACAAAAAGAGTTTTTATCACTGCAAGAGTCGCATTTTGCAACAAGCCAATTCTGAAGAAAAGAAAGTATGCTGAGTACACATATCTTGTGGTTTGGTTCACTTAAGCTAAGTCTCATTTCTGTGTCTGTTGCTCAACTGTCGTAAATTGCTACCTGTTCTCTGTGGATCTGTGTTCTTCCTTTGTATATTCAGCTAGTTCTCTGTCTCCACACATATTTCAGTATTATTCCTAACAACTTGGGCAATTTATATTACTCTAGCTCTGTGTTTTCAAAACCTGCAAGGCTACTCATTTGGTAGAAGGATAAAGAGCACCATGTCTTTCCTTGTCAATAAAAAACAAAACAAACAAACAACAAAAAACTGAGTATTTTCTGAAGTCTTTACTAAGTTTTTCTTTTGTTCCTAGTTTTAAAGTCACTAAGACTTCTGGGATCTCGATTTATTCATCTATAAAATATTCATTTATTCTTCTATAAAATAAAAAAATAGATTTAGTGATAATTAAAATTAAGATTATTTCCTGCTCCTCATTTCTATAACTCCATTTAAAATATTACTTCAAGATAAATTTTATAAATTATAATTATTGCCTCTGATTGGTTGCTTCTTTCAAATCAAATTCCTAATAAAAATTTATAAAAGTCTTGGCCATTCTAAAGCAAACTTACTTTGACTTTCTTAGATTTATTTCTTGAGGGGGGAAAGCATAGAGTTTACTAAAACTTATCTGAAAATTATAATCTCCCTTAGGACTACTTCTTCCCCTTTCATCATTTTTTCACCAGAAAAATGGATTTTTTCATTTACATGCCCGAATCAAACTCTATTTTTTGCATATTTTTGAGTCTGAAAATTATGTCTGTTCTCATATCAGGTTAGAAGTTTATACATTTGTGCACAAATTTTAATTGTTATTTTACTTCTTGCTATAGACAATGCAGGAAATTCTACATTGTTCGAAGAAATAAGTTGATTTGACAAGACTCAAATGCTTTGGTAAATAAAGATATTAACTAACTACTAATATATCTCCGCAAATTGGAGAATTCTAGATTGTTTGCTTTCAAATATGTTTTACAGGAAAAGATTGAGGAACTGTCATAGAACACAGGAGATTATGAAGGCACAATGAATATTCAATGTGGTACCTTAAATTAAATCCTGGAATTGAAAAAAACATATCAGTTGAAGAACCAGTGAAATCTGAATGAATTCTGGAATACAGGTGATGGTAATATACCAATATTAGTTGCTTAGTTATGACAATTTTACTATGGTTATATAAGGTAACAACCTTTGAGAAAATTGGGCATGCAGGGCATGTGGGAACTATGTGTACTATCTGCAACATTTTCGTAAACATAAAAATATTCTAAAATAAAAGTCTACTTAAATATTGTCATGATTAGAATTGATTTTTTGTGGTATGTTGAATATTTTACCACAGTTTAAAGACTTTGTAGTGACTGGATTCAGTTGGGTTTAAATATTCAATCAAATCTAATATTATAAAATATTGTACAATATTGTAGTTAAAAAATAGATGTTTCAATAGATTAGGTTCATCCTACATAAATCACTTTTTCTTAATCTGAATAAGAAAAATAGTTTTAAAAAAAACCCACCACTTCCTATTTTAAAGATATTCAACAATTGCTATAGACCAAAATAGTACTTCTGTCTTAAAAAACAAACGTATATTCTAATAGAATAGCTTTGTATTTACTTAAAAAATTTACATTGATTAATATTTAAATAAATTTCATTTGTGAAAAACATATTGTCACAATTTTTCATTAGATTTTGCAAATTCGTGATGGACAAACTTGTCAAAATTGAATCAAGGAAGTGGACAAAACTGTCAAAATTAACTAAGCTAACTGAATTGTACTTTTAAAAAATAATCCATATAAGCTGACAAATCTATCAAATTGAATTAATGGTATTAACATTTTAATAATATAGAATTCTATTTTTATCAGTTTATTTTAAAAAGATGTTTTAATTATAATTACCAAAAATTTGGTGGTAATTAAACTTATTGATAGTGTTTTATTCTGGTAGAAAAGCACTAACCAGTGTGGTAACTGAACTATTTCAGTTGTTAGATACTCCGTCAAATAATAGTTTCAATTTCTTACTTAATGGTGTAAGAAATATAATCCAAATATCATTGAGAAATCAATTTCGGACATGAAGTCCTTGCCCACGCCTATGTCCTGAATGGTAATGCCTAGGTTTTCTTCTAGGGTTTTTATGGTTTTAGGTTTAACGTTTAAATCTTTAATCCATCTTGAATTGATTTTTGTATAAGGTGTAAGGAAGGGATCCAGTTTCAGCTTTCTACATATGGCTAGCCAGTTTTCCCAGCACCATTTATTAAATAGGGAATCCTTTCCCCATTGCTTGTTTTTCTCAGGTTTGTCAAAGATCAGATAGTTGTAGATATGCGGCATTATTTCTGAGGGCTCTGTTCTGTTCCATTGATCTATATCTCTGTTTTGGCACCAGTACCATGCTGTTTTGGTTACTGTAGCCTTGTAGTATAGTTTGAAGTCAGGTAGTGTGATGCCTCCAGCTTTGTTCTTTTGGCTTAGGATTGACTTGGCAATGCGGGCTCTTTTCTTTTTTGTGATGGCAAATATATAAAACTAGATGGAAGTACAGGTGTTTAGTATGTCTCACCATACAGTATTTGCTAGATTCTACTTCTGTGAGGAAATACAAAAAGGTCACATTTTTTTTTGAAATATCAAAGAAACTATGTACCATAAATTATATTCTCAATAACATTTTTTTCTTTAATAAAAGCCATATTAGTTTAACCATTTTAGTCATTGATGAGGTATTGTATTTGGGAACCAAAGAAGAAAAACAGTGTATATTAGTCCATTTTCACACTGCTGATAAAGACACACCCGAGACTGGGCAATTTACAAAAGAAAGAGAGATTTAATGCACTTACAGTTCCACATGGCTGGAGAGGCCTCACAATCATGGTGGAAGGTAAGGAGGAGCAAGTCAAGTCTTACATGGATAGCAGCAGGCAAAGACAGAGCTTGTGTAGGGAAACTCCCATTTTTAAAACCATCAGCTCTTGTAAGCCTCATTCACTATCACGAGAACAGGGCAAGAAAGACCCGCCCCCATAATTCAGTCACCTCCCACTGGGTTCCTACTACAACACGTGGGAACTGTGGGAGTTATGATTCAAGATGAGATTTGGATGGGGACACAGCCAAACCATATCACAGTGGTAAGCTTATAGATATAATACAACATGTAAAATGCATGCACTGCATCATCGTTCACTGCAGAAAGCATTAAAAGTCTATTTCATCAAATCCATTTTATTTGAGAAAAATAATCTTAAATAATATAGATCTTGAAATTCATGAAATACTTTTATATTAAGCAGTATTTGTAGCACATAGGACTTCACTGCGTAGTTCTTGGTAACGTTCTTAAGAGTTGTCAAATATAAAGTTGAGATTTTGTTTTCCAAAATATGTGTCAGAAATTTGCAGGCCTTCAAGTGGCCATTACTAGACACTATTAAGCAGATAGTTACAAAAAACATAAAATAAATTCCTTTGAAGTTAAGATAAAGTTTTAAAATAAGGTGTTTTATTTTTTGATAAAACAAATGTCATGGAGAGAATATTTTTGAAACAAATATTTGGAAATATTTCTATCATTATTTAATTTTCTTCCAGAAATTCTGTCACTTGTAAAGTTCTTTGTCCACATACAACACTTAAAAGGAGATTTTCAACCTGTTTAAACATCTTTCAAAATAAGAGTGTCATTAGATTTTGAATGCATTTGATAAAAATATTAATATGCAACAAAATTCAATTAGCGAGAAGAAATAATGCATGGATATCAGGGAAATTGAAAAAGCCTGAATTTTGAATAAAATCTTTAAATAATTGAAGCATAATTTTAAAAATCAAAAGAATGAAAAGGCAATCTTTGGAATAAGAGATAATATTTGTAAATGACATATCTGATAAAAGGATAATATCTAGAATATATAAAGAACTCATACAGTTCAAAAACCGTGAAACAAACAACCTGATTGAAAAATGGGTGTATGGCCAGGCATGATGGCTCACACCTGTAATCCCAAACTTTGGGAGGCCAAGGTGGGTGGATCACTTGAGGCCAGGAGTTTGAGATCAGCCTGGGCAACATAAGGAGATCTACAAAAAATTTCTGTAAATAGTCAGACGTGGTGACACATGCCTATAGTCTTGGCTACTTCGGAGGCTGAGATGGGAGGGTCACTTGAACCCAGAGGTTCAAGGTTGCAGTGAGCTGTAATCATGCCACTGCACTCCAGACTCGGTGATAGAATGAGACCCCATCTCTTAAAAAAATAAAAATATTTTGTTAAATGAGTGAAAGAGTTGAATAGACATTTCTTCAAAGAAGATATACAAAATGACCAATTAGCACATGAGAAAATGCTCAACATCACCACATGCTAGGGAGATACCAAGCCAAACTGTAATGAGATTCCAATTCACACCGTTAGTATGGCTACTATCAAAAATAATAAATAAAAATAACAAGTGTTAGTGAGGATGTGGAAAAATTGGAGCCCTTGTGTTCTGTTGGTAGGAATGTAAAATGCTACAGCTTCAGTGTAAAACAATATGGTAGTTCCTCAAAAATTAAAAATAGAATAAAATAAAATTCAGAATAGAATTTACAGTTTTTAATTCTGGGTGTATACTCCCCAAATTGAAAGCAGGTTCTTGAGAAGATATTTGTACACCCATGTTTACAGTAGCATAATTCCTAATAGCAAAAAGGTAGACACAACCCAAATGTCCATTCATGAGTGAGTGGACACAGTGTGGTCTATGTATACAAAGGAATATTATTCAGCCTTTAAACAGAAAGGCAATGATGACAAAAGCAATGAAAAGAATGATGCCTGAGAATATTACCTTAAATCAAATTAGCCAGTCAGAAAAAGACAAATTTTGAATAATTCTATTTATGTGAGGTACGTAGAATAGTCAAATTTCTAAGTACAGAGTAGAATGATAATTGCCAGGGGCTGGGTAGGAAAAAAAAAGAGTTGTTTAATAAGTACAGACTTTCAGTTTTTGCAGGATGAAAAAACTTCTGGAGATTGGTTGCACAATAACGTGAATGTACTTAATGCTACTGAAATGTACACTCAAAAATAATTAAGATGGCAAATTTTGTTATGTCTATTTTAACATAATTTAAAAATAATTAGTTTATAATTCTTTCATCAAAACTATAATTTTCTGAAGTGGTTTTCTTTTCAGCTCTGAGAGTCAGTATAATCAAATATGGAAAGAGAATTTAGAGTCAGGCTTCTAAATTGCTTTATGATTGCATGTTTATTGAAATTTTTTTTAAAATGAAGCACACACATAATTTCCTCTTTAATATGTGATTAATGCTATATTTTAGTGAAAAAGTTATATATAAAATGTAGAATACTTAAAATAAATATTTCTATTTTTGTTATGCTATATACTGTGTATATATAGATATATATATGATACAATATATCATATATTTTATATATTTATTTTTATTTTTGTTTTATATATTGTATATAATTACCACATAATTGTCTTAATACATGTATAAAAATGTATATAACATATAGATCACATATGATAAATTAATATACATCTATTAAAGCTCTACTCAATATTAGAGAATCATGGTATTAAAAATGTTTGGACCACATTATCTAGAACACAGAAAGTAATTTCAAACTGGAGTTTGTTACATAAGCACTTATATCCTACATGTAAAAATCCAAAATCATGATTGTCTTGAGATCTCTACGGTCAGTGTGAAACTTGGCTTTGAGGACTTTCTGGTGAGTCTGCTATTTTTGGCTAACACCTAACTGTTTTAATACCAGGCCATGATTCTTTTCTGTTCAAATTATTTATTTTGACTTTCAGAAATAAATGTTGAGTATCCCTCATTTAAAATGTTTAGGACAATAATGGTTTCAGACTTAAATATTTTTCAAAATTTTGAGCATTTGCATGTATGTAATGAGATATCTTAGATATGAGACCCAAGTTCAAATATTCCATTCAACTATGTTTCATATACACCTTATACACCTAGCCTTAAGATAATTTTATGTAATATTTTTAATAATTCTGTGCATGTGACACAGTTATTACTGTTCTATCACATTGGTAAGGTGTGGCATTTTCCACTGTGACATCATGTTGATATTCATAAAGTTTCAGACTTTAGAGCATTTCAGATTTTGAATTTTTGGATTAGGAGTGCACTACCTGTATCTGAAAATTACACAAGTCAGGTTAATTTCAAACTAAAATCGTAGCCAATAATTTCAGTTGGCTGACAGTCCTACTTAGTACTTTAGTAGTATTTTAGTCCTACTAAATTTCCTTAACCATTCTTCTACTCTCTTTGATGACTTTATTAATTAATTAATACCTTCTTCTCTCTCTTAAAACCACTGAAACCTCTCATTTTCAAGCTCAAATAGTGTTTCACTGAGAAAATATAACCAATCAAAAGAGAATTTACATAAGCTCCCATCAAAACATGTACCGGTGTAGCTACACTTGGACTTAAGTACTCTACCTTTCCTCCTATTATTATGAAAAAAAAAAAATCTGTACTGCTATTAAAAGCCAACTCCTCTCCTGTGCTAGATCCGTAATAGTGAGCCAAGAACATTATTCTGGCAATTTTCCTTTCTCTTTGATGCCATAATTTGTTTTTCTTGTCTGTTGGATCAATCCCATCGACATAAGAATATACCATCATAAAAGTAAATAAATAGCCTGTAATACCAGCACTTCGGGAGGCCGAGGCGGGCAGATCATGAGGTCAGGAGATCGAGACCATCCTGGCTAACACCGTGAAACCCCATCTCTACTAAAAATACAAAAAATTAGCTGGGTGTGGTGGCACGTGCCTGTAATCCCAGCTACTCCGGAGGCTGAGGCAGGAGAATCGCTTGAACCTGGGAGGCGGAGGTCTCAGTGAGCCGAGGTCATTCCACTGCATTCCAGCCTGGGCGACAGAGCGACACTCCATCTAAAAAAAAAAAAAAAAAAAAAAAAAGCAAATAAACAAAATATCCTCTTTATATTTACTTTCCTCCAATATCCTATTCCTCTGCTCTCGCATAAGAAAATGCCCCAACATGAATGTTTATACACACTCTCTCTAATCCTTCCTTATTTCTTTATCGAATCCATGGCAATCAAACTTTCATCCCTGAAACTCTAGTAAGAATGTTCTGGTCAAAATCATCAACAACCTCCTAATTCCGAAATCTAAGGACTAGCTCTCAGTCCTCATCTTAACCCAAACATTAGCAGTGGATCACTCCCTTTTCCTTGAAACATTTTCTTTATTTGGCTTTAAGGAAAATATATCCTCCTAAATTTACCTTCTTACTCTTCTTTGTTAACTCTTCGGTTTTTACCCCCTGAGCGATTAATGTTGGGGTACCCCAGACCATGTTTCTTGATCTTCTTGCCTATTTCCACCCAGTTTATTGTTTCATCTAGTTTTATTACACGAAATTCAATTTATACAATGGCAACTTCCAAATTTACATCTTCAGCCCAGAACATGTCCCTGAACTCCAGCTTCATGTATCCAACTACTTACTCAATATTTCCAGTTACATATATGACAGGCAGTTTAAATTTAACGTGTTTCCAGAATCAAATCCTAATATCCTCTGCAATGTTACTCTTCTTTACAAATATCTTCCGCATCCAGTTGCTCGAATTTGGGAAGGAATTCTTGGATTTTCTTGTTATCTCCCTCACCACATCTAATCTGCCAGAAAAGCTTATTGGTGCTACCAAAGCAATAGATCCAGTGTGGGCCGGGCGCGGTGGCTCACGCCTGTAATCCCAGCACCTTGGGAGGCCGAGGTGGGCGGATCATGAAGTCAAGATATCGACAGCATCTTAGCCAACATGGTGACACCCCGTCTCTACTAAAAATACAAAAAAATTATCTGGGTGTGGTGGTGTGAGCCTTAGTCCCAGCTACTAGGAAGGCTGAGGCAGGAGAATCTCTTGAACCCGGGAGGCGGAGGCTGTGGTGAGCTGAGATCGCATCACTGAACTCCAGCCTAGGTGACAGAGCGAGACTTCGTCTCAAACAAAACAAAACAGATTCAGCGTGTCTACTTGTCATTTTCAGTTGTAAAGATGAACACCTACCAAGTCACATTCCAGTGTGGCTTTAATCATTTTGCCTGGTATTTTCCAGTTGGCTCAGAAGTAATCTACTACCCCTTATCTGCCTTCTATGGTCAATTCACAACACAGCAGTCAGCAGTTTGCTCTAAAATTTGCTATAGTACACTACTTACCTATTTGGAATCCTCTAATATGTCCCTATATCATACAGCTTAAAAACGAAAGTCCCTAGAACATTCTATTAGTCCTTACCTGATTGCTCTTCTCCATATGTCTGACGTTATCTCCCGCAAATCCTTTACTTACTCTCTCCTTGTCAGCCACCCCCGTACCTTGGCTTTTATTGTCTGAAATCTTTCCCCAGAGAGCTCCTTGTCTTGTTCTCTTCCTTCTTCAGGTATGTGCTCAAATGTCACTTTATAAACAGTGTCTTCCCTGACCACTATATTTAACTAGCCACACAATATGCATCTCTCTCTCTCTTTCTTTCATTCTTTATTTTTCTGCATAATGCTTATTTTTACTTGATTTTCCCATATATTTGACTTTTTTCCCTTGTGTCTATTTCAGAAACGTAAGCTTTACCAGAGTAGATTTTTCTGTGCTGCTTGCTGTATCCCTAGTGCATTGTATTCAATAAAAGTTATTCAATAAAATATTCATTAAACAATGAGTAAAAACATTGAAATAAATGAATAAAATGTTCTATTTTTTAATGCACTAAAATACATTCTTTTTTTCTCTAGTAGTTTCTGGTCAAATAAGAAGTTATTTATTATTGACTGCCTTGCTAAGTGTAAAGAAATTTGATTAATAGGGAGTGGTTAGGACTATTTTAATTTGTAAAATTTTCTATTACTAAAAAGTTTTAATTGCCAGCAAGGCTGATCATTAGACAAGAAAATAACTAGAGAGCTAGGTATTGTTTTTTAAATGTTATTAGGCACCATTCTCAAATGAAAAGATTAGTCACTCTTATAGTTGTAGCAATTTAACATTCAAACTTGAAATGCAAAATTTAAAATTACAATGTTCATAATGTGTGTTTTAATTTCAAACTCATGTCTTCATTTCATATTGAACATACTATGCAGATTTATTTTCAGTCACTTGACATCAGGCGGCTATATATGTTGAATAAGGAACAGAAAACACAAATACTTTTTCCAATATTCCCTTTGCAAACCCTTTTGATAATAGCTGAAGATATTAGATATTTACAGTTATAGCCGTGAATGAATAATGTGTATGGTGTGTTTAAAAAGAAAAACCACAAATTTCGTGGTCCCGGGTTATCATAGTAGTAACTGAATTTTCCCAAACAAAGATGTCTGACCTTTTTGGAAGAGCAAGTATGAATAGCTGATAGTTTTAAAGAAGCAAATTTTTGATAATTAGTAACAAGGAAATTTACATGACTTTCTAATTAAGGTTTTTATATGGATTATATTGCAAAGTAATACTGTGGTTTTACATAACTTGCTTCATTAGAATATACACAAATGACATTTACAAAGATTATATAGTGATAGTAAAAAGTACTTCTAATGAACATTTAGAACTGAGTTACAATACTTTTTAACTATGAAGTCATTGAAGTACAAATTTCCTCAATGTACGAGTCTTTATGCTAAAAGTTACTAAAATAAATGAAAATCATTTGTACTTTGAATATTATTATTATTTTTCCCATAGCTTTCTCTTTCCTGGTTCCAACTCTTGCCCAGAAACTCACCCACCCTTCCACCCTTTCCAATTCCAGTTTACCCAGATCCTAGCTGTGTTGCAAGACAGAGGTTGAATCTCTCTCTTTTTTAAAAAAATTTTTTATTATACTTTAAGTTCTGGGGTAGATGTGCAGAACGTGAAGGTTTGTTACATAGGTATATGCCTGCCATGATGGTTTGCTGCACCCATCAACCCGTCATCTACATTAGGTATTTCTCCTAATGCTAGCCCTCCCCTAACCCCCCATCCACTGACAGGCCATGGAGTGTGATGCTCCCCTCCCTGTGTCCATGTGTTCTCATTGTTCAACTCCCACTTATGAGTGAGAACATGCGGTGTTTGCTTTTCTGTTCTTGTGTTAATTTGCCGAGAATGATAGTTTCCAGCTTCATCCATGTCCCTACAAAGGGCAATAACTCATCCTTTTTTATGGCTGCCCAGTATCCCATGGTGTATATATGACACATTTTCTTTATCCAGTCTACCACTGATGGGCATTTGGGTTGATTCCAAGTCTTTGCTATTGTGAACAGTGCCACAATAAACATACGTGTGCATGCATCTTTATAGTGGAATGATTTATAATCCTTTGGGTATATATACCCAGAAATGGGATCGCTGGGTTAAATGGTATTTCTAGTTCTATATCCTTGAGGAATTGCCACACTGACTTCCACAATGGTTGAACTAATTTACACTCCCACCAACAGTGTAAAAGCGTTTCTATTTCTCCACATCCTCTCCAGCACCTGTTGTCTTTTCACTGTAGTGGAA
This sequence comes from Homo sapiens, assembly GCF_000001405.40. Taxonomy (NCBI): domain Eukaryota; kingdom Metazoa; phylum Chordata; class Mammalia; order Primates; family Hominidae; genus Homo; species Homo sapiens. The sequence goes on from NC_000004.12 coordinate 31,499,775, forward strand.
AATGCACTCAACTTACAGTTGGAATGTCTGGATTCAATTTTTTTATGTACTCACATAGCATAGTCAGGATGAGGGTCCTTTTCTATAAAATGTTGATAATATCTCTCCAAATGTCTTTGTAAATACCTGTGAATTGAAAAGTACTAGTAAAAACATAAATTGTATTATTAATATTACTACTATTATTGTTGTTTTGAGGACATTTCCCTTACCTTGCAAACCAGAGAGTGGTAATGTTGTTTTATATTTATGAATCTTCATCCATTTATAACAATCTTAGTATACTGGTAAATCTTTCAGTTTTGTAAAAACTATAAAATACAAAAATAAAAAAGAGCATAATGATTTTCTAATGAAAATGTGTTATTGATATTTGATAAATATTATTGTTATATGTAATTGTATATATATATATATATGCTTCCAAAAATTGAAAATACATCAATTGAACTGCATGTTAAATAGTTAATGCTAAAAATAAAAGATGTCAAGTTAGAGAGAAGAATAATTTAGTAGATGTTCACTGCCAATAAGGTGATGTGGGATAAAAAATCCTACAAACAATGCTGAGCATTACAGGCACCAATGTACCATTTTCATATACTAAAGAGAGCACGCTATTAATGAGTCTTGGAATGGTGTCAAAAAATGAAGCTTTCAGATAGACTTCATGAAATTAGTTAATGTATTTGTATACAGGAACATTTCACAGATTAATTACATTTTAAAAAGTCCTATAACTTTACGGTATTAATTTCTTCAGCAGACACAAAGTGACAATAATATGGTTGGAAGTGAGCCCATGAGTTCAAAATTTCAAAACAGAGATCCGTCCCCCATCCTTATATCTTTTAAATGTATCTTTGAAGTAAATAGAACTGAGTAGAATTTGTATCCTCTCGAAGGGGAGTAAAGGATGCATTTAATTGAAGATGAGCCAAGGCAGAAACATTTAGATGATTAAAGCTTTAAAATATGAATAGATCATCTTTAGGAACATATGCCTGTAACCTAGTGGGCACTCAAGAGATTTCCACTGTATGATAATAGAGTCTTATATTTATCTGATTGTATTTAGTAAATATCTCTTTGGAATTCAAGATACACAGTAGCTAACTGTATTCTGGTACCAGAATTCCTATTCCTGTCCTAATCCAATTTCTGAAGGATATTTATCAAAGTGTAAATTTAGGTTATTGTTAAGTAGAGAAAACAAGAAAAGCTGGAATCTAGGGAAACTGTATCTAGGAGACAGGTCAATGAACCCTGCTTATGGGACTATAGAAAAGAGGCAGTCGGCCAGGAGATGACCTTGGCAATGCTTCAATTTCCTACTGTTATAAGGAGTAAGAAATTTGAAAAGTAAAAGAATTTAGATCTTACACGAGTAAAAAAATATTTGTAATGGATTATATATATGTGTATATGTATACATAGTGGTGCATATATGTATATATATCCAAAATTAAATTTGAGAAAAAAAATTATTTTTGAAATCAGAGTTTGTGTCTTATCCTAGCACTCAATGTAGTTTTGGATAAAGAAAATACACTCTGATGGTTAATACTGAGTGTCAACTTGATTGGATTGAAGGATACAAAGTATTGATCTTGGGTGTGTCTGTGAGGGTGTTGCCAAAAGAGATTAACATTTGAGTCAATTGGCTGGGAAAGACAAACCCACCCTTAATCTGGGTGGGCACAGTCTAATCAGCTGCCAACATGGCTAGAATATATAAGCAGGCAGAAAAATGTGAAAAGAGAGACTGGCCTAGCTTCCCAGCCTATATCTTTGTCATCTTTGTCCGTTGCTGGATGCTTCCTGCCCCTGAACATCAGACTCCAAGTTCTTCAGTTTTGGAATTCAGATTGGCTCTCCTTGCTCCTCAGCCTACAGATGTTCTATTGTGGGACCTTGTGATTGTGTAAGTTAATGCTTAATAAACTCCCCTTTACACACACACACACACACACACACGTTTTCCATTAGTTCTATCCCTCTAGAGAACCCTGAATAATATAGATTTTGGTACCAGGCGTGGTTCTAGAGGAACAGAATATTAAGGATGGAGTTCTTTCATTAGTTTTGGGGTTTCTGGAGTTGGTTGCTTAATATGATTAGACTCCAAAATGCTAAGGACTCTATTTCTAGTAGTATGGAGTACGCTGGTAGTCTTTGGCATGAACTGTTTAGAGAGTTATGCAAAATAAATGCATTTGACCCTCATGATTCATTGCTTGTGAGAGCCAAGGAGTTTAGTGACTCTGTACATGATACCTTTGACCATATATGGGGAACTGAGGAATGTAATGAAGCTGATTGGTTGCTCCTCAGTTTACTGGACAAAGTGATGAAAGAAAATGATGAACTCAGGGATTCTATCCCTAAAATTATTGAGGCTGAAATCTGCTAAGATTGCCCTGAGTGAGAGTCTTATCTCCTGTAGAGAAAGAGCTGAAATTATGAAAAAACAGACACAAGATCTTATCATGCGAGTGGCTGACCTGCAATGAAAGGTGCATGCACAGTCTCGCTAGTTGTCTACTGTTAAAGTGAGGGCATTGTCTGGAAAAGAATGGGACCCTGCAATTTGGAATGGGGATGTGTGGGAGGACCTGATGAAGCTGGGGACACTGAGTTTGTAAACTCTGATTGAACATTTTTTTTGCCAGAAGAAATAGCTTCCCCCTCACCAGTAGTGACAACATTCCCTCCCCGACCCATGCTGCCATCAACTTTTCCACTTTTGTCTGAGGAGATAAACCCTGTGTTGCCTGAGACAACAGTGCTTGCCTCTCCTAAGTTAGTTGTCAGGCAAGATAATGTTGATTCTCCTCAGGAGTCACCCCCAACACTCTTGTTTGCTTCTAGACCTATAACTAGACTAAAGTCCCAGTGGGCCCCTAGAGGTGAGGTTGAGAGTGTGACCCATGAGGAGGGGTGCTACACTTAAAAATAACTGTTTGAGTTTTCTAATTTGTATTACCAGAAATCTGGAAAACAGGCATGGGAATGGATATTAAGGGTGTGGGATAATGGTGGAAGGAACATAGAGTTGGATCAGGCTGAATTTATTGATTTAGGCCCACTAAGTAGGGACTCTATATTTAATATTGCAGCTCAGGGAGTTAAGATGGTTTTAGTAGTTTATTTGCTTGGTTATCTAAAATATGGATTAAAAGATAGCCCACTCTGAGTGAGCTGGAAATGCCTGATCTCGCTTGGTTTAATGTAAAGGAAGAGATCCAAAGGCTTAGGGAGATTGGGATAGTGGAGTAGATTAGTCACTTTAGACCTACTCATCCCAGCTGAGAGGGTCCAGAAGATATATCTTTGAACAATGCCTTGAAAAATAGATTTGTGAGGGCAGCTTCTGCATCTTTGAAGAGGCTTGTAATTGCTTTTCTGTGTATGTCATATCTAACAATGGGAACTACAGTCCCTCAACTGCAAAATTTAAATACAATAGGAATAATTAGATCCCAAGGTGGCAGGGGCCAAGTGGCAGCACTCAATCATCAAAGGCAAGGTAGGCATAGCTACCATAATGGGCAGCAGAGGCAAGCGGCAATCAGAATAGTCTGACTCCTGTAGAGCTCTGGCATTGGCTAATTAATAATGGTGTTCCTAGAAGTGAAATTGGTAGGAAGCCTACTGCATTTATACTTAGTTTATATAAGCAGAAAACTTCTAGATCAAATAGACAAAAGACTAATTTGAATTATAAAAATAGAGAATCATGGCCCCTCAATCAATTTCCAGGCTTAAGGCAGTTTACAGACAAAGAACACCTTGAATGAAGAGGAGGCTGTGTCCCCTTGAGGAAGGACCTCGCTGCATTACCAACAATTTATGCAATGAATCTTTCTCCCATCCTTCACCAAAGAGATCTCTGGTCTTTAACCTAGGTAACGGTGCATTGGGAAAAGGGAAATGGTCAGACATTTTGGGGACTACTGGACACTAGTTCTGAGCTGACGTTGATTCCAGGGGACCCAAAATGTCATTGTAGTCCTCTAGTTAAAGTAGAGGCTTTTGGAGGTCGGATAATTAATGGAGTTGTAGTTCAGGTTCGACTTACAGTGGGTCCAGTCAGTCCCCAGACTCATCCTGTGGTCATTTCCCCAGTGCCAGAATGCATAATTGACATAGACATACTTAACAGCTGGCAGAACCCCCACATTGACTCCCTGACTGGTAGGGTGAAAGCTATTATGGTGGGAAAGGCCAAATGGAAGCCATTTGAGCCGCTTCTTCCTATAAAAATAGTAAATCAAAAACAATATCGCATCCCTGGAGGGATTGCAGAGATTAGTGCCACCATCAAGGATTTGAAAGACGCAGGGGTGGTGATTCTCACCACATCCCGTTCAACTCTCCCATTTGGCCTGTGCAGAAGACAGATGGATCCTGGAGAATGACAGTGGATTATTGTAAGCTTAACCAAGTGGTGACTCCAATTGCAGCTGCTGTACCAGATGTGGTTTCATTACTTGAGCTAATTAACACCTGGTACCTGGTATGCAGCCATTGACTTGGCAAATGCTTTTTCTCCATTCCTGTCCATAAGGCTCACCAGAAGCAATTTGCCTTCAGCTGGCAAGGCCAGCAATATACCTTTACTGTCCTACCTCAGGGGTATATCAACTCTCCGGCTTTGTGTCATAATCTTATTTGGAGTGACTTTGATAGTTTTTCACTTTCACAAGATATCACACTGGTCCATTACATTAATGACATTATGTTGATTGGATAAAGTGAGCAAGAAGTAGCAAACACGCTAAACTTATTGGTGAGACATTTGCATGCCAGAGGATGGGAAATAAATCCAAATAAATTCAGAGACCTTCTACCTCAGGGAAATTTCTAGGGGTCCAGTGGTGTGGAGCCTGCCAAGATATTCCTTCTAAGGTGAAGGATAAGTTGCTGCATTTGGCCCCTCCTATAATCAAGAAAGAGGCACAATGCCTAGTGGGTCTATTTGGATTTTGGAGGCAATGCATTGCTCATTTGGGTGTGTTACTGTAGCCCATTTATCCAGTGACCCAAAAGGTGGCCAGTTTTGAGTAGGGTCCAGAACAGGAGAAGGCTCTGCAACAGGTCCAGGCTGCTGTGCAAGCTGCTCTGCCACTTGGGCCATATGACCCAGAAGATCCAATGGTGTTTATGGTGTTTGAGGTTTCAGTTGCAGGTAGGGATGTTGTTTGGAGCCTTTGACAGGCCCTCATAGGTGAATCACAGCAGAGGCCTGTAGGATTTTGGAGCAAGGCCCTGCCATCTTCTGCAGATAACTACTCTCCTTTTGAGAGACAACTCTTAGCTCATTACTAGGCTTTGGTGGAAACTGAACATTTGACTGTGGGTCATCAAGGCACCATGTAACCTGAACTGCCTATCATGAACTGGGTTCTTTCTGGCCCATCTAGCCATAAAGTAGGTTGTGCACAGCAGCCGTCCATCATCAAATGAAAGTGGTATATGCGTGATCAGGCTCGAGCAGGTCCTGAAGGCACAAGTAAGTTACAAGAGGAAGTGGCTCAAATGCCCATGGTCTCCACTCCTGCCACTCTGCCTTTTCTTCCCTAGCCTGCACCGATGGCTACATGGGGTGTTCCCTGTGATCAGTTGACAGAGGAAAAGAAGACTAGGGCCTGGTTCACAGGTTCTTCACAATATTCAGGCATTACCCAAAAGTGGACAGCTGCAGCACTACAATCTTTTTCTAGGACATCCCTGAAGGACAGCTATGAAGGGAAATCTTCCCAGTGGGCAGAACTTCGAGCAGTGCACCTTGTTGTGCACTGTGCAAGGAAGGAGAAATGGCCAGATATGCGATTATGTACTGATTCATGGGCTTCAACCAATGGTTTGGCTGGATGGTCAGGAACTTGGAGGAAGCATGATTGGAGAATTGGTGATAAAGAAATTTGGGGAAGAGGTATGTGAATGGACCTCTCTGAGTGGTCAAAAATTGTGAAGTTATTTGTATCCCATGTGAGTGGTCACCAAGGGGTCACCTCAGCAGAGAAGGATTTTAATAATCAAGTGAAAAGGATGATCAGTTTTGTGGCCACCACTCAGCCTCTTTCTCCAGCCACCCTGTCACAGCCCAATGGGCCTATGAACAAAGTGGCCATTGTGGCAGGGATGGAGGTTATGCATGGGCTCAGCAACATGGGCTTACCAAGGCTGACCTGGCTGTGACTACTGCTGATTGCCCAATTTCCCAGCAATAGAGACCAACATCAAACCCTTGATATGGCACCATTCCTTGAGGTGATCAGCAAGCTACTTAGTGGCAGGTTAATTATATTGGACATTTTCCATCATGGAAAGGGCAGAGGTTTGTCCTTACTGGAATAGACACTTACTCTGGATATGTGTTTGCCTATCCTGCACACAATTCTTCTGCCAAGACTACCATCCATGGACTCACAGAATGCCTTATCCACTGTCATAGTATTTCACACAGCATTGCCTTTGACCAAGGCACTCACTTATGGGTAAAGAAGTGCGGCAATGGGCTCACGTTCATGGAATTTACTGGTCTTATCATGTTCCTTAACACCCTGAAGCAGCTGGATTGACAGAACGCTGGAATGCCCTTTTGAAGTCACAATTACAATGGTAACTAGGTGACAATACTTTGCAGGGCTGGGGCAAAGTGCTCCAGAAGGCTGTGTATGCTCTGAATCAGTGGCCGATATATGGTACTGTTTCTCCCATAGCCAAGATTCAGGAGTCCAGGAATCAAGGGGTGGAAATGGAAGTGGCACGACTCACCAACACCCCTAGAGATCCACTGGCAAAATTTTTGCTTCCTGTTCCCATGACATTATATTTTGCTGGCCTAAAGGTCTTAGTTCCAGAGGGAGAAACACTGCCGCCAGGAGACACAACAACGATTCCATTCAATTAGAAGTTAAGATTGCCACTTGGACACTTTGGGCTTCTCCTACCTTGAAGTCAACAGGCTAAGAAGAGAGTTACTTGGCTGGGGCGATTGACCCAGATTATCAAGATGAAATCAGTCTACTACTCCACAACTGAGGTAAGGAAGAGTATGCATGGAATACAGGAGATCCATTAGGGTGTCTGTTAGTATTATGATGGCCTGTGATTAAGGTCAATCAGAAACTACAATAGTCCAATCCAGGCAGGACCACAAATGACCCAGACCTTTCAGGAATGAAGGTTTGGGTCACTCCACCAGGAAAAAAACACACGACCTGCTGAGGTGCCTGTTAAAGGCAAAGGGAATACAGAATGGGTAGTAGAAGAAGGTAGTCATCAATACCAGCTATGACCACATGAACAGCTGCAGCAATGAGGACTGTAATTGTCATGAGTATTTCCTCCTTATTTTGTTAAAAGCATGTCTGTGCATGTATACACTTTTACTAAAAAATATCTTCATTTTATTTCCTTTCTCCTTTATCATGCGACATAAGATTTATTGCCTTCATATTAGCATTTGTGTATTGTTAACTTTATGTAATAGTATTTGGGTTGGGGAGTGGTGCGTTTCTGATTGTATGAAGGATAGTTGTATTACGTTAGGCATAATTACAACCTTATTAATTGTCTTTATTTGAAGATTATGTCTGATATCAGGAGATGTGTGTGGGTTCATGTTGACAAGGGGTGGACTTGTGATGGTTAATACTGAGTGTCAACTTGATTGGATTGAAGGATACAAAGTACTGAATCTTTGTTGAGTCTGTGAGGGTGTTGCCAAAGGAGATTAACATTTGAGTCAGCGGGATGGGAAAGGCAGACCCACCCTTAATCTGCCTGGGCACAGTCTAATCAGCTGCCAACACATCTAGAATATAAACCGGCAGAAAAATGTGAAAAGAGACTGGCCTAGCCTCCCAGCCTACATCTTTCTCCTGTGCTGGATGCTTCCTGCCCTCAAACATTGGACTCCAGATTCTTTAGTTTTGGAACTCGGACTGTCTCTCCTTGCTCCTCGGCCTGCAGACGGGCTACTGTGGGACCTTGTGATCGTGTAAGTTAATACTTAACAAATTCATACATACATATATATGTATATATATATATAAATATATATATATTCCATTAGTTCTGTCCCTTTAGAGAACCCTAATACATACACTTACACTAAATATTTTTAATCAGCTAGCATGTGAATACATTAATAATTAATCATTTCAACAGATGATCTTTATATCTTGGCAATAATGTACCTCTGTGATTTCTGCATATTATTTAAAACTATGTGAAACAAAAAATAGAGAAAAATTATATGAATTTGCAGTATACATATAATTACTATCAGATTGCAGTATAAGCACAACACCGTTCTCAAGATCACTAGTTTCTTCGACTATGAAAAAAAAATTCCAGGACTCAAAACAGAATGATTATAGACCTCATTGATTTTTTTCTTAAGTAAAGCAATTATACTTTAAAACATGTTCTCAAGGATGAGAAAAAATGTTATATTAAGACATTGCACTAGATATGAAGTTAAGACAGTGTTTTTTCTTTGTTTTTGTTTTTGCTTATTTGTTTTTAATCTCAGTTCTACCACCTGATAGCTTCAGGAACCTGAAAAAATTGCTTCATTGTCCTATACTATAAAATAAATGAAAAGCATAGAAAAGATAAATATTTCATTTATTTCTCATCACCACCAAGTGAGTTGATCCTATGAGAGGTAATATAGTGTAGTATTAACAGTGGAGGCTCTGAAATTAAACAGTCCAATACCACCAATAAATGTCAATCAATGAGTTAAGCCGACTCAAGACTGCTTGACTGAAGAGCCCATGTCTGCCCCACTCTAACCTCTATGGCCTTATAAGGATGCCTATGAGAAATCATTAAACAGCATTGGAGAAAGAAGAATAACATCTGTCCTTTAAAACTGCTCATAGTTCTGACTATTAACACGACTAATACTGTGAATGTTGTTTTTCCCAAAATTGCCTTGTGCAGAATTAGGGATATTTTTTCTTTATTTATTTGGTGCCTGATACTGGAATGCTGTCTGTGAATAATTAATATTTCCAGTAAGAGGTGTGTTTTTTTTGTCATATCAGTTCAATTTAGCTTTATCAGAAAAAGATCAAGGATAATATTCAATAATAAGAAACATATGTAGCTTAGAGTAACAGATATAAGCTGCTTCTGGATGATTTACAGAAATAGTAGAAAATAATATGGGAAAATAGATATGGAAGTATCAAAATAATAAAGAAAATACACTTCCACTTGAAAAATAATTTAGAGTTTCTTTATAAAGAATATCTTATAGGTAAAAAAATTATTTAAGGGACTTAATCATTGTTCTCTGCTCCCTTTTCCTTTTTGGAATACATATCTTTCTCCTTGGAAGACAAGTAAATAGGAAACTCACAATTTTTCCAGCAAAACTTGTATGTGAAAATATAAGCAAAATGATAAATGTGACTGGCCGACAAGCAAAAAACATTGTTTACCATCAAACAGCACCAAAACTTCTGGCTGTGTTATTACCAATTTGAATGGACCTTTGCCGAAAGTCCCTGTAAGTATCTTGATAGCAGATAATTCCAACACACCTCTTGTTTCTGTCAACTCACTACCTTGAGATGCTAAGCTAGTTTAATAATATACTCTCTTTGAAATGGTATCCAATGTTCCTTTAACTCACACTTCTATTTCTGCCCTCTCTGCCAAATCTGGATTCTTTGATCTATTAACTAGCTCCACCACAATTAACTACAATGAATACTCTTTCTGCCCATTATTTTCTTTTCTTAAATAAATCCTGGTCTCCACAGAATACATGGACTCCCCTGTGGTCCCTGAAAAATTATGTTGATCTTCTAGCCACCACACATTGATGGTAAGAAGGAAACCTTCAAGAACAGGAATAAGGATATTTTTCCTTGTTATAATTACCATTCCAAATTATTAATCCTTTATTCTTAGATAAAAACACTGTTGAATTCAGATAAGCTGAATTGTTATAATCACTCTCAGTTATTCACCAAAAGATTTTGTCACTGACTTCATGGCTGTCCTTGGAGCCATCATTATCCTAGGCTATAATAGTGTCTTTGGGAATTCATAATAATTGAATCCACATGCTTTGTTTTGTTTTGTTTTGAGATGGAGTATTGCTCTTGTCGCCCAGGCTGGAGTGCAACGGCATGATCTCAGCTCACTGCAACCTCGGCCTCCCGGGTTCAAGCAATTCTTCTGCCTCAGCCTCCCGAGTAGCTGGGAATACAGGCACATGCTACCATGCCCAGATAATTTTTTGTACTTTTAGTAGAAATGGGGTTTCACCATATTAGCCAGTCTGGTCTCAAACTCCGGACCTCAGGTGATCCGCCTGCCTCAGCCTCCCAAAGCGCTGGGATTACAGGCATGAGCCACTGCACCCATCCTGAATCCCCATGTTTTATAATTGTTTCTCCTCTTCAACTCCAACGGCTTTAGTTTCATGCCACATATGCCTTCATATATTGAAGGCCACACCTAGAACTTTGTCATAATCCAAAAATGAACAATGAATAAAGTCTTACACTACAACATTCTATTACCTGATCAGACATTTTTCCAGCTCTCAGTTTTTCTCTTTAAATACAGACACATTTTAAACCTCATGGAGGCTTTTTGTTTCTGGATCAATCTGTCTTCTATTAATCCATTAGCTTTATTCTAGGTTTCCTTTCGTTCTTATTCAGGACTCCAGGGATACCTATTATTGTTATTGTTAATAATGATTAAGAATTTTATTGTTATACGTTTTTCTGCAAGGACATTTCAAACTTTTTACCTAAGCCCAATTAAGGTAGAAAAAATCAAAATGATATGGAATAAAATTTTGACATACTAATCCTATTTAGCCTTGTATTTAGACTAGCATGTATAATATTTCCAAGTATACATTTGTAAGAAATGCAAATTAAAAATGTATTCAATTTAGAAATCCAATCTAAGACTTAAACATTAGAAATACATAATGTTTTCTGATAATTTAATAAGTACTTGAAAGTATGTAGCCCTATGTCCAACACATATCAAGTGACCAGTAACTATTACATAGTCCAGAATATCTAGAGAATTATCTTTTGATCGTTTCATCATGCTACAGTGTCCAAGCTCACAGGGTTCCTTGAAAAGGCATTAAGAAGGAGTAAAAACATGTTTTTTTCATGAAGGAAATTTAAGCATAACATTAGGATGTGCAAAACTCAAGAAAAAATAAAAAATTATATGTAAAAACACTAAGAAAAGTTTTTTAAAAGCCCAGAGGAGGTTTGAGTGAATGGGATCAATAAAATTATTCTGAAATAAAAAGGAAGGAAAAAGGTTTGAGTGAAGAGAGAAACACAGTAGTGAGAGTAGAGGAATTTCTTATTAAAGACCTCCATTTTTGGTACTGAGTGAGAGGCTGATTAATCTCAGAGTGAGTACCAGAAAGGCATGTATGTTTGGAAAAGATTAGGTGGCAATGAAAAGAAAGTGTCATGTGGGATTTTTCAATATGTTCTATGAGCCTGATTTAATAAAAAGTAAAAGCAGAATATGACACACTTAGTAGGTGTTTTTGCATTACTTCTTTTTTATCTTTTTAGTTATTACCAATGTACTTGCGTTTTTGTGTGTGATGGCCATTTTCCAACTTTCCTCAGTGTTGAGATTCAGAAGTTGCTAAGTGTTAATATTTCCTAGTTAACAGAGCCTGGTGGGAGAAGATGTTTGTTCATTTGTTTTGTTTGATAAACAGCATATCTTTTTTAAATATAAGGTCAACTTTTATTTTAGATTCAGGGAGTACACATGCAGGTTCGTTACATGAGTATATTGCGTGATGCTGACGTTCGGGATACAAATGATCTCGTTACCTGGGTAGTGAGCATAGTAGCCAAGAGGCAGTTTCTCAGTCCTTCCCTCACTTTTTTGGTATCCCCTTTAGTAGTCCCCAGTGTATACTCCTTTCTTTATGTCCATGTGTACCCCGTTGTTTGACTCCCACTTATAAGTGAGAACATGTGGTAGTTTGTTCTTGGTCCTGAGTTAATTTTCTTAGAATAATGGCCTCCATCTGCATCCTTGTAGTTGCAAAGGACATGATTTTATTCTTTTTGACAGCTGTACAGTATTCTACAGTGTATATGTACCACATTTTCTTTATCCAATTCATGTATGTTGATTTTATGTCTTTGCTATTGCAGATAGTGCTGCAATGAATATGTAAGTTCATGTATCTTTTTGGTAGAACTGTTAATTTTCCTTTAGGTATATACACCCAGTAATGGGATTCCTGTGTCACATGGTAGTTCTAAGACCCTTGAGAAATCTCCAAACTTCTTTTCACCATGGTTGAACTAATTTAGACTCCCACCAACAATGTATAAGCATTCCCTTTTCTATGCAACCTCTCCAGCATCTGTTATTTTTTGACTTTTTAATAATAGCTATTCTGACTGGCATGAGATGGTGTCTGATTGTGGTTTCGATTTGCACTTCTCTAATGATTAGTGATGTTGAGCATTTTTTCCTGTTCATTGGCTGCTTATGCGTCTTCTTTTGAGATGTGTCTGCTCATGTCTTTGGTTCACTTTTTAAGGTGGTCACTTGTTTTTTGTTTCTTGATTTATAAAAAACAATGGGGAAGAACTCCTATTCAATAAATGGTACTGGGATTACTGGCTAGCCAGACGCAGAAGAATGAAATTGGATTTTTACCTTTCACCATACACAAAAATTGACTCAAGGTGGATTAAATATTTATATGTAAGAGCTCAAACTATAAAAGTTCTAGAGGAAAACCTAGAAAATACCATTCTGGACAGAGGATTTATGACTAAATCCTCAGCAGCAATTGCAACAAAAACAAAAATTGACAAGTGCGACCTGATTAAACTAAAGAGATTTTGCACAGCAAAAGAAACTATCAATGGAGTAAACTGGCAACTTACAGGTTTGTGACAACCTCACAAACTATGCATCAAACAAAGATCTGATATCCAGAATCAACAAGTAACTTACACAGTTCAGCATGTCTCTTTTTAATTTTTGATTTTTAAAAAATCTGAAACTTTTAAAATAGTGTCCTGGAATAATACTTAACATTTTCACATACAGAAACTAAAACTAAGCATCATATTTTAAAATATAAATATCTACCTAATTGATTTTGATTTATTATTCCACATGAAGATGTCTGTTCAAGGAAGATAGCTCTTATTTCCTAAAAGTGAATACACTTATGCTTTTTAATATGCATCTTTTTTTCTCTTTAGATGCGAGTTATTTTCAATTGCTTTGACTTAGATGAATGGAAGAAAATCAACTTCCTCCAACCATAGCACTTTTCAAAGACCTCTCTTATTTTAAATATGTATATTTTTCTCCTTCCTGTATGATAGTGTCAGATTTATTCTCTTAAGTAGCAGTGAGTATGACTTTTAGAATGAGTGTTTGTAAAATTTTATTAGTGCTATACAGTCTGTTTCTTGATGGGACCTGGTGTTTGTATACACATTAAGTTTTTATATTGTGAAACTAATACATAAGTATGTAAAATGATTTTGTACTTAGAAATTCAACTATACATAAAACTAGTAGGGTGGTGTGTATTCTTGTACACTTTACTTAATATAGAGAGAATTGTGGATTTTTATTGAGAGAGTTGATTGGAAGAGTCCCAGCTCAACCGCTAGTCATTTTTTTGCTTTGGATAATCACTCAGAACCTCTGTTTTACCCATGTGGTAGAGGAAGAGCAGACTGCCTTACTCAATCCAAGGAAAATAATTAGGATTAAGTGGAAAAAAGTTGTACAACACCAATGTACATACTCCATAGCACTATACAGATGTAAGACAATTTACTATCTTTCTAAAATTGTATTTCCTTTTATGATATGATTATTGTCATTTTCTGCACTAGTATTGAGCATGCTTTAATATTTACCTTAAGCAATTTATTAAGGTAAATAATTATTTTTGTTCTAAATCTTAAAAATAATAATAGTAACTATTCTTTATGGAGTATTTAGTATGTACCAAGCCCTGAGCTAAATGTTATGCATATCAGTGTTACATTTAACCCTTAAACAATCCTATAAGGTAGCTATTATTGCTATTTAATTTTATAGAAGAAAATGGGTCTCAGGGACATTAAAATGACAGCTGCTGGATTTAAGAACCAAGATTCAAAGCCAGTTCTATTTGACATCAAAGTCAATTTGGCATATAAAAAACAAATCAAAGAAAGGCATTATGAAGTCATTAATAGCTAAGTTTCAACAGCAAGACACAAATGGATTTGAGTCTTACTCTAATACTAGGTGTGTGATCTTGGGCAAGTTCCCTTTGCATGTGTATATTTCTTCATTGATAAATGGGGATTAAAGTGGAACTTACTTTATGGAGCTGTTTTTAGGTTTAGATGAGATATGTATACATGTAAAGTACTTAGCATTATATCTGTCACACAATACATACACAGCAAATGTTTGCCTTTATTATTTAATCTTCTTAAATTTAGGTCCCTCATTCAAAAATGGAGATGAAAATAAAATAACACCTACCTCAGAATGATAGTGCAAGTATTATATGAGACTATTATTTAAAAAATGGTACTGGGCATATAAGTGCTCAGTAAATAATAATTATTGTCATTATCATCATCATCATCATGTCCAGTCTCCTTCCGGTGAGCATCTACTCTGAATTGCAATATATTTGCTTCAAATTCTGTTGGTTGCAGATATTTGTTACCTTTGTCACCTCTTAAACTGCACCAAGAAAAGCTCAATGGCTCTGATGAATTGCCTAGCATCCCATTAGGGCTCACTTAAAGGCTGATAGCATAAGGAGAAGATATTATTTATTTTCTATACTAAGCCAAAAAAAAAAGACAAAAAAAAAAGTCACTATTTAAGAGCAGGGAGTTTGTATTGCACAACATTCAATGTTAAGAGAGAATCAGTAAAAATAGGTAATTAGAACAATTCCTTAGTCAACTGTAATGGAAAAAAATATAAAAATATATCTGCAAAGGCGTATGGTGTGAGATAAAGAGACAGAGACTACCATGTGCAAGATACATTTATGATGTAGAATGATATGTAATCCATCAGCAGGTGAATAAAATGGAATGTGCTCTCTTGGTTGCTAATTTGTAGCGGTATGACTCAAATGCACATAATGATAAAAATGACAAGGAGTTGGGAGTTGCAGTAGGCAAAAGTAGAACTAGGAAAAGTAATCATAGTAAAATTAAATAGGAATTCCAAATAATATAAATGTTTTTTACATTTGTGTTCAAGAAATATAAAATAAGAAAAAGGCTAAACTGTTCTTTCTAGCCTCCAAACACCATCAACCAAATTTTACTTTTATAATTTATATTTGAAAAAATGAAATTCGACCATATCTTCCCCTTAATGAGGAGTGTGTGTGTGTATGTATATCAATACACCTTGTTTTCCCCTTCTTTAGTTTCATGATTCTACCCTCAAATTAAGGTATTATTTTATTTAACTATAAATATTTATTGAGTGCCTGCCATGTTCCAGGTATTGTTCTGGTATTTGACAGCCATAGGTAAGCAACACAGGAAAAGATAGCTTCCTTCTTGCACTCTTATCAGAGAAGAAAAAAATAATATCATAAAACCAATAATCATAATATCATAAAAATATTTTATGTTAAAAGGCTATTAATAATATGTAACATTTTAGAATTCTACATGGGCATAATACCATGAGGGAACTTGACCTCTTACTATATTTTATGCTTTATCTTTGAAAAAGTATACATGCCAATTGTTAAGTTCTAGGAAATCATATCACATTAATTCTGTTTGATAGCTGCAAGATTCAGATTGTTCCCATTTCAAGCCTCCTTTGGATTTCTAATTGGCTTGGCTATGCATTAGCATGTAGAAAACTGTGGTCATAAATTTGTATTCAGCAAGCATTGGTAGCATGGTTCAGGCAGGTGAAAATGTATAAAGACATAAGAAAATGTGCTATGCAGGCCATTTGGAGAAATACGTCCTTGAAGATTTTTTCAAGTGGTCCTCCCTGTGAATACAATGCATACTTTAATCTCATTTTAGTATAACTTCCTTGTTTAGATTTGTTTCCACCTGTCTGTGAATTCCTGAAGGATACAAACCCTATGATTTATCATTAAACAGGCTAACTGTCAGTTCCAAGACCAAGAGTGGCCAGATTAACTACCAATGAGAAGAAACCCTATCCTAGAGTCTGAACTTATTAATCTGTGGTCTGGGCTTTTGAGCCTTGACCCAGTTGATGTCAGAAACCCTAACCAGTAAGGCTTGGTCATATGCCTAGAAATGTTTCAAAGATTGCTCTTCCACACCTAGATTATTTCCAATACATTATTGGATAGCTTGTGAAACATCCATTTTCACTGACATGACTGGGAAATTCAGTCATAAAAAGTCTACGCAAAGATCATGTAGATATAGTTTTAAAAGGAGTAGGATAAGAAAAATGGCAGAAGGATAAGAAAAATAAGATAGGCTCCGAATGGGCTTTGTAAAGAGGTTCTATAACTATTGTTTAGTTTTTCTTGTATTAATTTCTTCCATTCATTAACAATTCAACAGTGGTTTCTATTTCTTTTTCTGCCTATTTTGTTTTGTTTTGTTTCGTCTTCTCTCTTTCTCTCTGGGATCTTCCTTCTGTTTTTATAAGAGTCTTCATTTTGTCTAAGGAATTGGCTTACAAAGATGTCCTCAATTTCTCCCATTTCATTCTCTAGTATACAGCTTGCCTTCCCAACCTTTATCACTGAAATTTGTCCAAGGTGGAAAAATAATACTTTCCTTATGGCATAAGATCAACAAGTTCTCTGACCCTAAGACTGTTGTAGTCAAGAATGTCTTTACATGCTTGGTCTTGTGAGTTCTGAGAATGCTGTCATTGAGTATGCTTGGCTGATACTCGCCCCTAACTACCATGCTTGTTGCTAACTGCTGGTACTCCACTAGGTGTACCATTGTGCCAATATGTATCTTTGTTCCAATATGTATCTTTAATTTACTAAGACTTTATTTCTGTTTAGAATGATTAAATTATAGATTTTGATTTTAGACCAATATTTTAAATTTATAAAGATAAAAAGTTTTAGGAAGCTCTTGCTGCCATTTTTCTTATCCTTCTCTTTTTAAAACTATGTCTATATGATCTTTGGCTTAGGCTTTTTATGTTTGAATTTCCCAATCATGTCAGTAAAAATGGATTAGTCTCACAAGATATCCAGTAATGTATTTGAAATAACCTACATGTGGAAGAACATTCTTTGAAATATTTCTAGGACTATGAGCAAGGCTTGCTGGTTAGGGTTTCTGATATCAGTTGGGGCAATTCTCAAAAGCCCAGACCATAGATCAATAAGCTCAGACTGTAGTATGGATCTAAAAGGCACAGTGTATTGCCAGTTTTGGCTTCTGGTGGAAAATCCAAGCTGATAACTGAGGTTAGTGTATATGTTGTATACCATGATAAATTCTACATTAGGTAGCTAGTCACCAACAGTTGTCACGATAAGGTGAAAAAATATCCCAAGAGGAGTCAGCTCAGTTAAGATCATTAATTTCAAAGTATGGAAGACTGGTATTTTACACAAAATTCTACCTCATAATAGTGTGAGTTTGGGAAAGCAACATAGTCTTTCTGAGTCTTAGGTTTTCATGTATTTGCAATGAAGAGAATAAAATGCTAGTATAATTTACAAGCATTGTTAATGCTGAGGCATTTATAAATGTTGGAATACAGAGGAAGTTATTCTTAGTATCTAAAAATCTAGTGTTGAGGGCAAACAAATAGTGCTAATAGTAAATATATTTATTTCACAGTGTAATAATAGTGCTTACTTTTGTATAGTATTTCATTGTTTACAAAACAAATGTACAAACATTATCTCACATCTTTACACAGTAAATAGGACAGGGCTTATTATTTCATTTAAAGTTAAATATGTTAAAAATCTAAAAATTTAAATGGTCAGCTATCTTTAATTTTTAAGAGAAACAAGTCACATCCTGAAATGGCTTAAAGTTAAAAGTGATTTTACTGTCTTAAATAATAACACAGTCTGAGATTAAGGGCAGTATAGGCATGACTGAATTGGGGGCTAATTAGAAAATATTCTTATTTCATTTCTCTGAAATATTATTACTTCTTACATTTTTCTCCATTCCTAGGCATGACATGGTATCACCAATTAGTAAGAAACATATATCCTGTAGTAGGAGGAAGATGGCTGCTATAAAACTATCATAAGCCCAGCACGGTGGCTCACGCTGGTAATCCCAGCACTTTCGGAGGCTGATGTGGGTGGATGATGAGGTCAGGAGTTCAAGACCAGCCTGACCAAGATGATGAAACCCCATCTCTACTAAAAATAGAAAAATTAGCCAGGTGTTGTGGTGGGTGCCTGTAATCCCAGCTACTCGGGATGCTGAGGCAGAGAATTGCTTGAACCCGGGAGGAGGAGGTTGCAACAAGCCGAGATCGTGCCACTGCACTCCAGCCAAGGAGACAGAGCAAGACTCCATCTCAAAAACAAACAAACAAACTATTTCAAAGATGGGTTCAGTCTTTTAATAATTTCCGTAAAATTTCTGAGAGTAATTCCAATTTGATAGGCTTGCATGATATGCCCAACCTTCAACCACCAGTTGGGTTTAGAGGACTATGATTTGCTATCAGTCAAATAATGCTCAATGCATGGAACTGAATAGTGGGAGGTGAAACCTTTTCTTTTGGCCCACCTGAACAGAGTTCTGTAGAAATGAATAACCAAATGAAAATTTGGCTAATGCTCAAGAAAGAAGTAAGAATGCTGGGGATGGCAAGAGAAATGTCTGCTTCTGTAGACGAACAACTAAAGGTGTTATGGTGTAGGTTCCAACAGAATACAATGCACACAAAAGGAGAAGTAAACAAAGGAATGATTTTTTTTCCAAATTAAAAGATAGGAGAAAATGAGAAAAAGAATATATGTGCAAGTGTGCAGCAATCTGAAAGATGAAAGAAAAAGAAAATGTTTGCAATGATTACTAGAGTAACTAAAGTAGTGTGAGTCATAGTAACTAAAGTAGTGTGAGTCATAGCAGATGAACCCTGAAAATCTTTATGGAAAGCAGTCCACTTGGAGAATTGCACAGGCCTCCTTTGGATTGTCCATTTGGTATGTACAATTCTAACTAAAGGTATGACGAGATGAATTCCATAGACAATATATCTGGGACAGACATATCCAGGGGAACTATTTTTCTATTCAATATACTTTTAACTGCTTCATTTCACCAGACTACATGCTGTAACAGGTTTAAACACTATTAAACTCTATTAAACAGTGATAAAGATATGCACTCATCTCTGAAACATGAGCACAGCTCATGAAATTCCCTGCTGAGGAGCTATCGGTTTGCGTCTCTGCTGAAGTTACAGCCCATAAATGTAGGCCTGAGTTCTCAGTAATTATTCTTCCCTTTCAGATCATCAGAAGGAAAATAACCTCATGTATTTATAGCCATTTCTACTAGGTATTCAGTGATTATTTGTTGATTCTTGCATTGATTTTCATAGAGGATGTTGTTATTTGAAGAAATTTGTTGGTGGGAAAGATCTAATTGGACTGATTACATAGGCAGCATGGCCTTCATAACGAGCTCTGTCCTATTTGCTGGCATTTGCAAATCTAGGTTAGAGAGGGAGAAAAAGGAAAAGAGAAAGAGAGAGAGAGGAAAAGGGCTGATGATAGTTCCTTTCAGCTTAGTTCATTGATGATCTATAGCCTTTTTCAAAGTTGAGTATATATAATATATATTTCAAATATCATGTAATTATTTACTTTTTAAAATAATATTTTAGCCTGTAATCCCAGCCTTTGGGAGGCCAAGGTGGACAGATCACCTGAGGTCAGGAGTTCAAGACCAGCCTTGCCAACATGGTAAAACCCCATCTCTGCTAAAAATACAAAAAAAAATTAGCCAGGCATGGTGGTGGGCACCTGTAATCCCAGCTACTTGGGAGGCTGAGGCAGGAGAATTGTTTGAATCCGGGAGGTGAAGGTTGCAGTGAGCCGAGATGGCACCATTGCACTCCAGCCTGGGCAACAGAGTGAGACTCTATCTCAAAAAAATAATAACGAATAATATTTTAATGTGAAAAAAATTTAAAGTTAGAGCTTATTTGATTACCTTAAGAGCTACATGAACTTGACAACAGACCATCCAAACTATTGTACAAAAATTGGCTGAACATAGAGTTTAAAATACTAAGTTGACTATCCTATGGCCAATCTGGTGGCCATATAACTCTGGAAAATTATTGTGAAACAGCACAAATGTTATATTATATAACCTGTAAAGAAAATATATAACAATGATAAGTGACACGGAGGTTATATTGGAAATATATATGCATTGGAAATATAAATGGATTATATATTATATATTGTTATGTATTTGTCTCAGGATGGTGCTGAGACAATTTAGTAATATAATAGGTAGAAGAATTTTTTTTCTACTAAAATTGACCTAAAGAACTTTATGGGGTTACTTTGCAAATATGACCATAAATTCTAGCAGTCTGTCTTATTAACTTTATTTGAAACTAAGTCTATTTCTTAAATTGTATAAATATGAAAGCATTAAAAATATAGGCCAAATCATTTTAATGAATATTCTGTCTTCATTTTTTGTGGCCTTAGGATATGTTAGAATTTTTTCACGCTCCACATTCTCATTTGCATAGAAAGAGATTATTTTAATTTTTGATAGGATAAAATGCCTAAATGGTGTAATCAATAAAGACTGCCATAGGACATTATAACTTATTTCTTCTCTCTAACTGTATGCTTGTTCAAGAGTAGAGCGACTATTGTTAACAATGTACTATACATTTCAAAATAGCTGGAAGTGAGGACTTGGAATGCTCTCAACACATAGGAATGATAAATGCTCACAGTGATGTATATCCTAACTATCCTGACTTGATCATTAGACATTCTATGCATGTAACAAAATATTACATGTACCCTATACATATGTACAAACATTACGTATCAACTACAAATAAAAAATGCTGGCAATGTAGATATGCAGAAGATGTGGAAACTATGAGCAAAAAGGAGTTTGGGAATGCAGAATTGTATAATTCATCAAGCAGAAATTCAACAGTTATTTTGCTTAATTCTATGATGACTCTTTGGCGGCACCAAAGAGATTAACAATATGCCACTGAGATATATCAACTATATTTATACTGTATTTATTTAAAAAGTAAGAAAAATTTAAAATAAGGAAAATGTCAATTATGTGAAGTTTAAGCAGACAAAAGTGAAGCAGAGAAATGAAAAGGGGAGGAAAGGATCAGGAATTGAGGAATGTGGTTAAAAAAAAGTAAGCAGAGTTGGAAGAAAGGAGTATAGAACATTTTTAAAAAACAGGACAAAACCCATATTTGCTGGAATGGCACTGATTGTTCTATCAGATGTCTCTCAGAGGACCCAGTTTCTTGGGTTTCCTAAAACATTTCACATCAATGTTTTCAAACTCAACCAAACATTGAAATATGAAATTAATATGTTCAAGAGATAGAACGGTAAGGTAATTAAGAGCCTAGCTCCTAGAGACAGACCAAATGTACTTGAGTTTTGGCTTTGCAATTTAATTGCTGTAACCTTGGTCAAGGTATTTAACTTATCTGAGCCCCAGTTTTCTTATCCATAAAATGGAATTATTAAGATATCCTTTATGGGTTAGCTGTGGTAATTATATGTACTATGGTATTACTTGCATGTGCTGGGCACATGGTAAGTCCTATTGCTTGTTATTATCATTACCAATGTAGTGCATTATTACTAGAATAACTTTTTTAAATTTAGTAAGTTTTATTTTAGAACAGTTAAAGATTACAGAAAATTTGAAGATAGTACAGAGAGTTGTCATATATACCACACCCAGCTTCCCCTATTAACATCCTACAAATGTATAGCATATTTATTACAACTTATAAACCAATATTGATATATTATTATTAAGCAAAGTGGATATATTTTTCAGATATTCTTAGTATTTACCTAATGTCTGTGTGTTCCAAATTCCCATCTGTGATACCTCATTACATTTAGCTTTAATGTTTTCTTAGGCCCCTCTTGGCCATGAGAGTGTTTCAGATTTTTCTTGTTTTTAATGACTTGCACAGTTTTAAAGAGTATGAGTCAGATAATTTATAGTATGTTCCTCAATTAGGATTTGTCTGATGTTTTTCTCATGATTAGGGTTGGATTATGGTTTTTATTTTGTTTTATTTTATTTTTTTGAGACGGAGTCTCGCTCTGTCGCCCAGGCTGGAGTGCAGTGGCGCGATCTCGGCTCACTGCCAGCTCCACCTCCCAGGTTCACGCCATTCTCCTGCCTCAGCCTCCCGAGAGTAGCTGGGACTACAGGCGCCGGCCACCAAGCCTGGCTAATTTTTTTTTTTTTTGTATTTTTAGTAGAGACGGGGTTTCACCGTGTTAGCCAGGATGGTCTCAATCTCCTGACCTCGTGATCCGCCCTCCTCGGCCTCCCAAAGTACTGGGATTACAGGAGTGAGTCACCACGCCCGGCCGGATTATGGATTTTTAAGAGGAAAACCACAGAGGTTAAGTACCATTTTCATCACATCATACAAAGAGTACATATTATCAACATGTCTTATCACTATTGATTATGGCCTTGAGCAGCTGGCTGGAGATAGTGTTTTTCAGTTTTCTTCACTATAAAGTTACTTTCCTCCTGCCCTGCCCGTCCTATAAATTTTGGAAGGATATCACTGTTCACCACCCACACTTAAAGTGTGGGAATCACCCCTGGCCTTCTCAAGGGAGAAATATCTACATAAATTACTTCAAATGTTGTACAAGAGATTTGTCTATTTTTATTCATTCATATTTTTATTGATACATAATTGTACGTATTTATGGAGTACATATGATATTTTGATATATGCATACAGTGAGTAATGAGCAATCAGGATCATTGGAATATCCATCACCTCAAGCATTTATCATTTCTTTGTGTTGGAAACATTCCACATCTTCTCTTCCAACTCTTTTGTAATACCCACTAAATTTTTGTTAGCTTTTGTCACTCTATTTTGCTACTGAACACTAGAATTTGTTTATTCTATCTATTTTTGTACCCATTAGCCAACCTCTCTTTATCATCCCTCTCTGAATTACCTCTCTTAGGCTCTTGTAATAATCCTTCTACTCTCTGCCATTGAGATAAACTTTTTTACTTCCCATATATGAGTGAGAGCCTCCAATATTTGTCTTTCTATGCCTGGCATTTCACTTACCATAACATCCAGCAGTTCCATCCATGTTGCTGCAAATGACAGAATTTTATTCATTTCCATGGCTGAATAATATTCCACTGTGTACATATGCCATATTTATTTATCCATTCATCCATTTATGGCCATTTATGTGGCCTCCATAGTTGGATACTATGATGAGTGCTTCAATAAACATGGGAGTGCAGGTATCTCTTCAATATACTGATTTCATTTCATTTGGATATATACCCAGCAATAGGATTGGTAGATCATGTGGTAGATCTATTTTTATTTTTCTGAGGAAACTTCACACTGTTTTTTATAGTGGTTGTACTAATTTAGCTTCCTACCAACAATCTACTAGCGTTATCGTTTCTCCACATTATTGCCAGCATTTGATAATCTTTGGGCTTTTTGATAATAGTCATGTTAACTGGAGTGAAATGATATCTCATTGTGGTTTTGATTTGCATTTCCCTAATAATTAGTGATGTTGGGCATTTTTTTCATATACCTGTTGGCCATTTGTATATCTTTTTTTGTGAAATATCTATTCAGATCATTGGCCCATTTAAAAAATTCAATTATTTGTTTTTTTGCTGTTGAGTTGTTTGAAAGTTGCTTACATATGATGGTTATTATTCCCTCATCAAATTGATAGTTTGCATATATTTTTTCCCATTCTGTAGGTGCCTTTCACTAGGTTGATTGTTTCCTTCGCTGTGAAGAAGCTATTTAGGTTCATGTTATCCCATTAGTCTGTATTTGATTTTGTCGCCTCTGCTTTTGAGGTTTTACCCAAAAACGCTTTGCCTAGACCAATGTCCTGAAGTGATTTAACAGTGTTTTATTCTAGAAGTTTAATAGTTTCATGCGTTTCATTTACACCTTTAATCTATTTTGATTTGATTTTTTGTATATGGTGAGATATGTGTAGTTTAATTCTGCACAACAACATACACTTTTCCTAGTACTATTTATTGAAAAAACTGTTCTCTCCCCAGTGTATCTTCTTGACACCTTTGTAAAAGATGAGTTGAATTAAATGCCTTGACATCCTTCCGGGTTTCCTGTTCTGTTTCATTGGTCTACGTGTCTGTTTTTGTGCCAGTACCATGTTGTTTTGTTTACTATAGCTTTGTAGTATATTTTGAAGTCTGATAGTGTGATGCCTCCAGCTTTGTTCCTTTTTTCTCAAGGAAGCTTTGGCTATTCAGAATCTCTTGTGGTTCCATATGAATTTTAGGGATAGTTTTTCTCTTTCTATGAGGAATGATATTGATATTTGGATGAAAATTGCATTGAATATGTAGATTGTTTAACATAATATGGACATTATTTTCAATTTTATTCCTTTCAACTTTTATTTTCAGTTCAGTTGGTGGTACATATGCAGGTTTGTTATGCTGGTAAATTGTGTTTTGAGGGGGTTTGTTGTACAAATTATTTTGTCACTGAGGTAATAATATAGTACACAACAGGTAGTTTTTTGATACTCACCCTCCTCCCACACTCCACCCTTGATTTGGCACTGATGCCTGCTGTTTCCGTCTTTGTGTCTATTTGTATGCAGTGTTTAGCTCCCACTTGTGAGAATATGCAGTTTTTGGTTTTCTGTTCCTGCATTAATTTGCTTAGGAAAATGACCTATAACTTCATTCATGTTGTAGCAAAGGACATGATTTCATTCTTTTTAATGGCTGCTTAGTATTCCATAATGTGTATGTACCATGTTTTCTTTATCCAGTTCATCACTGATGGGCATCTAGGTTGATTCTATGTCTTTGCTATTGTGAATAGTGCTGTAATGAAAATGCATGTGCATGTGTCTTTATAGTGGAACCATTTATATTCCGTTGAGTACATACCTAGTAATGAGACTACTGAGTCGAATGGTAGTGCTGTTTAAAGTTCCTTGAAAAATCTTTAAACTGCTTTCCACAGCAGCTGAAATAATTTACATTCCCACGGGCACTCTATGTGTTCCCTTTTCTTTGCAACCTTGCCAACATCTGATATTTTTTGACTTTTTAATAATAAACATTCTGACTGCTGTGAGATGGTATCTCACTGTGGTTTTGATTTGCATTTATCTAATGATTATTGATGTTGACCATTTTTTCATGTTTCTTGGCTACTTGTATGTCTTCTTTTGAGAAGTGTCTGCTCATGTCCTTCACCTACTTTTAAATGGTGATACTTGCTTTTTGCTTGCTGATTTGTTTAAGTTCCTTATAGATGCTGGATATTAGACCTTTGCTGGAAGTATGTTTGTCAAATATTTTCTCTTATCCTTTACGTTGTCTGTTTACTGTTGATAGTTTCTTTTGTGGTGCAGAGGCTGTTTAGTTTAATTAGGTACCACTTATCAATTTTTTTTTGTTGCAATTGCTTTTGAAGACTTTCTCATGAAATCTTTAACAGAGCCAAAATACAGAATGGTACTTCCTAGGTTATCTTCCAGGGATTTTATAGTTGTAGGTTTTATATTTAAGTCTTTAATCTGTCTTGAGTTGATTATTGTATATGGTGAAAGGAAGGGGTCCAGTTTCAATCTTCTGCATAGCCAGTTATCCCAGCATCATTTATCGATCAGGGAATCCTTTCTTTGTTGCTTTTTATTGTCAGCTCTGTTGAAATAAGATGGTGGTGGGTGTGTGGTTTTATTTTTGATTCTCTAATCTGTCCCGTTGGTATATATATCTGTTTTTATACCAGTACCATGCTGATTTGGTTACTGTAGCCTTGTAAGTATAGTTTGAATTTAAGTAGTGTGATGCCTACAGTTTTGTTCTTTTTGTTTGGGATTGCTTTGTCTATTTGGGCTCTGTTTAGGTTCCATATAAATTTTAGATTTTTTTTCCAATTTCATAAAAAATGTCTTTTTAAAAATTTGTTTGCAACAGCTCTGATTTATTTCAGCAGTTCTTTGTAATTCTAATTGTCTAGATCTTTCACCTCCCTGGTTAGCAGTATTCCTAGGTATTTTATTCCTTTTGTGACTATTGTGGACGGGATTACATTCTTGATTTGGCTGCCAGCTTTGACATTATTAATGTATAGAAATGTTACTGATTTTTGTATAATACATGGATTTTGTATCATGAAACTTTGCTGAAGTTGTTTATCAGAGCTAGGAGTTTTTGGGCAGAGACTATTGGCTTTTCTAGGTATGAATCGTATCAACTGTGAAAAGAAATAGTTTGACTACCTCTCTTCCTATTTGGATACCTTTTATTTCTTTCTCTTGCCTGATTGCTCTGGGTAGAACAACCAGTATTATGTTGAATCGGAGTGGTGAGAAAGGACATCCTTGTCTTGTTTTGGTTCTCAAGGAGAATGCTTCCAGCGTTTTCATGTTCAGTATGGGGTTGGCTGTGAGTATGTCATAGATAGCTCTTATTATTTTGAGGTGTTTCTTCGATGACTAGTTTGTCAAGGGTTTTTAACATGAAGGGATGTTGAATTTTACTGAAAGCCTTTTCTGCGTTTATTGAGAAGATCATGTGGTTTTGTTTATATTTCTGTTTATGTGATGATTCACATTTATTGATTTGGGTATGTTGAACCAGCTTTGTATCCCAGGAATAAGGCCTATGTGATCGTGGTGGATTAGTTATTTGATGTGCTGTTGGATTCTCTTGGCTATTATTTTGCTAATAATTTTTTCCTTCTATGTTCATCAGGGATATTGGCCTGAAGTTCTATTTATTTTTTATTGTGCCTTTGCCAGGTTTTATGTATCCCAATGATGCTGGCCTCATAGAATGAGTTAGAGAAGAGTTCCTCCTTGATTTTTTTGAATAGTTACAGTAGGACTCATACCAGCAATTCTTTACATGTCTATTGAAATTTATCTCTGAATCCATCTGGTCGATGTCTTTTTCTTCTTAATAAGTTTTTAAAAATTACCTATTCTTTTTTGGAAGACATTATTAGCCTGTTCAGCATTTCAATTTCTTGATTCAATCTTAGGAGGATGTATGTTTCCAGGAATGTATCAGTTTCCTCTAGGTTTTATGGTTTGTGTGCAAATAGGTTGTTATAATAGTCTTTGAGGGTTTTTTTTTTTTTTTGTATTTCTGTGGAGTTGGTGGTGATGTCCCCATTAGCATTGTGTATATTTGGATCTTCTCTCTTTTTTCCCTTTATTATTCTAGCTAGTGGTGTATCAATCTTATATGTTCTATCAGAGAACCAACTTCTGGTTTATTTGATTTTTTGCATGATTTTTTTTTCTCATCTCCATTTTGCTCAGTTCAACTCTGGTTTTGGTTATTTCATTTCTTTTGGTAGCTTTGGGATTTATTTGCTCTTGTTTTTCTAATTCCCCTAGCTGTGATTTTAGGTTGTTAATTTGAGATACAACTTTTTGGTGTGTGTAATGCTGTAAACATTCCTTGTAACACTGCTTTAGTTGTATCCTAGAGATCCTGGTTGTAGTATCTCTGTTTTAATTTATTTCAAAGAATTTCTTGATTTCTGCCTTAATTTCATTGTTTACCCAAAAGTCATTCAGGAGCAGATTGCTAAATTTCCATATAATTATGTAGTTTTGAGATATCTTCTTGTTTGTATTTTTGACAGTATGGTCCAAAAATGTGGTTGGTATGATTTTTTTTTAATTTCTTGAGAATTATTTTATGGCCCAGTGTGTGATTGATTTTAGAGC
The DNA here is from genome assembly GCF_000001405.40 of Homo sapiens. Taxonomy (NCBI): domain Eukaryota; kingdom Metazoa; phylum Chordata; class Mammalia; order Primates; family Hominidae; genus Homo; species Homo sapiens. The sequence continues at coordinate 31,527,790 of NC_000004.12, forward strand.
ATATGACATGTGCAATTAAGAAGAGTGTATATTCCACTGTGGTTGGGTGAACAGTTGTGTAGATGTCTGTTAGGTCCCTTTGGTCAAGTATTAAGTTTAGGTCCTGAATGTTTTTATTAGTTTTCTGCCTGAATAATCTGTCCAATATTGTTAGTGGGGTGTTGAAGACTTCTGCTATTTTTGTGTGTTTATCTAAGTCTCTTTATAGGTCTCTAAGAATTTATTTTATAAATCTGGGTTCTCCAGTGTTGGGTGCATATATATTTAGGATAGTTAAGTCATCTTGTTAAACTGAACCCTTTATCATTGTGAAATGATAAAGAAATGCCCTTCTTTTCCTTTTTTGATCACTATTGGCTTAAAGTTTGCTTTGTCTAACGTAAGAATAGACCCCTGTTCTTTTTTGTTTTCCATTTTCTTGGTAGATCTTTCTTTATCCCTTTACTTTGAGCCTATGGGTGTCATTGCATGTTGATGGGTCTCCCGAAGACACCATACAGTTGGGTCTTACTTCTGAATCCGTCTTGCTACTCTGTACCTTTTAATTGGGGCATTTACCCCATTTACATTCAAGGTTAACATTAATATGCACAGATTTGATCCTGTCATCATGTTTGTAGGTGGCTATTATGCAGATGTCATTGTGTAGTTCCTTTACGTTAATTGTCCATGTACTTAAGTGTGTTTATGTGGTGGCCAGTAAAAGTCTTATTTCCATGTTTACACCCCCTCAAAGACCTTTTATAAGACAAGTCTGGTAGTGAAAATTTCCTTAGCATTTTCTTACCTGAAAAGGATTTTATTTAGCCTTCACTTATGAAGCTTGGTATGGCTGGATATGAAATTCTTATGTAGAATTTATTCTCTTTACGAATTGCTGAATATAGGCCCCCAATCTTATCTGGCTTATAGGATTTCTGCTGAAAGGTCTGATATTAGCCTGATGGAGTTTCCTTTGTCAGTGACCTGCCACTTCTCTCTAGCTGCCTTTAATATTTCTTCTTTCATATTGACCTTAGTCAATTTAATGAATATATGTCTTGGCGGTGGTTGTCTTGTATAGTACCTCACAGGGGTTTTCTGAATTTCCTGGGATTTGAATGTTGACATATCTAGCAAGGTTGGGAAAATTTTCATGGATAATATACTCAAATATGTTTTGTATGTTTCTAGCTCTTTCTCCCTCTCTTTCAGGGACACTAATAAGTCATAGGTTTGGTCTCTAAGTCATCTCACATTTCTCAGAGGTTTCATTCATTTTTAAAAATTTGTTTTTACTTTTTTCTGACTGAGTTAATTTGAACAACGATTCTTTCACCTCTGAGCTTCTTTCCTCAGCTTGGTCTATACTTCTATTAATACTTCCGATTGTGTTATGAAATCTTGTAGTGAGTTTTTTACTTCTATAAGATCAATTTGGCTCTTTCTTAAAATGGATATTTTATTTTGCTGATAATGAATTAGTAAAATGAAATCATTTTACTGTATCCCTTAAATTCCTTGTGTTGGGATTCAACTTTTTATTGAATCTTGGTAATGTGTACTGACAGCTAGAATCTGAATTTTATGTCTCTTATTTCAGACATTTCATTCTGGTTAAGAACCACTTCTGGGTAGCTAGTGCAGTCATTTGGAGGTAAGAAGACACTCTGGGTTGTTAGGGTTCTTGCACTGGTTCTTTCTCATCTGTGTGGGCTGATGTTCCTTTAAGTGTGGTGTAATTTGGGTATACTCAGTTGGCTTCATTTCTGGATGTTTTCAGAGGGCTGAGACTTTGTGCAGATACTTTATTTGTAGCTGAATTCTTGCCCTTGTTTTCACTTAGGAGTAAACTAGCAAGGTATTTTTGGTGTTGTAGTTTGGGCTTGCAATCTAGTAGACACTGCTTAAGCATAATGGCCAGTAAGTAGGCTCTTACTCAGCAGTAAGTAGGCTCTCACTCAGCTGCATGGCTCCTTTATATTTCTTCCTGTTTGCAGCTGTGCTGTCTCAGTGCTCTGAGAATGTGAATTCCTCTTTTAATCAAATGCTAGCCAAAGATCTCAGCCTGTCACTCCAGCTTTTGCACCACAGCCCTAGCATAAGCTCAGGCATTTTGTTCCCTCCTCAGCTTGGGGGTAGCAGGGCTGGGGACCCTGACAGTAACAATGGCTAAGGGCTTGTCACTTATCTCTGGGAGCTCCATCCATAGTAATGCAGAGCCACTGCCAATCAGAATGATCAGCTTGGGGTGAGGTAGCTGCCAGAAGGGCCCAAGCCAGGGGGCACTGCCTGGTGAATAGTGAGGAGAGGGGCTTGCAGGGAAGACAGTGTGGCCTCTTCTCCATAGGGCAGCTGTGGCATGGTGGAGGTACAAGTAAAGCACTCAGGGTCTTCATTCCTTCTCCAGCCTGGTGGCAAAAAGAGCTGGCACCATTGCAGTGGCAGTGATAGAGGAGCTCTCAGTTGCCTCTGGCAATTCCACCTTGGAGTGACACAGAGCTGCCGCCAATGGGAATGTTCAGCTGGGTGTGGGATGGCTTTGCTGTGGGCCCAAAGTGGAGGCCCTCCCTGGTCAAGAGCAGGGGGTTGGGGGATCAAAGGGAGGAGAGACTGGGCTTCTCTTTGTATGGCAGCTGTGGTGTGCTGGAGGTGCAAATAAAATGAGCAGGGTCTTTGTTCTTTCCCCAGGCCAAGAGTAACAAGGACAGTACTGCTGGAGCAGAAATGACAGAGGGTCTGTTGACTGTCTCTGGGAACTCCACCCCAGAGAAATGCAGAGCCACCATCAACCAAAGTGTTCAGGTGTCAGTAGGGTGGCTATACCAGGGGCCCAGGTCAGGAGGCCCTGCCCAGTGAGAAGTAGCAGGGGCAGGGATTCACACGGGAAATTGTCTGGCTGCTTTTCTATAAGGCAGCTGCGGAATGCTGGAGGTCTGCAACAGTCCTTCAGCTCTTTGCTCCCTCCCCAGCCTGAGGGCAGTAGGGGCAGGGGTTATGGCAGCAGCAGAAGCTGTGTGCATGTCAATTACCTCTGGGAGCTCCATCCTAGAGAAATGCGGAACTGTGACCAGCTTGAGTGCTAAAAGGGGGTGGGGAAACTGTGCTGGAGTCCCAGACCAGTGGTTTTTTTCTGGCAAGGTGCAATGGGGGCAAAGACTGTAGTCCATCCACTCTTCAGCACTGTGGATGAGGCCTCTATTCTGCGGGCACACAACATAGCCTGTCCTTCCTTTTGGCAGAGCTATGGCAGCTGGTGCTGAGGTGCTCAGGAATCCAAGGCCTTTGGGGCTCTATGTGGCCCTGAGTGGTGGGGCTGCCCATACTCCATGCAACTCTCCCTGTCAGTGTGGAGGCTCCAGTGAAGGGGTGGTTAATGGAGATCTTCTGTGGCCAGGGCTGCAAAGATCCATGGCAGAAGTTTGGGTCTTTGGGAGCTCTCACCTACTCAAACTTTCCCAGCAGTGGGGAGCCTCCCTTGACTCTGTGCCAGTCCAAGTGGGTGGCTGTCCTGCCTTGCTCCTCTCTGCTCTCTGTGGGTTGTCATTGCTTGCTTGCTGAATCCCACCATGCCCCCCTGAACAATCCATTTGAAGAGCTAGTGTTTATTCAATAATCTCTCTCCTCTCCATGAGAACAGTGCAAACTCGCTGCTTCTAGTCATCCATCTGGTGGGAGTGTCTGGATATTTTAACAATATTAATAATTTCAACCCATGAACATGGGATATCTTCCCATTTTTGTGTCTTCTTCAATTTCTTTCATCAACACTTTATAGTTTACATTGTAGAGATGTTTTACTTCTTCAGTCAAGTTTATTCCTAGGTATTTATTTTGTAGTTATTGTAAGTTGGATAGCTTCTTGACTTTTTTTCAGATAGTTTGCTGTTGGTGTATAGAAAAGATATTGACTTTTGTATATTGATTTTGTATCCCATAATGTTACTGAATTTATCAGTTCTAATAGATTTTTTAGTCGAATCTTTAGGTTTTTCTAAATATAGGATCATGTCATCTGCAACAATAATAATTTAACTTTTTCTTTCCAGATTGGATAACCTTTATTCCTTTATCTTTTCAAATTGCTCTGGTTAGGACTTCCAGTACTATGTTAAATAACAGAGGTAAAGTAAGCATCCTTGTCTACTTTCTGTTGTCTAATAGCTGTTCTAGATATTAGAGGAAAGGCCTTCTATTTTTCCTCGTTCAGTATGATATTAGTTGTGAGTTTGTCATATACGGTCTATATTGCTTTGAAGTATATGCCTTCTATACCCAGAGTTTTGAGAATTTTTATCATGATGGATGCTAAATTTTATTAAATGCTTTTTAAAAATTATATTTAAATAAGCATAAGACTTATTTTCTTGATTTTGTTAATATGATATATCATGTTTATTTGTGTACGTTGAACCAACTTTCTTTGCATCCTTGAGATACATCCTACTTGATCATGATTGATAAACTTTTTAATGTAACGTTGAATTCAGTTTGCTAGTATTTTGTGGAGGATTTTTGCCTCTATGTTTTTAAGGGATATTGACCTGATATTTTCTCCTTTTGTTGTGTGCTTGCCTGATTTTGTTATAATGGTAATTCTAGCTTCATAAAATGAGATTGGAAGTAACCCTCCCTTTTCAATCTTTTGAAACAGTTTGAGTAGAATCTAGTATTGGCTCTTCTTTAAATGTTTGGTAGAATTAAGTAGTAAGCCAATCACGTTCTGGGCTTTTCTTTGATAGCATATGTTTTGTTACTGCTTCGATCTCATTACTTGTTGTTGGTCTGTACAGGTTTATTTTTTATGTGATTTTTATATATAGAAAACTCAACAGTGTACATTTAATCCAGTTTAATGGCAAGTTATTCATCCTTTACCTTTTCCAACTTGGCAATGTGAGCCACAGATTTTGGACCCAGGACATTCCCTCCCCAGTGACAGCAGATCTTATCATATCTGCCATTGTAATTGTTCATCTTCTGTCTTCAAGCTCACTTTTTTCTCTGTCTGATCAATTCTGCTATTGAAATTTTCTAATGAGTTTTTCAATTTAACTATTGTATTATTTATTTCTTGGATTTTTAAAAATTGTTTCTATTTGTCAAATGTATTATTTTATTCTTGAATTTTGTTTCAAATTTTCTTTTGTTTTCTGTTCACATATATTTTTTTTGCAATTCACTAAAATTCATTAAGGGGAATATTCTGAATTATCTCTCTGACATTTTACAGATTTTCAATTCTTCTGGGTCCATTGCTGGAGCTTCATTGGTTTATTTTGGTGGTGGTGTCACATGATCCTGGATTTTTTCAGTGTTTGCATTTTTGCATTGATTCTTGTGCATTTGAGGAGACAGACATCTCCTCCAGATTTTTTAGGTGTTCTTTTGTGATGTTAGACCTTTAATAATTAATATTGAGATTTAAATGCTGACTTGTTGTTTCTTTTAATTCTGGGAAGACTTACTGTGAACAGTGGAACTAAAATGCTGCATTGGAACTTACTGCCCTGCCATTCTTTTCTGATCCGGGGTGACTTAAGCAGGCACTGTATTTTAATACTGACCTTTCAGCTTATTCTTGGTCAGTAGAAGGCTTCCCACAAACATCTGGGCTTTATGGAAAATCTGGCCAGGGATTTGGGTCTTGCCATGGATTGTGCTTCCTGACACACTACAGGACTGGACAGCCTCTTCAATGTGGTATCCCCACTGATCAGAGTGCAGAGTAGCTGTCGAGATTCACATGCCTATTGCTGTGATTAGTACCTGCTCTTTGTCTTGCATTCACTCCAGTTGGTTCAGTCCTCCTGACACTCTCAGTGATTCCCGTAGGATAGGACCAGAGTGGGCTTCCCACAAAAACTCTAAGACCAATGGGAAAATTAAACTCCACCTCCAATTCCCGCCTGCCATCTCAAAAACATGGGTCTAGTTAAATTATGTGTAAGTGGCATTAGGCTGGCCTGGGGAAAGGGTGGCACAGTTTGAAATGACCATTCGTGCGATTAGTCATGGCTTGTTTTAATCCTGTGGGCACAGGGGTTTCTTTGCTTCTCCCTTGAGCTCTAGTGAACGCTAGTGGTATTCTTGTCTTTGTGTAGTTTCCAGTTGTATTTTTTTGGGGGGGGATTGATGCTTAGAAATCTTCTTTTCCACCATTTTGTTGACATCGTTCCACAAACCTACATCTGTTTATTTGCTCTTTTATGTCAGTATGAAATAATGAATATGTTCTATATTTTTGGTTATAATCTAATATTTAATTCTGTTGTTCTGTTTTCTAACTTTGTTCAATGGAAATTCTTGCAATTAGCCTCAGTGTCCCTTTGACAAAGCACTATCAGTGTGCGTGTGTGTGTGACTGTGTGTAGCAAATCATTACTTTCCGGCACTACAGGATGTGTCAGGCTCTCTTGTATATTTCTTGACCCAGTCTTAGAATCAGTCATTTACCCAAAAAGCCACAGTTCCTTTTATTATACAATGATATTAAGAGACAATATCTGACTGCCATCTGTGCTTACAGCTACTGGGATATCCTTGCTTCTAAGCATTGTCAGCTGACAGAGAAAGGAATATTATGTGTGACAGAGAAAGGAATACTAAACTCAGTATATACAAAAACTACACATATTTTTACATGTATCTGTATTTATATTAAGCTACACATAAGTTCATATTGATGACCTAAATTCTGATCTATTACCACAAGGAACATTCTATCTTTCTCCTCTTGTTTATTTGCAATCTTCAACTCCAAAAGAGAAAAATCTGGCTCTCTCCATTTACCATCCATTTACTGATTTGTTCAATACATATAGTAGTGTTATGACTGTTCATGCACACTGCCATAGAAAAAAATATCAGCTAGAATACAGAGGTCATGTCTAATTTTTTTTTCTAAATGTTGTAGTCTTCACTCATTTCCCAAGTTACTCAGGCCAACACCCTGACCCACACCACTTCATTAAGGTTATTTCATGAAATTTTAATGCAATTAGATAGTTTTTTCACATTCTTCATTTTATCCTGGATCCTCTTATTGCAAATGTTTTTCCTTTTTAAAAATATTTTATATGTTGAAATTCAAACCAGAGTTTCACTCTTTATGCTCCAATTCTATGAATTTTAATAAATACATTGTGTCATGTATCCACACTTTCAGTATCATAGATAATAATTCACAACCCCCGACATTTTCATTTGTTTCAACTGTTTATCTTTTCTTCCAACTGAAAACCTGGTATACATTGAGCTGTCTGGTCATTTAACTATATTAAGTCTTCTGATCCATGAGCATGGGATGTTTTTCCATTTGTTTGAGTTAACTAAAATTTATTTTGTCCATATTCTAGTTTTTTCTTATACAGATCTTTCACTTCCTTGTTAGGATTTTTTTTTTTGTAGCTATTGTAAATGGAATTGATTTCTTGATTTAATTCTCACTTTTATCACTATTAATGTATGGAAATGCTACTGATTTGTGTACATTGTTTTTTGTATCCTGAAATTGAATGCATTTCGCAAATTTAAGAATTTTCTGGAGAAGTCTTTAGGGTTTTCCAAGTATAAGATTATTTTATTAGCAAACATATAATTTGACTTCCTCTTTTCCAATATGGATGACTTTTATTGCCTTTTCTTGACTGATTACTCTGGCTAGGACTTCCATTACTATTTTGAATAGGAATGGTGAAAGTGGACATCCTTGTCTTGTACCAATTCTTATAAGGAATGCTTTAATTTTTCCCCTTCCAGTATGATGTCAGCTGTGGGTTTGTTGTATATAGCCTTCATTATTTTGAGGTATATTCTTTTTATACCTAGTTTTTGGGGGTTTTCATTATGAAAGAATGCTCAGTTTTATCAAATGCTATTTCTGTATCTATTGAAATAACCATATGGTTTTTAACCTTAATTCTGTTAATGTGATAAATCACATTTTTAATTTGTATATGTTAAATCATCCTTGCATTCCCGGGAAAAAAAATTCCTACTGGATCATGGTGTATTATCTTTTTATTGTGCTGTTGGATTTGGTTTGTTAGTACTTGTAGACAAATTTTGAATCTATTTTCAATAGGGATATTGTTCTATAGTTTCCTTTTTTTGTTATTTCCTTGCCTAACTTTGTTATCCGGACAATTCATTCTATGAGGTCTTCTTAGAATGAATTATGGAGGTATATACTTCCTCCTCAACTTTTTGCAAAAGTTTTAAGAGGATTGCTACCCATTCCTTTTTATACATTTGATAGAATTTGGCTTTGAATCTCTGTGGTCCTGGTCTTTACTTTTTTTAGAAAATTTTGTAGTATTGATTTACTCTCACTATTCATTAATGCTCTACTCAGAATTTTTCTTTCTTTCTGGTTCGATTTTGAGAGGTTGTTTTCCAGGAATTGACTCATTTCCTCATGATTTTCTAGTTTGTGAGCATACAGTTCACAGCATTTCACAGTAGCCTCTGATAATCTTTTGTATTTCTTTGTTATCAGTTGTACTGTCTTCTTTTTCATTTCTGATTATGTTTATTTGGATCTTCTTCTTCATTAGTCCAACTGGCAATTAATCAATTTTCTTTATCTTTCTAAAAACCAACGTATTATTTTCTCTATCCATTGTAGTGTGTGTGTGTGTGTGTGTGTGTGTGTGTGTGTCTCTATTTCATTTAGTTCTGCCCTGATCTTTGTTATATCTTTTCTTTAGCCAGCTTTGGGTTTAGTTTTTCCTCGTTCTTTGAATTGTGATGTGAAGTTGTTAATTTGTAATATTCCTTTTTTTATGTGGGCATTTAACAATGTTAACCTCCCCCCAGCATTGTTTTTGCTGTATCAAAAAAAGGTTTTTGTATGTCGTGTTTTGATCTTCATTCATTTCAAAATTTAAATTTTTTATCTTACTTTTGTTGCTTTAAAGATTGTTCCGCATCATGTTGTTTAATTTTCAAGTTTTTGAACAGCTTCAATAGTTCCTTTTGGTGTTAATATCTAGTTTTATTCTGTGGTCTAAGAAGATACTTGATATAATTTTATTTTAAAAAATTTATTGAGACTTGTTTTGTGGCCTAACATAAGCTGTATCTTGGAGAATGTCCCATGTCCTGATGGGAAGAATATATATTCTGTGGTTGTTGGATAGAATGTTCTGTTAATGTCTGTTAGGTCCATTTATTCTAAAGTCTGGCTTAATTCCAGTTTTTCTTTGTTTATTTTCTGTTTCAATGTTATATCTAGTGCTGTGAGATAGGAATCAAAGCCCGCATTATTATTGTATGGCTATTCATATTTTCCTTTAGCTCTAGTAATATTTGCTTTATGAATCTGGGTGCTCTGATGTTGGGTGCATATATTAGAATATTTAGAATTGTTATATTCTCTTGTCATATTGATCCATTTATCATTACAAAATGATCTTCTTTGTCTTTTTTATTGTCATTGATTTGATATCTTTATCCGATGTAAGTACATACTCCAGCTTGCTTCTGTTTTTCATTTGTGTGAAATATCTTTTCTCACCCCTTTACCTGCAATAAGCATTGCAGGTAAAAATGCATTCAATAAGCATTTTTACCAGATAAATGAGTTTCTTGTAAGCAGAATATAATGACTTAATGTTTTAAAAATTCATTCCACCAAATTGTATCTTTTATGTAAACCATTTAGTACATTTATATCCAAGGTTAATATTAACATATGAGGTTTTATTTCTGTTATAATGTTGATTTTTGTCTAGTTGTTTTGTGAATTTTTTTTATCTTTTGTCCTCTGTTTATCTTTGTTGTTTGGTGAAATTCTGTCATATTTCCATTGAGATTTTTTCTCTTCCTCCTTTGTGTAATTGTTTCATGAGATCTGTGTGTTTCTTACTTTTATGTGTTATTATGATAGTGAATACCAATTTTCATTTTCAAGTTTAGAATTCTTTTGAGCATTTTTTCTCCTCCCAAGTTCAAGCGATTATCCTGCCTCAGCCTCCAGAGTAGCTGGGACTACAGGCATATGCCACTACGCCCGGCTAATTTTTTGTATTTTTAGTAGAGACGGGGTTTCACCGTTTTAGCCGGGATGGTCTCGATCTCCTGACCTCGTGATCCGCCCGCCTCGGCCTCCCAAAGTGCTGGGATTACAGGCGTGAGCCACCGCGCCCGGCCAGTTTTGTTTTTTTTAATAGGATCCCAATTGCTTCTGGCTTGTAAGATTTCTGCTAAGAAGTGTACTGTTGGTCTGATGAGGTTTCTTCAATAGGTGACTTGGCACTTTTGCCGATTTTGGATTTTTTTTTTCCTTCATATTGACTTCAGACAGTCTTATGACTATATGCCATGGTGTAGTCTCTCCCGCAATGTATTGACTGGATGTCTAAAGGTTTTGCTAGACTAGGAAATTTTTCTATTGTTTTCTTAAATAGATTTTCTAGAATTTTACTTTTTCTCTTTCCTTAAAAAAAACTGATGATTTGTGCGTTCAATTTATTTGATACTTTACTTCTTGAAAGATTTGTTCATGCTTTATTATTGTTTTCTTTATTTTTATATGATTGATTAAATCAAAAGACCCATCTTCAGGTTCTGAGATTCATTCTTTTGTGTGGTATAGTCTATTTTTGAAGCTTACAAATGTTTGTTGTAATTCCCTCAATGCATTTATTTCCAGAAGTTCTGTTTTGTTTTTGTTTTTAAATATATTTATCTTCCTGGTGAATTTCTTATTCATATCTTCAATCATTTTCTGATTTATGTGTATAGGTTTTAGATTTCTCTTGCATCTCATCGAGCTTCTTTAAAATCAATATTTCAAATACTTTATGTGAAATATTGGAAACTTTTTTTTTGGTTTATTTTTTGGTAAGGATTCATTGCTAGAGAATTACTTTGTTTCGGGGAGGAGGATGTCATAACACCTTGCTTTTTCACACTTCCAGTATTTTTACACTGATTTATTCCCATCTGAAGAAACTTGATGTTTTTTACTTTTGAATTTACTTTCCTTGGGGCAGGAATTTTTTTGCTTTAGAATGTGATTATGATGTATATTGAGTAGGACCGTTTGGCTTTGCTTCTGGGTGCATTCAGTGGCAAAGACTGTATGATTCCATTGGTCATAAATAGCCTTAGTGTGGTGGCTTTCTCAAATGTCAGTTGTAGCAGTATGCTGGGTCAGTAAGCAGGCTCATGACCTCTTGAGAAACTGGGGTGGCATGGGTGATAGTGGTAGCAGAGATTGTGAGAAGCTTCTCTGCAAGTGCTGTGCATTTGTGTCAGCAGTCATTGTAATGAGCTATGCAAATCAACCTCCAGACCAGTAGGTGGCACTTACAAGTGAGAGCCAGCTGCAGTGGTGGCAGTAGGGTTTATTCTTAGCCTTTGTTCACTAGAGTTTAACTAGGGGAGTTACTTGGGTGTCCCAGGTGATGGGTTGGACAATGGAATGCTCAGTGGTCCTGGTTCTGTGCTCTGCCTCTGAGGAGGGGGCAGAAGTGACCCAGGCAGGGTTGGGCCAGGCAATCCTGCACTTGGACCCCACAATGATGGGCACAAAGGCTGGACCTGACTGGAGTCAGGGAGCAGTCCTCAGGCCTTGGGAGAAATGTCCCTGCAATGAGTGAAGTAACTGCATCTGTGCTTAAGTCACAGTACTAGGAAAGAGGGGCAGTCCTAGCTCCACAGCCAGGAGAGGCAGGAGTAAGTAGGAGTGAGATCTGCTCTGCTCTTATGCTCAAACTTTGCAGGAGTCCCTCATGGGATAACTCTGGCAGCTTTTTGGGACTGTTAGACAAGTCACATGCAGAGTGCCTTCAATCTGTTAAAACTTCCTCAAGCTGCAGAACTTGCCAGCTGGGTCAAAACCATGCCTCTAAGACAAATCCCCTCATGATCTGGTCCTATGAATGAGGGTTGCTAAACTCTAACACTCATGACTGGAGACAAAACCACACTCAACTCTGAGTTCTGACCATAGGTTCCCTCCTCTGCCTGAGACCAGAATGCCAATCCCTGGTCTGACACTTTCTAAACCAGTGGCTGTTACCTCCACTGGCTGGCAGGTTTCCATACAGCCTGCTGTGAGCTAGCATCAGAAATGGCTTCTTTCTATTTGTCTCCAGGAATGAAAACATTAATGGAACACTTCCCAGTGTCATTCTTTCTCACAGTCTCCTGGCTCCTTCCCATGTTAGATCCAAGGCTTGGGATGGTCAAGAGGCTCCCCTGTGGTCTGGCTTGCATGATTCCTCAGTGGGAATGTGTATCACAGAGACACTACCCTCACCCCAAAAAACACACACTTGAGATTCACTAATTTTCAGCTGGACAAAGTAAATGTGGGTTGCTGTCTGCATTCTTTTTCTCAATATCTGAAGTTTTCCTTGCTTTTCTGTTGAACTCCCACATTCTTTCTTGAGTGAAAATTCACAACATTAATCTGTACACACTATTTTGCTATTTCCAAGTGGTTAAGTTATGCTGGCAAAACCTTTATTCAACAATCTTGGAAGGAAAAGAAACACAAACTATACTTTTTTATATTTAAGACTCATCTAGTTTTTCATTAGTTCCTACCAAATTTACTTTAATCACAAAATAATATTAAACTGTATGGATATACCGCAGGTTTATCCATTCACCTATTGAAGGACATTTTGTTTGCTTTTAGTTTTGTGTGATTATGTATAAAGCTACTATAAACGTATATGTGCAAGTTTTTATGTAGACAAAAGTATTCATTTCACTTAGTTACATATCTAGAAGTCCAATTGCTAGACTGTTAGTTAGCATTATAAGATCTGCTAAACTGTTATTGAAGGGGCTGTACCATTTTGCATTCTCATCGGGAATGAACGAGATTTCCTGTTGCTTTTCATCCTGTTTGGTATTGTCAGTTTTTTTGGTGTGTGTTTGCTTTTCTTTCTTTTTTTTTTTTTTTTTGCCATTCTAATGTGCTGTTATACTATTTGAATTTGCAATTCTCTAATGACAAATGATGTTGACCATCTTCTCACATGTTTATTTTCCATCTTTACATCCAAGGTATTTGTTCAGATTTTTTTTCTTTTTAAAATGAATTTTTTTTGTATTGTTGAGTTTTGAGAGTTCTTTGTATATTTGAACACAAGTTTTTCATTATAGGTGTTTTCCAATTATTTTCTAACAGTTGGTGGTCTGTATTTTCATTTTCTTAATAGTATCTTTTGCAGAATAGAAATTTTTAATTTTAACCAAGTTCAGCTTATCAGCTTTTCCTTCATAGATCATGAGTTTATTGTTTTATTTTAAAAATTTCCAAACTGAAGATCTCCTAGTTTTTCTTCTAGACGTTTTATAATTGTGCTTCTATATTTAAGATCTATGATACATTTTGAGTTAATTTTTATGAAAGAACTAGTGCCTGCTTGTAGGTTCATTTCTGTGCATAGGAATTTCTAATCTTTGGAATATTATTAGTTAAAAAGTATTTCTTCTACATTGAATTAATTCACTCCTTTGTCAGTGATCAGTTGGCTATATTTGCATGGGTCTATTTCTGGACTCTATTCTATTCTGTTAATCTATGTATCTTTTCTTTTGGCAATACTACAAGGTCTTCATTAGCTCTATTAAAATAGATCTTGATATTGCTACTGTATGTTCTTAAATTTTTTCTTCTTCTGTACTATTTTGTTGGTAATTTTAAGTCTTTTGCTTATCGCTATAAAGTTTAGAATCAGGTGGGTAATATCTAAAACAGCTTTCTGTGATTTTGAATGGGATCTATAAAGTTGTGAAGAATTGACAGCTTTACAATATTGAATTCTCCAATTCATAAACGTAACATATTTATTTATTTATCTCTTCTGTAACTTTTTCATCAGAGTTCTGTAGTTTTCTGCGTATAAGCTGTGAATGTATTTTGCTAAATTTATACTTATGTATTTCCTTTTATGGTACTATTATAAATGGTATCTTTTTTATAATTTCACATTCCAATTTTTCATTGTTAGTATATAGGAAAGCAATTGAGTTTGTATATTGTCTTTGTATCTTGTGATATTTTCATATTCACTTTAATTCCAGGAAATTTTTCTTTTTGTAGGATCTTTAAAATTTTCTACAAAGATAATCATGTCATCATGTCACTAAAAAATCATTATTATTACCTTCTTGACTGCATAGCTTTTATTTTCCTTGTCTAATTGCAGTAGCTAGGACTTCCAATCTAGTGTTGAATAGATGTGCTGAGAGAAGACATCCTTACTTTGTTTCTTATCTTATGGGGAAAGCATCTAATTCTGTGTGTTATTGATTACAGGTTTTTTGGCAGATGTTCTTTATCAAGTTGGTAATGTTAATCTATATTCCCAATTTGCTGTGTATTTTTTATTGCAAATTAATGTTGCGTTCTTTATCAAGTTGGTAATATTCATCTATATTCTCAATTTGCTGTGAATTATTTTAATTGTAAATTAATATTGGGTTTTTTGAAGAAGTTCTTCCTCCGTCAAATAACATGATCACATGATTTTTCTTCTTCAGCTTGTTGACATGTTGAGTCACATTGTTTGATTTTCAGTGATGAATAAATCTTAAATAGCTGAAACAAATCACACTTGTTTGTCATAAATAATTCTTTTCATATATTGTGGTTTCAATTGGGTACTATTTTTTGGGACATTTGAGTCTACATGCATGGAAGATATTAGTATGTAGTTTCCTTCTTTTTAATAAATTCATTACACTTTAGCAATATATAATATTGGCCCTATATAATGAGTTAGAAAACATGTTTCCTGTGTCTGTTGCCTGGAAGAGGTTGAGAAGAATTGATTTTTTTTTCTTAAATAACTGCTAAAATTTTCCAGTAAAACAATATGGGCTGCTTTATATTTTTGTAAGGTTGTTAATTAGTGATACAATGTAGTTGATACTTATAGAACTATTTTCTACTTCTCCTTGTAGGAGTTTTAATACTTTATATCTTTCAATAAATTGGTAAATATCATCTAACATCAAATTTGTGGGAATAGCCCTGTTCAATGAACACCTGGACTATCCTTTAATGATGTCTACATCAATGGTAATGATTACTTTTTTATTTCTGATATTGATAATGTATGATCACTTTCTGTTAGCTTTACTAATGGTTTATCAATTTGATTGATATTTTAAAGTTTTCAGCTTTTTATTTTACTGATAATCTCCATTTTTTTCCTATTTTCAATATTATTGACTTTTGTTCTAATTATTATGTTTTATTAATTTAGTTGTGTTAGAACTAAATCACTCTTTTCCTAATTTCCTAAGGCAGAAGCTTAGGCTATTGATTTTTGATCTCTCCTTTTTCCTAATATGTCTTTAATGTTATAAATCTCTCTTTAATTATTGCTTTTGGTATATCTCATACATTTTTATAAGTTGTAATTTCATTTATATTTAGTTCTAAATATTTTTAAATTTCTCTTGAGATTTCTTTATTGTCATATATGCTATTTGAAAATATTTTGTACATGCTGTAAATAGTTGGGGATTTCTTAGCTATCGTTTAGATATAGATTTATAGTTTAATTCCATTATGGTCTAAGAACATGCATTGTATGATTTCTAAACATTTAAATTATAAAGGTATGTTTTATTTCCCAGAAGGTGGACTCTCTATGCAAATAAGACACAGGAATTTAAGAAGAACAGTCTGTTTTTTAATGGGATGTGCTGTGAATGTCAATTAGATTGAGTTGATTGATATTGTTCTTGATGTCAAATATGTCTTTACTAATTTTCCGTCTGCTCGTTCTGTCAATTAATGATAAAAGTATACTTGAGTCTCTGTCTTAGTCTTTTCAGACTGCTGTGATAAAATACTATATACTGGGTAGCTTATAAACAAAGAAGTCTGTTTTTCACAGTTCTGAATGCTGAGAAGCTCAAGATCAAGATACTGGCAGTTTTGGTGTCTGATGAGTTTCTACTTTCGGATTCTTAGATAGCATCTCATCACTGTTTCTTTGCATGATGAAAGGGATAAGGAGGTTTTGTTTGGGCCTCTTTTATAAGAGGCTAATCTCCTTTATGAGACTTTTACCCTCATGACCTGTTATGGTTAATAGTGAGTGTCAACTTGACTGGATTGAAGGATGCAAAGCATTGATCTTGGGTGTGTCTGAAGGTGTTGCCAAAGGAGATTAACATTTGAGTCAGTGGGTTGGGAAAGGCAGACTTACCCTTAATCTGCGGGGGCACCATCGAATCAGTTGCCAGTGTGGCTAGACTATAAAGCAAGCAGAAACAAAATGTGAAAAGACTAGACTGGACTAGCCTCCCAGCCACCCCCTACATCTTTCTCCCATGCTGGATGCTTCCTGTCCTGGAACATGAAACTCCAAGTTCTTCAGTTATGGGACTCAGACTGGCTCTCCTTGCTCCTCAGCTTTCAGATGGCCTACTATGGGACCTTGTGATTGTGATCATGCCACTGTAACCCACCCTGGGCAACAAAGTAAGAACAAGTCTCAAAAGGAACTGAAAAGTAGTGTGGCCGTATTTTTCTTTTTTCCTTTTGCATTTACTGTGCTGCCAGTAAATTCATTTATCCGCAAAGTCATTAAGGGAGTTAATATCTAATAAACTCCTCCTTTTATGTCTAAAAACTTCCCTTTTTATATATGTGTTTATCTATATATATATGTTTATATATATATATATAGAGAGAGAGAGAGAGACAGAGAGAGAGTCAGGGTTCTCTAGAGGGAGAGAACTAATAAGCTATATATAATGTGTGTATATATATAAACTCCCATATATATATGTATACACACATACATATATGTATATATATGTATGTGTGTATACATATATATGTATACACACATATATATAGCCTACTAGTTCTCTCCCTCTAGAGAACCCTAATACATGACCTTATCACTGTCCCAAAGGCCCCACCTCCTAATATTATCGTCTTTCATATACCTTTAGAATTATTATGTTTTCTTGGAGAATTGGTCCCTTTAGCACTATGCAATGCCGCTCTAACACTTGGAATTTTATTGCACTATAGTTTTCTTTGTTGGAAATTAAATAGTTACACTAGCTTTCTTTTATTACTGTTAGCATGATGTAACTCTCCATTTATATACTTTTAATCTATGTATATATCTATAGTTAACTGAATTTTTTAATAGACATTGTGTATTATTTTTTCTGTATCCTACCAGTTTTTCTTTTAATTACAATATCCAGACCACTCACATTTAAAATGATTGTCGATATAGTTGTATTAATATCTACCACATTTATAACTGTTTTCTATTTATTTTATATGTTTATTATATATTCATAGTTATTTAAAATTCCTTGTTTGACAATTCCAACATCTATATCAGCTTTAGTTCTTGTTATTATGAATGCTTTGTCTCTTCAAAATATGTTTTTTCTTGCCGTTTGGCAGGCCTTATAACTTTTTGTTAAAGTCAGACATGATGTATCTGTCCTGTTAATAAGGATTACATTATATGTGGCCTTTTGTGTGAAGATTTATGTTACTCCTGCTTGAAATAGGATTGTGTTTACTGTTTTCTATAGTTGTATGTACTAAGGATTAAAATTATTTTTCTTTTCTTTCTCTGTCTTCTACATGGTCTTTGGGCTTTTCTAATAATTGCTTTCAGGGAGAGTCTGAAACTTGCAGCTTTTTTGTTGTTGTTGTTAGCTATAATCCACTGCTATTCCACTGAAACCTGTTGGTCTAGTGGTCTAGTTGTAGGAGAAAGAAAGTATTGTGTAATCTTATGATTAAATTCTGTCTGGTAGTGAGCTGATGTTTCTGGGCTGTGATTTTCACACATTTTTTAACTTTTTATCCCCACTTAAGTGAGACAGGAAGGCAAGCAGTGTGATGTTTGAGCAGTTATCTTCTCCTAGATGGGATAACCCTATGTTAGCCTTTTCCCCTACAGATTAAATCTTTTTGTGGGTAAAACTTGAATTTATTTCATGATGATTATTCTTCCCTTCCCACCGCTAGAGCCAAGAGGGTATCCTTCTTGGCTCCTGACTGTGAGAGACTGATGGGGTTCCTGGAGAAAGTACCCACTTAACTGTAGCCTCAGAAGTTACTCACTCTCCCTGTAGTTCACACTCAGTCTTCAGCATTCATTAAGATTACTTGTTCTGACTTGCTGACCCCAGCAGCCTCTGCTCCAGATGAATAGATCTTGGCAATGACTTTTGGATTCAACCTATCTCTCCATATTTCAAGATCTCAGTTTGCTCTGTGACCTCAGGTCTCTCTGATAACTTCAAGAAAAGTCATAAGGTTTCAGTTTGTTAAGATTTCTCAACTTGTCAGAACTGAAGTGATGACTTTCAGGCTCTTTAACTGTTGGAGCTAAAACTAGAAAAAGAACATTTCTTAAATGAAAAAGAACAGATTAAAATAGAAATGGATCACATTTAGTAAAAGTAAGAAATATTTTAAATTATATACAGAAATGTGCATGTGTGCAAGTATTTAATGGGCAAAAATAGAATTGATCAAACTTTTTAAAAAGTTTAAAAAATATTGACCTAGAATACTGGTTTAATTTTGTTTTTCTCAACTAATGGGTATTCCAATGCTGGTGTACCTCTGATTTGAACCAGGTTAATATAAAATATAGGAAAAAATTTATTTCAGGTTCCATATAAATCCCAGTCTACTGGCTGTAATGCAACAATTTGCTCTTGTAACTAGAAATTTGCAGCACTCCTTAAGGAAATGTTTCTATAGATATTAATTTAGTTTTGACAGTGTTGATCACTAAACAGTTAATTAACTAATTTAAAAACACTGGAGGAAAGGTTAGAGAAAAGCATTGGAAAAAATTTTAAAAAAAGACAGTAGGAAGAAATCCAGTACTTCAACTTATACTGATACCGTCAAGCTTCTCAAGTGAGTTTTTCTTTTAAATCATTATGTCATTCTGTTCTCACTGGGGAATAGCTTATTCACACTGGTTAATTTTCCACATACTTAAAACTTCACTTTTTCTGTTAAAAAATATTTTTTACCCTAAATGTGTCTGATTAAAACACATGAGCATTTGGATTAGAAGAGTATGTGCAGATCATTTGTTAGTATCAATCACCTTATCTTGATATATGCAACACTGAGGCTCTTTCCTGTTTTGGGTACCAGCCTCTTCTAAGGCACTTGTTTTAAAAAAATGTCTCTTAGGTATATGGTCAAAGGTTTTTCCCATTACGAAAAACAGGAGTCCTGTCTTTGATGTCCAAACTAAAAAATGTACTACTAAAAAATGTAGCTGACTTTCCCAAAACTACAAATCCAAGGAAAATAGGTCCTGCAATTCCCATTTTTACAATGCACATAATCATTGCTAAGGTTCAAATGCATTCCCCAAAGTTTATGTGTTTGAAACTTAATTCCAAATGCAACCGTGTTAAGAGGTGAGACCTTTCAAATTGGTTAAGTCACGGGAGTCCTTACCTCATGAATGAATTAATTCCATTATTTCAACAGTGGGTTCATTATCGTTGGAGTAGATTCGTAATAAAAAGATGAGTTCACCCCCCTTTTCTCTCTGTCTTCCTCATGTGATGTCTTCTGACATGTTATAGCACAGCAAGAAGGGCCATTTAAGATGCTAGCACCTTGATCATAGACTTTCTAGCTTCCAGATCCTTGAGAAAACAAATTATTATCCTTTATAAATTATCCAGTCTTAGGTATTTTTTTTCTTATAGCAGCACAAGACAGACTAAGACAATCATTTCCATTTTCCCAAACAGTCTTATTAAGCCATTTCAATGATGATGTAATTGAGTCTCATGGAAGTTAAGTAACTTAGATATAGATAAAATAAGTGCCTCAGTAGTAGAAAGCTAATAACATATATAGCAAATTCAAACTTATACCAAAGCTTATACCAAAATATAGAATGTTAACCACTGTCTTCATATCTACAATTTGCTTTGGAAATAAACTATTTTTTTTACTTAACTAACATTTTAATACAAATAAAATAGAAAAAGCTTATAATATGGAAAACAGTTGATTACCTAAGTACATTCAAAACTGTTATATACAAAAGCATATTAAAAAGTCACGTTTACTTCAGAATTTGTAGAATAAAGAAAAAAACACAATGTATTTCAAGGAAGATTGAAGTATATAAAGATTTTCCTTAAGTAAATGCATGCTAAATACATTATTTAAAATTTCTATAGATTTGTATCTTTATCACTAAGTAAAGCTGCATTCCAATTTTACGGTAAAATATAAAATTAATTGTCAAAAATATATATGAAAAACTAGTAAACTGGACTTTGAAAACTTAGATCCCAGGCCAATGTGTAATACTAGTTTTTGTCACCGGCAAAAGAGCTTACCATGAATCCCTATTTCCTCTTTTTAAACTGAAGAGTGTTAAGTTTTATGACTTCATAAGCCCCTTTTAGTTCTAAAGTTGTACATCTGGTTTCACTCACACATGAATTCGTCAGAGATGGTAAATCTTCTGTTTTATTTTTATTCACTCCATGTTTCTTGTACTTGTATGAAGGCTGACCATAATTGCTGCTAGATATCAAACACCTCATTATTAACAATGTGGTTGCCTATAGATTTTATTTTTTCAATTTCAAATGTCTGAAAAAAATGAGTTATTTTTACTGAGAAAAGTTCTTTAATATTTTTTTCTGATTGAGTTGATACATTTTCATTTTTCTCTTGTAGAAGTCTTATTTCTACTTTTCAATAAATAAATTTACAACTGCCAACAACTTTCTCAAAGTCACAGTTGATTTCACAGATGATCATAAAAAGGCCAGAAAAAGCTAAAATAATGGAAAAAATGACTGCCTGATAGAACACTTTTGTTGCATGTATTCATGTATAACAATTCATGATGAAAATATGAAAGAGACTACCACTGCATTCAAAAAGGAGAAGTTCAAAAAAAGTTAAGATTAAAAATTTTCTCAGCTATATTTCTGCATTTTTCTAGACTTTTGATACTTTCATTTTAACTATGTGATTATTGATATACATGGCTTTTTGGCCACTATACAATGACATTATTTAACTTTCTGCTTTAACCACTTAACCCAAAACTTGTAGCTTAAAATATTATTTATTTATGTCACTATTCTGTAAGTCTACATGTTGGGCCACATTTATCTGGGTTAAGTTTTCCACTGGTTTTGGCAAGACTCATGTGAAACGTGGTCAGCTGCCAGGTTGTCTCATGGCTCATTGGTCTCAAAGAGTCTCTTCTTTGATGGTTTATTTCTGCCTCCTGTAGGTCAGCCCAGGCTTACTCAAATGGCAACTAGGTCCACAATGACAGCAAGAGTGGAATATGCAAGGCTTCCTAAGGTCAAGTCTTCAAATTCTTCCATCGTTTCTAAATTTTGTCATTCAAAGGAAATCACCAGGGCAGCTCAGATTCAAAGGGCATAAATATAAACTACACATTGATTAGAATAGCTGCAAGGTTCAGGCCATGTTGGCTTATGTGTATAACCCCAGCACTTTGGGAGGCCAAGGCAGGAAGACTGATAGAGCATAGGAGTTTGAGGCTGCAGTAAGCCATGATCATGCCACTGTACCCCAGCCTGGGCAACAAAGTAAGAACACGTCTCAAAAGGAACTGAAAAGTAGTGTGGCTATATTTTTCTTTTTGCATTTACTGTGCTGCCAGTAAATTCATTTATTGGCAAAGTCATCAGCAAAGTCATATGTGTTGAACAAATGTTTGGTTGAATATGCATGAAATAAAGAGATGAAGATAATATAATTCAGTATGAGACTAATTACTAGATTCCCAAATTGAGGCCTTAAACAATGACTATTAACTATCATGTTAGACATTCTTCAGATAAAATTCAGGACCCTCTTTGATGGCTACAACAAGCGCTTGGAATAGTCTCTAAAAAAACTAACAGTAGACATATTCTGCCCTTAAGTATGGAATAAATCATGGAAATAATCACCTGTCTCACACAACAAAAAGTGTGAGAAAAATATTGTTTACCCAAAGAAAAATTTTTTTTTTTTTGAGATAGAGTTTCACTCTTTTTGCCCAGGCCGGAGTACAATGGTGCAATCTCGGCTCACTGCAACCTCTGCCTCCTGGGTTCAAGCAATTCTTCTGCCTCAGCCTCCCAAGTAAGTATCTGGGATTATAGGCCCCCACCATCACACCCAGCTAATTTTTTTTTTTTTTTTTTTTTGTGATGGAATCTCACTCTGTCACCCAGGCTGGAGTGCAGTGGCATGGTCTCGGCTCACTGGAACCCCCGCCTCCCGGGTTCAAGCAATTCTCCTGCCTGAGCTTCCCAAGTAGCTGGGACTACAGGCACACGTAGTCACAAACAGCTAATTTTTTGTATTTTAGTAGAGATAGGGTTTCACCATGTTGCCCAGGCTGGTCTTCAACTCCTGACATCAGGTGATCCACCTGCCTTGGCCTCCCAAATTGCTGGGATTACAGGTGTGAGCCACCACGTCCGGCCCCAAAGAAATTTTTAAGTGAGGACTATTCCCTGGTATTGGAGGCAGAAAATATATTCATTTATTAATTCTATAGATAACTGACCACCTACTCTAGAGATAGAAAATAAACCACACATTTAAAAATCTCTGCTTTAATAAATTTATATCATAGAAGGATAATTTGTAAGTAGAATAAAGAACAGTATTTCAAAATTTCCAGTTTGATCCTAATCGATGTTTTCCCTGGGTTTAACATTTCTGTAAGTCTCATGGGAAAGTCCTGTTTAAGGATTTCCCTTTTTCTTTTTGAATTAAAAGTCAAGGAGCAAAAAGGTCAAAATATGGGAACAACCCAAAGACCTATCAACTGATAAATGGATGACCATTATCCTATGAAGTATTATTCAGTCACAAAAAGGAATGAAGCACTGATAGATGATACAACATGGGTCAATTTTTGAAACATTAAGTATAATGTTTCACTTAGTACAGTGAAAGAAGCCAGTGACAAAAGACAATATTAGTGTGATCCCATGTATATGCAATGTCCATAATAAGCAAATCTATAGAGACAGAAAGTAGATGAGTGGTTGCCTAGGGCTAGAGGCAATGGGAAGGTTGTAAGGTGAAGAGTACAAGGTTTATTTTGGGAATGACAAAAATGTTCTAAAATGGACTATGCTGATTATAGCACAACTCTGTGAATACACTAGAAAACACTGAATTATACACTTTAAATGCATGAATTATATGGTGTATGAATTTCATCTTTATAATTTTTTTCCTTTAAAAAAATCACAGGGAAAGGAATTTTCTTTCCTGTAATGGGAGAACAGCTTATATTCACATATTTCTATCAGAGTTCCAGAAAAAGAAGAGAGAAAAAATTATGCGTAAAACTATTTGAAGAATTATTTCCTGAAAATTTTTCAAATTTGGTAACTTACAGTAACCCAAAGATTTTTAGAGTGAAACAAAGGCCAAGAATGTTAATTAAAAAGAAAACACCACCTAATCATATTATAATTAAATTTGAGACCTAAAGATTAAGAAATAATCTCAAAAGCAGTAAGGAAAAAATACATATTAAATATAGGGGAACAGTGATAAAAATAAAAGGTCTCTATATATAAGTATATATATATATGAGAATATATATGACTATGTATATAGCCATATATAAATATATCTATAAATATATATACACATAAATGCACATGAATATATAGATGATTATAAATATATGTGCATCTATCTATCTACACACTCAGACACAACACACACACGCACGTACACTCACAGAGGTTTATTTTTAAAAATTGGTTCATGCTATTGGGAAAGCTAGCAATTCCAAAGTCTTCAGGGTAAATGGACAGGTTGAAGCCCAAGGAAGAGTTGAAGTTGAATCTGAAGGCTGTCTGCTGGCAGAATTTCTCCTTCCCTGGGGGAGATCATTCTTAATTTTCTCAAGACTTTCAACTAATTGGATAAGGTTCATCCACATTATGAAGAGTGTCTATTTTACTCAAAGTCTACTTATTTAAATATTAGTCTCATTTAAAAAATACCTTCACAGCAATATTCAGATGTGTATGAACAAATATTGGGGTACTGTGGACAAGCCAAGTTGGCATATAAAATTAACCACCACAACTTCCAAATGAAATTACCAATTAAATAACAAGACAATACAATTAGACTGGCATCAGATTTATCAAAACAATATAAAAAGCAAGCCTTTAATGGAGCATCAGTTTTTAAAGAAATTTAATTAAAAAATGAGTGAAAAAGGATGTTTACTATTAAATTGTCCATCAAGTATCAAAGCTATTCAAATATTGTTTTAAATAGTGCATAGCCCAGGGAATACTATACTCACTAGCTGTTCTCAAGCAATTGACTAGAGTGGTCAGAAAAGTTTTTGCTAAGGAGTCACATAATGAATATTTTAAGCTTTGTTGGTTCTATGTGTTTCTGTCATATTTTCTTCTTCTTTTGTTTTTCTACAACTGTTTAAAATTGTGAAATACAACTTTCATGGACCATAATTTAACAGGATGCATGCCAGATTTGGCCCCTGGGAGCATATTAATTCCTGTGTTAAAAAATGTGCTTCATCTAACCAAGAGATGACTAAATAAACACTGGCAAAAGCACTATTGATGAACATTTAATTGTAAAGGCAAGGGCCAAAAAATTATTGTAGATATACACATATACATATACAAACATACATATGTGTACTTCAATATGTATACATATATAAATCAAAATGTATTCTGACAGAGTCAAAATAATGAATGTAAAGAATGGTAGAAAAAGGGAGATGGGAATAAGAAATATATATTCACTGAATAATGAAAAATCAATAGGTGGGAACCAAAAGATGCCATAAGAAGTAGCAGAGTAAAATGTAAAAAAAAAGAGAGATTAAAGGCTTTTAAAAAAGTAAAGGTATAAAGATAATCATAGGATCAAAACTACTGATATTTCTAAATATCAACTAAATTTAAAAAAAAAATTATTCATCATCAATAAAATATATCAAATATAATACAAATAGCAATTATAAATCTGACAGCTGAGACCAATAATAATAGTCATAGAAATAAATATGAATAGACTTAATTGTTAGAAGAGAAGATTTTCATTTTGGCTGACAAAAAAACTGCCCAACTACATACTGAACACGAGATATTGACAACAGAGATTCATAGGATCTAAAATAAGAGTTTCTTGGTTTCTACAACATTTTGAGTCTGAGATTTTAGGTATTGACTTGTACTGCATTCTATTCATCAAAGCAAGTCATAAGGCCATCTAAATTCAGATAAAAAATAAACTAGCCCTTCATCAAAGTTGCTGCAAAGCCATTGTAAAAAGCCATGGATATTAGAAAAGAATATTTGTGGATATTATGATATTATTTCAAACAACTTACCACATCTGGTATTGCATTACACTTAATCTTCACAGAAATGCACATGAAAAGTATTATTATTCTTTTTTAAAATTTACTGTTATGGGAATTTTGCCTCATGGATGTTAAACCACTTGTCCAAGATCATATCACTATTAAAATGACATTATTAAGACATAAATCAATTTCTGTGCAACTCTAAAATACATGCCACTGAAGATTACACCATGCTAATTGGTTCTTTCCCTGTTCTAGAATTCAATGAATTGCAAGGAAAATCTTATTTCACAGCTATATCAAGGCATTTGGCTTCTATTCTCTATCATTGTGCTGAAAGTGTCTTCAGTATGGAAAGGATGGGGATACCAATAAGAATCTAAAAGCTGAGGAAGAGAAAGTAATTTCATTATTTGCAGACATTATGATTATCTACATAGAAAACCCATGGGAATGATTTAGAAACAATGAGAATGATTTAGAAACAATGAGAACTTAGAGAGTTTGCTAATGAAGCAAGTCACAGAATTAATCAATACATAAACATGAATGGTTTTCCTGGATATCTGCCATGACTAGTTAAATTATAAATAATTAAATAAAGCACATGGACAATACCAAAAATGATGACAGAAATACAAGTTTTCATGTTTTGTTCTGGATTTCAATCTCAAAAATACAAACACCTCTATGTGGAGATTTCATGCACACTGCAGACTTACATTGCAAATTGAACTCATCATTATCATGTCCCTCTATCCTACTTCACCCTATGGATTCCCTCGCTCAACTCATGACATTCCCGTGTCCTTATGCCCATGTTGAAAGTCTGATGTTATTGGCTTTATTACTTGAAT
Source organism: Homo sapiens (assembly GCF_000001405.40). Taxonomy (NCBI): domain Eukaryota; kingdom Metazoa; phylum Chordata; class Mammalia; order Primates; family Hominidae; genus Homo; species Homo sapiens. The sequence continues at coordinate 31,554,011 of NC_000004.12, forward strand.
ATCTCCTCCCCTTACCCCTCAAATCTATATTTTTGCTAATTTTGCCTCTAAATGTTTTAATAGACTTTAGTCAGTTATAATTTTCAAAAATAAAATGCATATATTTTAATGTATGTTTGTTGAGTTTTGACAAATTTATCTACCTATAGAAACACCACCTTAATCAAGCTATAAAATATTTTCAAAATCCCAAAAAGTTTACACATAACTTCTTAGAATCAGAGTCATCCTCCCAAGGCAACCGTTGAGGTGAGTTTTATCACCACAATTTAGATTTACTTTTTCTAGAACTTTAATACGCAAAACCATATTGCGCATATTCTTTTGTATGTGACTTATTTTGTTCAGCATAATATTTTTCAGATTCATTCAGGTTGTGTGTAACATTAATTCACTAATTTTTTATTGCTGAATACACTAAGCCAAATATTTCTTAGGTATTATTGTCTCCACCAATGCTTATGTTACACATCCTTTCTAATTTGTATCTTTCCTATTAATGGCATGGTATACTTTCATTATGACTTTTTCAATTGTCTCTTTCATACTGTCTCAGAGCACTATTATAAAAAGCCTCCAATCTCACTATGCAACTCCTCTACAAAATATCCATCAATGGATTCTCTCAAATGATAGATTAAAAGAATAAGCCCCTTACAATAGCATCCAGGATCATTCAAGATCTGTTCTTTTCCTCCTTTGCCTGCCTTATCTCATTATGATTCAGAACTTCCTAAGTACATTTACATTTCCTTATATTTTATTTTAGCTCTATTTTGTTTTGTTCTACATTATTTGCTTTTTGAGCCTAAAAGAGTTTTCTTTTCTTCTTTGTTTAGGTGAGAATTCTTTCACAATTTGAATAGGAAAGTGACATGGTAATTTAGGACAAAGAGAATAGTGTTCAAAATGTTGATGCATATTTTAAAAAGCATGATGAAATGGTGTGCATGGATGGGTAGAAATCATGAAAGTATTTCTGGTATTGTTTCAGCTAGATCTCTCAGGGGGTTTTGCAGGAGCTGACATTGGAAGTCTAGGCTGGGTTGACATCAAATGTTCTGCAAATGAATTCATTGGTCATTATCCAGCAAAAGTGATGGAAAATTATTGACATGTTTTGCATGTTATATTAGTTGTCTATTGCTGCCACAACTAAGTACCACAAATTTAGTGTTTTAAAACAATACAAATTAATTATTTCACAGTTTTACAGGTCAAAAAGTCCCATTTGGTTCAATTGGTTTATATGACCCAAGAGTTACAAGGCTAAAGTCAAAGTATTTATTGGCTGGGCTCTTCTCTGGAGGCTTTGGGGTGAATCTGCTTTCCAGTTCATTCAGCTTGTTAAAAGAATCCAGCTTTTTATAACTGTAGAACTGAGGTCCCTATTCTTTGATGGCTGTCAGCTAGGGGTGGCCTCTAGCTCCTAGAGGTTTCTTTCTGTTCCTTATATGTGGCCCTCTCACTTCAGAACAAGCAATGGCTCATCAAATCCTTCTCACACTTGGAATCTCTCTGACTTCACTTTTTGCTGCTTATCTTCTACCAAGTCTGTTCTGCTCACATCTAGACAAACTTTTTTTGTTTGTTTTTAACCACCCGTCGAATTACACTGAGCCCATCCAGAAAATCCAGGATAATCCCCCCTTTTACAATCCATAACCTTAATTACATCTGCACAGTCTCTTTTGACATGTAACATAACATATTCACTGGTTCCTGGAGATTAATTTGTCGACGTCTTTGGGGGATGGAATTTGACGAGGTCAGATTTAGGTCATAGCAGATGCTTATAGACCACTTATATCTCCATGAAAATTCATGCATTGAAACAAATTTATAAGGGGGTCATTAAGAGATTATTAGTCCCTTATAACAAGCACCCTCCACCCTCCTCAGTGAGCTCCATTGTTACTTCTGTCACGTGAAAACACAGCAAAAAGGCAACCCTCTAAAAACCAGGAAGTGGGTCCTCACCAGACGGCAAATCTGCTGGAGCCTTTATCTAGAACATCTCAGCCTCCAGAAGTGGGAGAAGTAAATTTCTATTGTTTATAAATTACCCACTCTATGGTATTTTGTTATAGCAGCCTAAATGGATTAAGAGAGAAGGTTTATTCTGGTAACTGGGTGGAAGTTATATGTGGACATAGCAGATGCCTCTGTTGACTGCATTATATTCCTTCAATCCACTTGTGATTTCAGTCACATCTTGTGAGCTCACATTCACCAAATTTTCCCACTGTCTTACCTCAGTTGCAAGCTGTATAATTTATAATTTGCTCAAGGAACTTTTTATTCCTGTAGTTTCTCCATAAGCACAGCCCGGAAGTCGTAGCAGGGAGGTAGAGAGGGGTGTTTTAAGCCTCTCAGGTTTAGGTCGTCATCTGTGAAGGATGGAAGTTGACTGATAAATGCACCTCTTCCATTTTGCATGTGATGAGTCTTCACATTTGTCAACACTCCCAGTGGATTTGAGCCTGGTTCCCACACCAGCAACTCATTCCCTAAATACTGCTGCCTGTGATCACTTCCCAAATAGATTGTCTGTCAGTACCCATATCCTTGTCTCAAGTTTTGTATTTGAGATAATTTTAACCAAGACAAAAAGCAAGCTGTCACATTTATAGGGAGGTCACTGTAATACTTTATTATGAGGGTCTGAAAGTCAACCAAGGCATTGGCAAAGGGCTAAATGGAAGAAGATAGTTTTAAGACATGCAACTGATTATATTTAGAATGACTATGGAATGGAGAGAGAGAAAGAATATTTGAGAAGGTTAACTTGCAAGGAAGGCAGGTGAAGAAAAGTGAGGTGGTATTATATCTGTTCCCAATATGGACTTTAATCTGAAACAATGATAAACCTGGACACTATCTAGATTTAAGCATCAAATATGCCGTAAGTAGTTAATTGCTTCAAAGTACTTCATTAGTATATTAATTAACTAACTCTAAGATTACAGAATATGGAAAATGTAAACGCTTATGTAGTGCTTACTGCAAGCCAGGTACTGTTCTAAGCACTTTATGATATAAATCAATTTTATCCTCTTAATATCCTTATTGGTAGATACTATTAAATCATCCTTATTTTAGATATAAGAAAACTGAGATGCAGAAAGATTTATTAACTTTCCCAAGTTTACACAGATCTAAGTAGTAGTGCTGGGGTTTGAACCCAGGGCCATCATGCTCTCGAGTTGGAGATATTAGTTCTACACAATTCTGTATCTCTTAATACTAATACTAGTACTTTTTCTAGTAATACTAACATAAATATGCATGATTATGGGAGATTGAAAATATGGATACAATATTTTACAGTCCTTCTATCAAAAGGTGGAGACTGTTTCCCCAAATCCTGAATCCAGGCTGGTCCTGTGACTTATTTGACCAATAGGAATAGGCAAATTAAACACTATGTGAATTCTAGAGAATAGCCCCAAGAGTCCTTGTTGTTCATGCTTTTTCTCTCCTTTAAGGAAGCCAAGCCACACTGCTAACTGATGAGAGACCAGCTTGAAAGAGGGAGGACCTGCCAATTGCCATCAGCACAACTCCAGATATATGGGAGTCAGGTGATCATAAACCATCCATTTTCTGCTGAGTCACAGTAGACTGCAACTCCATGAATGAGACAAGGAGGTGTCGGTAAAAACAAAACAAAACAAAACAAAGCAAAAACTGCCTGGTGTAACCACAGAATCTTAAGAAATAATAAATGATTTTAATCCAATGTTCTGAGTCGGTTTGTTTTGCAATGGTAGAAAACCAACTATGATTAACAGAGAGGCTACTCACAATAAGAAACAATGCTAGCTGCTGTGGGAAATAACAAGGTAGTAAAATATGTTGCTAAAATTAAGAGGCAGCAGTAAGACTTCACCTTGAGGGAGAGAATGATGGAATAATTAAGAACTATAAAAACAAATCTAGAATACTTTAAAAGATTCCTTCAGATAAGATCTTAGAATGGAGAAATAGTAATCGATGAAGAAATGTTTGCTCCTAAACCATATGTTTTCCTTGTTTATGAAACTATTGCAAGTACACACTATAAATAGTGTGTTTTTATGAACGCAGTTATTTTAAAGATATAAAAAGAACTGAAGGGAAGATGAGCTTTGAAATCAGATAAGCCAGTATTGTAATACCTATGTTACAATTTATCATCTGGCTGGTTTTGAACCAGTTACCGGAGAATATTTTTACCTCAGTTTCTGGTCTGTTAAATGGGAATATCGGTATCTGATTTATAGACTTGTTTGTTAGTTAAGTACAGTGACGTGAGTAGACAGCTCTTTTAATGTCTAGTTTAAAAATTGGTGTACAAAAATTGTACTTTACTTCGTCCTCAACTTGTTGTAGGAGAACTTAACGAAATATCCATAGTTAATTATATCACAATGAATATAGTCCCACTTTCTCAATTATATTTCTAATAAATTAGAATTTTCCATTACAACTTTTACACCCAGGCATGCCTAAAACAGTGTGGCTTTCATTTTAGCTAACCCAATTGATAATAAATTAAGATATTTATTATTATAAGATAATAAACAAAATAATAATATATAATATTAATTAAAAATATGTATTATTGATTTTTTTAAAAACATTTCTGATCTCTTCCAGGCTTTAGGGCAAAAACCGGGGATCACAGAATGCTTGCTCAATCAACTTTGCTCATCCAAAATCACAAAAATCGCCTCAAAAAATGTTGATGATAATTTAATTTTCTTCACTCTCCATGAAGATGTTAGATAATGCTCACTCTGGGTGAGAATAAAAGCCAGACTCATCAATTGTGTTACCGATTATATTCTTGCAAAAGAATTTTCTTTTAATTGAAAAAGCTGAATGTGAGCCAGGCATGGTGGTTCACGCCTGTAATCCCAAAAGTTTAGGAGGCCGAGGTGGGTGGATCTCCTGAGGCTGGGAGTTCGAGAGCAGCCCGGACAACATAGCGAACCCTGTCTCTACTAAAATTACAAAAAATTACTGGGAGTTTTGGTGGGTGCCTGTAATCCCACCTACTTAGGAGGCTGAGACACCAGAATTGCTTGAACTCTGGAAGCGGAGGCTGAGGTCTGCCTGGGTGACAGAGCCAGACTCTGTCTTTAAAAAAAAAAAATGGAAAAGCTGAATATGGCACTATAGATGCTACTATTCAACTCTGTCTTCATTCCTGTACAAAGGTCAGCTAGAACGACTATAACTGATAAAATAGTATTAAGATAGTATTTATCCATTCCATATGACCCTATTGTTTGTAATTATAGAGATCATTGAAGCCATGTACATGAACATCAATAGCAGCACTCCTTCCCAAGACTTACTCCACCTCCCACATTTTCTTTAATTATTAATAATGCTCTGCTTCTACTATAGGTATATAGACACAGATAAAACTATAAACTCTAAGAGCCATTTGAAGAAAGTCTATCGTCAGAAGAAGCAATCATGAAAATAATTGCTATTATATGTATGATTTTATTCATACTCCAAACAATTAGTTGAAAAAACTGCAAGTAACTAAATTTGATAATTTAGTATGCAGAAAAGTTCTATCACATGAAAATGGTATGTTTTTGCCATTGGCAAATGGTATTACACAACTCCATGCTTTATTTTAGCTTTGGAAAACATAAAAGTAAATGCAAAATATATTTACTAATCATGAGGGCTCCTAGAATATTTATTTTTGTGCCTCCTCCAAAAGATTTTGGTAATTTAATTTACTTGTTTAGTTGTGTGTAAATATTTTATAAAATTCCTTAGAAGTAAGCAAATAAAAATCACTGATAACCAGAAAACAATGCACAAATGAGTCCCCCCATGCAGCTCCGCCTTTCTATGCCCTTGAAAAACAAGAAAAGGTAAAGTAAACAAAATCCACATGAGCCTCTTGCAGTGGTAAAAGTAATAGACCCAGAGTCAGGGAATCAACTTTCCTAAGTTGCTGTAACACAGATCACTTGTATGACTTGGGGCAGCATATCTCTAAGACAAGATGATTGGGCACAGTATTTCTTAAGATTCTTTATGCCTCTTTTGCTTTAAAAAATTATTAAAATGTTTCTAATAAAAATACAAAGAATCTTTTCTGTTACCATTATCATCATTTCAAATTAATTTATATGCTACACTTAAATTTTAAAGATATTTAATCTGGAAAGGAATAGACAAAGCTATTTAAAAGACTTCTAAAATAAATACGGAGGTAATTTACTTTAGGAAGTAGAAATAACATCTTTTATGTTTTTGTTTTTTTTAATCAAAATTATTTTTAGACTGCTTATATGTAAGCATAGTCTATTCCTTGTTTTGACCAAGTGACATTGTAGGTATATTTAAGAAATTATGGGCAATTAGAACTTAATTAAAATGCTGTGAATTGAAGGGTTTCTAAAGGTGTTGTGACTTATGGTTTTTGATTCTGCATATAAGGAGTTGGGAAGTTGCCACAAAAACAAGTAAAAAGCTTTCACAAGTGTAAAGGTAGACTGAAAAATCAATTCTAGATCTGTAAGAGAAGTAAGGTCACAGAGCAAACCACTGCCATCAAAATTGGAGAGATAGAACAGCAGACACAGAGAAACCACAAATTACTGGAGCAGAAACCCATGAGCAGAGAAGAGACCTACTGGGGAACCAATACTAGGGGAGAAAAACTTATACTTTGACAAACTTCTGGAAGGCCAGCCTTACACTTCTTTGGGTTTTACCATTAGAGGATCTACCAGATCCTCACACTGAATATTGGAGAAAAATCTCCTTGTGTTTCTAGCAGAGAGAGGAAGAAAAAAGAACCATTTTCGAAACATGCCAGAGCATTCTGTTCTTCTTAACAAGGCCTGCTGTTAGGAAAATCTATTTTGCCAAAGCCTAATCAGCCGAGGTTTCCAGAACCTATACTACCTGGGGGAAGGGAAATACCCTGCTCCAGCTTCTGTAGCCTTCACTGTGGGGGAAGAGAAATACATAATTTCAGTTCACTTCGGCCATTTTGTCTCACCTAAGGCAGGATAAATTGAGAAGCAACAATAAAGTTCACAGTCCAGGGACACAGGTTCACAGAAAGACTGAGACCTAACCATAGGGCTATGCAATGTTTCTTCTACCACAGCTTACCACTACGTTATAAAAGACCTACTTACCACAGTTCCTTTTAGCTAGTATTTAATGTCTGCCTTTAGAGAAAAATTCAAGGCACACAAAAAAGGAAAAGATACATAGTTGAAGAGACTGAACAGGTATCATAACCAGACTCAGATATGGCAGGAATGTTGGAATTATCAGAGCAGGAATTTTTTAAAATTAGGTTTAATATGTTAAGTGTATTAATGAAAAAAAGTAGACAACATACAAGAACAGATGGATAATGTAAGCAGAGAGATGGAAATTCTGAGAAAGGATAAAAAAGAAGTTCTAGAGATAAAAACACTGTAACAGAAATAAAGAACGCTTTGATGTGCTCATTAGCAGAATGAACACAGCTGAAGAAAGAATCTCTGAACTGGACAATATGACCATAGAAACTTCTAAATTAAAAAGCATACAGAAAAAGACTGAAAAACTTAAAAACAGAACAGAATATTCAAGAACTGTGGAGCCACTATAAAAGGTTGGAGAGCACAAAACCTTGAACATCACAAGGAAAATAGTTTTATAAAGGCTTTCTCCATTCAACAACATAAATCAGGCTTTAAATATAAAGCTACCAGATAAGTCTTTGTATATAAATTCCTTATCTTAGTCTTTTTAGAAATACTATTTTTAACAAAAACAAAAATTATTTTTAAAAATATTTTTAACAAATAGTAGAGAAAGAAAAATGGTATAGGCAAATAACCTGTATCTATACAAAGAGAAGAAGATCAGAGCATAAGTGAAGGTCAAATATAAACTTTTATTTTTCTTATTTCTAATTTAGCATAGTTTATTATAAACAATAGCAACAATGTATTCATGTATGCATACTTCTGCATGTGTGTATATATGTATATATATTATATATATATGCTTATGTATAAGTGAAACGAATGACAATAATGATAAAAGGGATGGATGTGAAGAATTAGAAATATTTTGTTATTATAAGGTATTTGTACTCCAGATGAAATGGTATAGTGTTTTTTGAGAGTGGACTTCAATTTGCTGTAAACTATATAGTAAATTCAAGGGCAACTACTAAAAAGGAAAAAAAATACATTAAAAAAGAAGTATAATGTTATCCTAAAAACTGAGAGAAAATGGAACCATAAATGCTAAATTAAATCAGAAGAGACAAAAAATTGTAAAAGACAGAAATGAAAACCAACAAGGGCAATAAATAGAACACTATAAAAATATTGTAGAGATTATTCAATAATCACATTAAACATCAATGTTTTAAATACAATTAGGAGATAGAGATTGTCAGAGTGGATCAAAAAACAAGACTCAACTGTATGTTGTCTATAAGAAACCCTTCTTAAACATGAAACACATATAGGTTAAAAAGTGAAGGGATGGAGAAAGATATAGCACACTAACACTTATCCAAAATAAATGAGAGTAACTATACTAATTCTAGGGAGAGAAGGCTTCAGAGCAAGGATAGTTATCAGGGATAATAAGAGGTATATATAATAATAAAGGACTAATACTTCATTAAGACATAACAATCCTTAACCTGTATGTCCTTAGAGAACACCAACACATGTGAGGCAAAATACAAGAGTGCTGCAAATTCTGCACATGTATCCCCGAACTTAAAGTATAATAAAATACACACACATACATCAAAAAATAAAAATTCTATGATCACATTAATAGATGAAGAAAAGGCATTTGACAAAATCCAGCACCTTTTCATGATAGATTGTTTTGTTTTGTTTTTGGAACAAATAGAGGAGAATCTACCCAATTTGATTTTAAAAGGAGAAAATCTGTAGCTAACATCATACAGTCATGTGTCACATTATGACAGAGACACATTCTGAGAAATGCATCATTAAGCAATTTTGTTGTTTATGAATATCATAGAGTGTACTTATGCAAACCTAGATGGTCTAGCCTACTACACACCAAGACTGTAAGTTATAGCCTATTGCTTCTAGGCTACAAACTTGTTTTGAATATTACTGTACTGAATATTGTAGGCAATTGTGACATAATGGTAAGTGTTAGTGTATCTAAACATGCCTAAATACAGAAAAGGTACAGTAAGAATGTGGCATTCTAATCTTATGGAACCATTATTATTAATGCAGTCTGTCATTTACCAAAATGTGGTTATGCAATCTATGGCTTTACTTAATAGTAAAAAATTAGAAGCTTTGCCACTCACATCAGGAACAAGATAAGGATTTCCTCTCTCTCCACTGCTTTTCAATGTACTGGAAGTCCTAGGTAATACAAGAAGTCTGTTTATAGATAACATGATTGTCTAGATAGAAAATCCAAACTAATTGCTCCTCATGGAATTAATAAGCAATTATAGAAAGGTTGCAGGATACAAGTTTAATATACAAAAGTCAGTTGCTTTCCTATACATCATCAATGAACAAGGAATTTGAAAACAAAACACATTATTATTTACATGATCACCTCACAAAATGAAGTGTTTAAAATCTAACAAAATATATTCAAGACTCATATGAGAAAATCTACAACATTTAGATGAAAGATACCAAAGAAAACTCAATAAGTGGAGAGATATTCCATGTTCATGGATTAGAATACTCAATATTATCAAGTTGTCAGTTCTTAGCTTGATCTAAAGTCGAAAAAGTCCAATAAAATCCCAACAAGTTATCATATGAATATTGGCAAACTTGTTCCAAAGTTTATATGGGAGAGCAAAAGACCTAGAATAGCCAACTCAATACTGAAAGAGAAGATGAAAGTCAGAGACACATAAATTTAAAACTTGCTATTAAGGTATAGTAATCAAGACAGTATAATACTGGCAAAATGATTGACTAAGAAAAAAAAAAAACAGAAAAAGAAAAGAACAGAAAACAAAAGAACAGAAAAGAGAGCCCCAGAATAGATCCACACGAATATAATCGATTGATCTTTGACAAAGTCACAACAGTAATACAAAAGGGCAAAAATTATCTTTTCAACCAATGGTGCGGAAAAAATGGGCAATCTAAGTGAAAAAAAGTGCATAGTGACACAGACCTTATACCATTCTCAAAAATTAACTCAAAATGAATTATATACCTAAATGTAAAATGTAAACCTATAAAATTCCTAGAAGATAACAGCAGAGAGCCTTGATGAACTTGGTTGTCACATGACTTTTTAGAAACAACACCAAAGACATGATCCATGAAATAAATAATTAACAAGCTGGATTTCATTAAAATTTAACACTACTGCTGTGCAAAAACCACTGTAAAGAGATTAAGAAGACAGGCTACAGATTTGGAGAAAATATTTGCAAAAGAGACATCTGAAAAGAACTGTTATACAATACATAAAAAGAACTCTTAAGAGTCAACAATATGAAAATGAATAACCTAGTTAAAAAATAGGCAAAAGACACTTTGTTCAACAAAGGAGATACACAGGAGACAAGTATGCATATTAAAAGATGTTCAGCATTATATGTTATCAAGCTATTACAAATTAAAACAAAAATGATATAACACTGCACAGCTATTATAATAGCCAAGATAGAAAACATTGGCAACATCAGATGCTGGTGAGGATGTGGAACAATAAGAAATCTTACTCTTGCTGATGGGACTGCAAAATGGTACATCCACTTTGGAAAACATTTTGTCAATTTCTTAAAAGCTGAACATACTCTTACCTTATGATCCAGTTTGGTACTCATTTAAAGGAGTTGAAAATTAGAAACCTGCACACAGATGTTCATAAAAGCTTAATTCACAATTGCCAAAACTTGGAAGCCACCAAGATGTCTGTCAATAGGCAAGTGGATAAACTATGGTACACATAGACAATAAAACATTATTTAGCGATAAAAATAAATGAGCAATCAAGTTATAAAAAGACTTGGAGGCAATTTAAATGCATATAACAAAGTGAAAAAAGCCAATCTGTAAAAGCTATGTACTGTATGATTTCAACTATATGACATTCTGGAGAAAGGCAAAATCATGGAAACAGTGAAAAAAATGTTGTTCACCAGGGATTAGGGGAGAAAGGGACAAATATAGGAATAACACAGGTCCTCCCATATTTCTATCCAAATGGTGAAGCTTGATCTACAATTATAGCCGAGGGAGAAGTAGGATTTATTTGGTGCTATTATCTGTGAACGAACGACTGTGAAAACCAAATGCTATTCTATTGTTACATAAATGAAGACGTTGAGTAGAATCTTATTCGACCACATGTATGTATGTATTCTCCTCTTATTCTTATAACCCTCTATGTTTAAGTATTGTATCTGTATATATTGTATACATACATAATTTAAAACTATAACATATATAAATATAAACTAGTAAAATAGATATAGTATACATATGCGTGTGTGTGTTTTCTTCTCTTTATTACTCCTGAAATAGAGAACACCTTTTTTCAACCCTGAAGAATTGTTTGCCTCACTTCGCATGTTGCTTAAATTAGTTTCAAAAAGTCCTTTCCGGGAAAATTAAAACCGCAATAAGATACCATCTCACTTGAGTTAGAATTATTGTGCCATTTTTGCTCCCATAGTTCAGTGAGTGGGAGAGAGTGATGCCCAGCAGTTTCTTCACTTCTATAGCTCAGTGAGCAGGATTATGTGGCACCCAGTGGCTTTTCCACTTCTATAGTTGTGTGAACGGGAGGGAATGGCACCCAGTGGCTGCTTCTCTCCTGTTGTTCGCTTAGTGGGAGAGAGGGTTACAGCTCTTTTATTCCGACCACTCACAGCTTGCCAGGCAGGGGTGTTAGAGCTCTTTCACTCCTGCCATTCACTGAGTTCTGGGTTCTTGTCTCACGACCAAGAGGAATGAGGAACACAGACACCAGAGAGTAAGTAAGGCAGAATAGAATTTCACTGGGTGAAATAAAAGCTCTCAATAATGAGATGGGACCTGAAGTGGGTAGCTGTCTGTGAGGCTTAATCTGGGGTTTTTATGGGCTTAGAATGTGGGAGTATATGCTGATTGGTCCATGGGTGGTCTTGGAAAGAACACAATTCAACTGGTTAGAAGGCATCATTTGGAAGAAAACAATAGAGAGGGAGTGGGTAAGATGGGATGGAAGTTGTTACTCCAGCCATGGACTCTATCTGGAACTGGCAGCTCTGTTTTCAGGCTTTAGAATGTCCTTGGCTTGAAGGTTGGGTTTCATCAGGAACCTGTTTCCATCTGCTTAGGAATGTGTCTGTCTCCAGTCGCTATCAGAATGAATATTATTTTAAAAAACAAACATATAGCAAATGCTGGCAAGGATGCAGAGAAAGAACACTTACAGACCATTGGTGGGAAAGTAAAATAGTACAGCCATTATGGAAAACAGTGTGGTGGTTCCTCAAAAAACTGAAAAATACAACTATATACAATTCAGCAATCCCACTGCTGAGTATATACATTTTTGAAAAAGGAAATCAGTATATCAAAGAGATATCTACACTCCCATGTTCACTGTAGCACAATTCACAATCTCTAAGATATGGAATCAACCTAAATGCTCATCAATGAATGAGTAGATTTTTAAAATGTGGTTTATATACACAGTGGGATATTATTTAGCCATTGAAAAAAAATAAAATGCTGTCTTTTGCAGCAACACAGATGGAACTGGAAGTCATTATGATAAGTTAAATAAGCCAGGCATGGAAAGATACATATGTGGGTCTGAAAAAGTGGATCTCATGAAGGTAAAGAATAGAATGGTGGTTACCAGAGGCTAGAAATGAAAACAAGGAAGGGGAGATGAAGAGAAGTTTGGTTACCGTGTACAAAATACAGTTAGCTAGAAGGAATACAATCTAGCATTTGATAGTAAAGTAGGAAAATTATAGTTAATAATACTTTATTCCATATTTCAAAATAACAAGAAGAGAAGAATTTTAATGTTCCCAACACAAAGACAAATATCTGAGGTTATGGATACCTGAATTACCCTCATTTGATTATTATACATTGCATACATGTAGCATAATATTATGTATACCCTAAAATATGTATAATTATGATATATAATTCAAAAAATTATATAGTAGTTTCCAGAAGCTGAGAAGAGGGGGAAATAGGGAGGTACCATTGATTGGGAATTGAGTTTCACTTTTGCAAGAGGAAATGGTTCTAGAGATCTGTTGCACAAAAAAAAAAAAGAATATAACACAATTAAATTGAGCATTGGTTACTGGTGGTCAATTTTATGTTGTAATTTTCACTATAATTGAAAATAAAAATGATTTTAAAGATGAGAAATAATTGCAAAACTGGACCTTACTTGTTCCTAATGTACAGGAAAAAGTGATTCTGTAAAAGTCAGAAAGGTAATTGTCTTGTGGGTGTTATTTATTTATTTATTTATTTTGCTTTAGGCTTTGAAGGACATGTAATAATTCAAAAAGATTTGATGGTTTCAAAATTAGAGGCAAGCCAATTCAGCTTATGTTATCTCTGCTTTTTCATGTATGCATTTTTATTCTACCTTATAACAATACATCTTTAAATATGTTACATAAAGTACAAAATTTAAAGCAGGCTGGGCACTGTGGCTCATGCCTCTAATCCCAGCACTTTGGGAGGCTGAGATGGTCAGATCATGAGGTCAGGAGATCGAGACCATCCTGGCTAACATGGTGAAATGCCATCTCTACTAAAAATACAAAAAATTAACCAGGCATGGTGGCGGGTGCCTGTAGTCCTAGCTACTCGGGAGGCTGAGGCAGGAGAATGGCGTGAACCCAGGAGAAGAGCTTGCAGTGAGCCGAGATCACGTCACTGCACTTCAGCCTGGGTGACAGAGTGAGACTCCGTCTCAAAAAAATAAAAAATAAATAAATAAATAAAATTAAAAAATAAAACAATGTTTAATGAATATAATAGCCATAATATATAAACTTCCTTTTTAATAACTGAGATTATTTTATTAAAATATTAATATTACTTCAACTTGAGAATCTTCCCATTTTCCTCTATGCCAAAAAATAGTCAACTTTTTCCATAAAGGGCCAGACGGTAAACAGTTCATACTTTCCAGAACATGTAGTCTCTGTCACAACAATTCAGCTCTCCCATTGTAGCATGAAAACAACCATAGACAATACTTAAACAAATGGAATGGCTCCGTTCCAATAAAACTTTATTTTCAAAACAGGCAGTCAGCCGGATTTGGCCCACAAGAGATTGCTAACACCTGTTTTATGCCATTTTAAACATATGTCAGAGCTATTTCTTCAGAAGTATCTACTTGAGGATGAAAAGAACCTGAAATCCTGCCATGCTCTGGAAAGTTTTTTCAAATACAGAAAACCATGAAATATTCCAGCATGAAATAACACTGTATTGACAGTTAATCTGAGACAAAGAGCATTGGATTGACAAAAATTCTGTACTTTGTCTGTGTTATATTCCCAAAGGCTAAGGGAAGAATTTCTTTCTAAATAAACCATAAGGTAATCTGGCACAGGTCAGTAAAGCTGAGTTTCAGAAGACTTTAGAAGTAAATTTTGAATGCCTAAATGGCAACATGTATTAGTTTATATTCAACTTATGTATAAATTTATTTGAGAGGGTGTGAAATTCTTATCACCCTGTTTATCTCTATGTAGCTAAATTAAAATGAAGGGTACGTCTTACAAATATTAGATCTTTAAACTGGAATGAAAATCGCTGTTATTAACAAGTGGAGGATTTCCAATATGCAATGTAAATAGTTAAGATTTGAACATAATTATAGCTTTTGTAAAACTTTGGTTGCTCATTCCCACTAATTCTATACACTACTTGAGACAATAAGAACCAATTGTTCTCATCCATTGAATTATCTTATAGAAATAAAATTTTCAATGAAAATATGTTATTATTACTAAATGAGCAGAACTCTACATTGCTATGACATTTATTTCCTTAAATATGCCAAATTAGAAAAAAGTGGTCAGCACAAAGTTTTATGTATGCATGAATTTGCATTTTGGCACCAAATTGTGCATATATGAACCTTTAAACAACTTAAATGTTTTCAATATTCTAATTTACAGATTGATCATTGGTAGCTTCTGTGACGAAGATTGATTAAACTACTCTGCCATTATTAATGGTACACATTAAAGGCGTTGTTACCTAAAGATCCTTCTACCATCTGATTTGACTTCATTTTGTCAACCTTTAAGAAATAATTACCTACACTTACTAGTTCAAAAACACATGGAAAAGTCACCTCTAGTTATCACTCGAGAATGAATGGAAATGTTTTCTAGGGGAAATAAAATGATTTACAAAGCATAGTATCTGGGGTACAATTTTAAGTGGGAATAGATTTCTGTTATAGTCTTATGTTTTTATGAAAAAGACAGCATTCAGCCGATGCAATTCTCCCCAGTGTGGAATCTTAACTCGCTTTTCCTTTTAACAGATCCAGATAGTAATGAATTTCAGCTCATATTACAACCACAGTTTTTGGAAAATGACTGTCAGTGGGGCAGCTATTTAGACTCAATGAAGTTGTAAATTTCTCTGGGAATCAAAAGATCTCTAATTTGGTCCAAAGAGAAAATTATAATCAGAAAAATATCCCAAAATGGTGCTAATAAAATAAGTACTGAATATTCCCTCCTTTGTACATAATTAGAAATTACTATGCTCACAGAATTTTAGGGAAAAAAACGCCATCATTTGTGAGAAATTGAAAAATGATGGTGTTTATCCCAGCCTTATATACACTAAATAGTGTGGGGCTTTAAATGATTTTAAATACAATTAAGGCAAAGTAGTCTTATAAATTACCTTTTAACCATGTATAAGAATTTTTATTTTAAAAACAAAATCTTGGGTGGGCTCAGTGGCTCAAGCCTTAATCCCAGCACTTTCGGAAGCCTAGGCAGCTGGATCAGTTGAGTTCAGGAGTTCGAGACCAGCCTGAACAACATGGTGAAACTCCGTCTCTACTAAAAATACAAAAAAAATTGGCCAGACAAGGTGTTGCACGCCTGTAATCTCAGCTACTGGGGAGGCTGAGGCCAGAGAATCTCTTGAACCCATTTTCGAACAACGAAAACGTCAACATAAGATTTCATTTTGTGTATATATATATACTTTGAGACAGAATCTTCCTCTGTAACTCAGGATGGAGTACAGTGGCATGATCATGGCTCACTGCAGACTTGAACTCCTGGACTCAAGTGTTCCTTCCACCTTGGCCTCCCAAAGTGCTGGGAGCCACCACACCAAGCCTGTTTAATTTTTAATTTAACCAAGTACAAAGGGAAAAGAGACACTGAATACAATAGTCAGCTGAACTGGTACATAATATGTCAAATATCAGATAAAACAATACTTACTTGTCCTGATGTTCATGAACCTCATTCTATAAAACATTTTTTCTTGGCCAGATGAAATCCAAAATATTAATTTTCTCCAGAAAACTTAGTGAAAGTAGCCACTACATGATTTTTCTTTTGAAACTAAAGTTTGTGGGGTTTTTTTGTAGCTACAGGAATATCACAACACTTGCTACTGTAAGTCTTACTAACACAAAAAAATGCAAATTCCCAATTGATCAAGGAAATTATTGAAGCTTGATGAGTGATAAGATAACAATGCAAATGTTGTTGAGGTCAAACATGTTGGCAAGGAAAATATGTTGTATTAATTCACTGAGTAGTCAAAATAATCATAATTTTAGTAGTTACTCTTTAGAGAGTTATCAACTAGGCAAAGTCCTGTACATGATAATAGCTAACGTACATTGAATATTTATACTACTTGCCAGATTTGGTACTGAACACTTTTCTTCGTCGCAATGGTAGGCAAAATCCTACCTGATATCCATCACTGGTACCCATGCCTCAGATAATTCTCTCCATTTGCCTGTGGATGGAATACATAAATATGATGCTATGCCACCACAATAATTAGGTTGCACTATAAGACAAAGGTAAGGGAATTTAGCAGATGTAATAAAGAATCCAAATTTATTGCTTAGGAGTTGATCAAAAGGGAGAATTTTCTAGGTTAGCCTAACTTAGTCGGGTAAGGTAAAATCTCATAAAAGAAGGACTAGATCATTTTTGAAGAGAGGAAATTGTTGGCCTTGAAGAATTAAACTGTTGTACTGTGAAAGGTTGGGTGAGAGCATCCCCCTGCTGAGAGCCAGAAAGAAAACAGGGATGGCAGTCCGACAACCAGGAGGAGGTGAATTTTGCCAATAACTAGATGGCCTTGGAAAAGCACTGGAGCTCCAGGAAGATATATAACCTGGCCAATACTTACATTTCTGTAAGGCCCTAAACAGAGGACCCAGTTAGGCATGTTCAGACCCCTGACCTACAGAATTTGTGAGATAATGAATGGGTATTGTTTTAAGCTGCGAAATATGCAGAGATAATAAGAAACAATAGAAAACTAGTATAACCATGTTATTTAATCCTTATGAAGGGTTGTGAAAATGAAATGTAGGAGGAAATATTAGTATCCATATCATATATATGAGCTCAAAGAGGTTAAGTAACTTGCCCCCAAAATATACTTCATTACTGATAGGTTCAGAATCAGTAGAGTTCAAAGTTAGACCCTCTGACTCTGGCATAACCAGGATTCTTAACAATTACACTGTAAGTTCTGCCTCTTCAGTTCTCTCAATGATCATATGAAATGGTATCAATATCCTTATTTTACAAAAGAAGATATTGCCCCTCAGGGACATTAAATAACTTGTAAAAAAGCCACATAAGTACATGATAAAAAAAGAACTTAAACATAGGACAAATTTGCTTCAAACTTTATTCTCATAAAGAACACAGCATACATGTTCTTGAGATATTCACTTGGTTCAAAGGTGGGGTGAAGGCAATCTATGAAACCCTGCTTCTATACAGTTTAGGATTATATTTTCTACTCTGTGATCAGCCACAAATTGCCCTTTGGACTCTCTGCTGTGTACAAAAGTTGATATTTCTACAAACCTCACTCTTTTTTAAACACTCAAATTTCTTTAACAAAGCATGGATGCCAGTGGTAATCTAATAAATACACATATCAAGGTTAAAGATCAGAAAATAAATCTGACAAGAAAGCTATTGCTCTCGGAGCAGTATCCCAGGGAATAAATAAAGCACCGTCATAATAATTTGATTGACTTCATGAATTGAGGTCCTTTTTTCATTTTATTTCACAACTTGGAATGCACACAAAAAACTTGAGAGCTACACTGATACATCAACAAGGAAATTCCTTTGATTTAAGGATCAATAAAAATCTTTAGGAAAAAATATAACCAAATAATAAAGCTTTCCATTTGGGGCTTTATAAGCCTATTTTTTTTTTAAAAAAAATAACTATTGGATATTGTCAGTGTTAGACGAGTCATGCGATTGCATTGAAAGCTACAGTTCACAGGGCCACTGATGGCGATACACCACATCCTACTTTTTCTTAAGGCATTTTGTTTTCACTTCTTTCGTGTCATAATTAAAACTTAATAAAAAGGACTATGAAGGACATAGAGGTTATGTTGCTATTAAGTCTAAACAATGAAAATGTGAGAATGAAAATTCAAAGGAGAAATACAAATATAAAAAAGATGAGAAAAAACATAAAATTTGCTATATTTGGTTTTAAATTTATCATTAAGAATTGTAAAGTGTGAATGCCATATATCTTTACTAAACTTTCCCAAATTCAGGGACAGATTACTAGACTTCCAGAAATCTAAATTGTGGTTAAATGTAGAACTACTCTGGAAATGAATTGTAGGCTTACCTGTATGATAAAGGGAGTATGTTCAACACTTAGTGCTTAAAATGATGTGTAAATGGGAGAGGGAAGCAAAGCAAAAAATGTTTTAGATATATGGTGTGAAGAAAATAATTCTCTTAAAATAAGCTCTAAGTCCTTTTAAATTAATGGACAGTGCATTTGCGAAAAAAAAAAACACACACACACAAAAAAACTACAGCTTAAACTTGTTATTTGCATTTCTTGCATTTCTGGCATCTGTATTTCATTAGAAGAGATATTTGATTTTATGATTTCTAATTCTTCTCAACAATCTCTGAAACGATTGCTCTCACACAAAAAGTCTAGGTTTGACACTATTTCTAAAGCATATATAATGTGATCAGCCTTTACAAATTTGCCTACAATACGGCATAAATCTTTTGGAAAAATAACTTTGTTCCATTTTCACCTTTGTAGGAAATTAAAGAAAACTACTTTGCCAAATAATTAATTACATACATTTAAAACAGCCTAGAAAAGTGACAACTTTTCCTACATAAATCTACTGGGAAGAAGTGCCATAACACATTACATCTAAACAAAAACATCTAATGAGTTTTAATTCTTTAGATGTTAATTCTTGGAGGGTGACTATGTATACCCTCCAAGTGATCATTGTAATAAATATTATCTGACAGTTTAAATTGAACCAACACGTCACTTTTTGTCTTAATAGAGCAAAATCTTCCTAGGTTGAGTACTTAATTTACTCTCAGCAGCGACAGGTGGGTGAGAAGCAATAGTCACCCACTAGTTGGGTATAGAAGGTAGCACAATCAGGGCTGCTTATAACCATTCAAATTAGATCTGAATCACGAAAGGAACTGCTAATATAGACAAGTATAAACTTGGAAGGTTTCATGGCTTCAGCACGTCAGATAGGCATGGCAGGCATTTCTTAATTCCCTGACATTTCGAGGCAATAGGTTTAAGGTGTTGATAATGTTAGCTTGCAGAGCACAAGAACTTGTAATGAAAAAAAAAAACACTCATTGCATGTGTGTACAAATAGGATTTGCTTTTATTTTTCCAATAACTACATTTTAAGCATTGAAAAGGGCAAAGGGGATGCAACGAATTAGTAGAGAGAAAATCAGAAGTAAAATTATCCATTTTGTTTAGACACCAAGGGACTAGAATTAGACTAGAAGATTAGGCAAACAACCTGAGATCATTTCGATTGTATTATGGGTTTTAGTAAAAAAGAAATGTTCATAAGAAAGTCACTTTATTATGTGACTCATTTGCCCTTTGTAGAATCATTAGAATATTTACTTCCTGCTACATGATAAGGTGAAATTTGTTCATGCAAGCACTTAGTGGTAAACCTGGATTGAAAATACTTGTTAGGACAATAAAATGTTAGCAAAAGCAAGGTACCTCATTTCACTTGGCTTTCTCTGGCAATGTTCTACAACTCACAAGTGAATAAGGTCATAGTAAAATCATTTAGTGCATCGGTGCCATAAAAATTTCTAAGACATGCTCCAATTTCCAGAGGTTTCTAATTACTGAAAATCAGGGGAGGAAAATTAAATGTTGGAGAAGGTTGGTAATCATTTATTATAATAAATCAAGAGAGGGCAGTTGCCCAAGTTCTTGAGAAAATTTAAGATATATAAAAGGGAAAATGTGTAATTTTCTATGTCAATTCCCAGTTATTGACACTTGGAATTATGGGTTTTTCATAGCAAGGTAAAGATATTTTCTCTACCACTACAGCTCTTAGGAGAATAAATGATTCTTGGCACCCAAGTACAGTGGCAGAAAAATTAGGTAAAATGTGTTGATTTGCAAAAACAAAACTCTAGATAATGTACACACAGAACACAGCATGTACTATTGAAGGGATATTAAAAAAGAGAAAGGCAAGTGTCAATCCTGAAGGTGTTTCCACCCTAAATATAGAGATACCCTATTTCATCTAGGAGGCACAAAAATATATTGAACAAATTTTCACATTTAGCTTTATGTCCATTAAAAGATACTAGATGTAATTTTTAAGTCTTTTTCCATTTCAGTGGTGCCTAGAGATTTCTTTCATTTTATATCAACACTAATGTTGGCAGTTGAACATTGACTGCTATTTTGCATAATAACAACATAGGTAATCATAATATACATCCTTTTCTATTGTTTACTAAATGGTAGTGGTATGCAAAGTGCTCAATATAAAAATCATTCTACAAATATTTATTAAACTTTTTTTGTTTAATAATAAAGTGAGGCAGGTACATTCAACAAATACTTATTAAAACTCAGCTGTGCACTCCCACACACATGGGACACATCAATTAAAAAAAGACATAAATCTCTGCTCTTTTAATCTGACATTCTATCAAGGTCACAATCAATAGCTAATGAAAATAACAGGTAAATATGTATTATGCTATATTGAGTTCAATGATATGGAAAAAAGCATAGAGAAGAGTGTCAGGAGTATATATATATATATATATATATATATATATATATATATATGTCTGTGGGAATGGGTGGATGCAATTTTAAATAGGGTAGTTTAAAATTTTAAATAAGCTTCATGGGAAAGACCACATTTGAACATTGACTTGAAGAAAAGGGGTTAGTCTTGCAGATATCTCAGGGCAGTATTGCTTCTAGGGGAGGGAGCAGCTTGTGTGAGCATCCTAAGGCAAAAGTAGGCCTGGAATCCCAGGCCTAATGAGAATAGATCAGAATGAGTGAGGAGAAAAGCAGGAGGAGATAATAGAGGAGAATACATGCTCTGAAGTGAGGGTGGGGCGGGTAGTGCAGGCAGAATGTACAGGGCCTTGCGGAGAGATGTAAAGACTTGCCTTTAACCTTATAAAGCCCTCTATAAAGAAGGTATTCTAGTGGCCATTGTTATACAAATCAGGATTTCTCAACATTGGTCCTGTTGACATTGTGGGCTGCATAATTCTGTTTTGCAGGACCATCCTTTTCATTGTATGATCTTCAAAAAGCAGAGTTGACCTGTCCCTATTAAGATACCAGTAGTCATAAATAAAAATGACTCCAGACATGACTAAATGTACCCTGGATGGCAAAATTACCCCTGGCTGAGAACCACTGATATAAATAAAGCTACTCAGTCACAAACATTTTAACTAAGCCAGGGCCACACAGCTAGTACATAAACCTAAGTCGTGATGCCAGATGTTTAATGATAAAATACATTTTCTCCATTGCTTGCTTGTACCATTTATTTGTTTTTCTAGCTCATTTGAATCAAAGACAGTTTGACTAGAGTTATAATGTTGTAAACTCTTGGAGCAGTTTTTAACAGCATCAAATAAAGTAAAAATTAGTTTTAAGTGGCAAGGCAGGTTTACTTTTAATGAAGGTCTGGAATTTAGCCAGAATATCAACTGTAAGGCAGTGTTCACAGCTCTGAGAGAAGCATAGATCACAATGGGATATGCTGACAGCTGTTACATGGTAAACTGGAATGGAGTATGAATGATAGAGAAGTAGAACGATTAATTTTCCTTTGGGTATATACCCAGTAATGGGATTGCTGGGTCCATTGGTAGTTCTGAGTTTTTTGAGAAATCTCCAAACTGCTTTTCACAGTGGTTGAATTAATTTACATTCCCACCAACAGTGTATAAGCACTCCCTTTTCTCTGCAGCCTCACCAGAATCTGTTATGTTTTGACTTTTTAATATTAGCCATTCTGACTGGTGTTAAGATGGTATCTCACTGTCGTTTTGATTTGCATTTCTCTGATGACTAGTGATGATGACCATTTTTTCATACATTTGTTGGCTGCAATTCATCAATGGTGAATTGGATAAAGAAAATGTGGTACACATACACCATGGAATACTATGCATCCGTAAAAAAGAATGAAATCATATACTGTGGAGCAACATGAATGCAGCTGAAGGCCATTATCGTATGTGAATTAACTTGAGAACAGAAAAGTAAATGCCACATGTTCTCACTTAAAATTGGAGCTAAATACCGAGTACATATGGAAATACCGAGTACACATGGACATAAAGAAGGAAACAATAGACACTGGGGGTACTAGAGGCAGAGTACTGAAAAACTACCTGAGAGGTACTATGCTCACTACCTAGGTGACTGAATCATCCATATCCCAAGCCCCAGCATCACGCAATATACCCATGTGACACACTTGCACGTGTACACTCTGAATCTAAAATGAAAGTTGAAATTACTTAAAAAATTAGGATCTCTAACAAAAAGAGAGAAAGTACAGTTAGATATTTGAAAGCACAATTTCCAGTGAAGCAGCCGAGTTGTGGCTAGCTGGGAATCCATAATATATGACGAACTAAGCTGGCATCCTGCAATAGTAAAGGTATTTGTCCTTGGCTTGAGAAAAAATATAAGAAAAAAATGTTATAAGATGCTTCAAAATAGCAGAATAGGTATGGTCATAAGGAGAACAAAATAATTTTGTTCATATACTATGGAAATTGTGGCAGTAAGCAGATATCTCTAAGAAAAATGTGTACATGTAATAAATATACTATATGCTAATACCTAAAATGCTTTTATGTTATTAGGGATACGTGTGTAGGGAGAGATTATTTGACTAACATGTGCCTATTTTTCCCATTCAGCACATTGACTAATGCTCATTGTCTAAGCATGTTTATGCCTTCTTGTCCTCACATACAGTTTGTACCACATACAATCATAATTTAGAAGTATCTTAGTTTCATATTTCTTCTATTAATTTACCTTCTTGAGGAGAGCGGCAACAGAGGGCCTAGTGTACACAACACTGCAGTTTCTACAATAGCAACTTATGTATTAAATTACTTAAGTAAACACTGGTTTTGAACACATAAATTATTACCAAATATGTATTTTATTAGTTTAGATAACAGATGAGATCCTTTCAAAACAATAGATATGTTGATTACCTCTCAATGACTATTAAGAGTCTAGCAAATTTAAGTTCGATTACTTAGTAAGTTTATGTTAAAAAAATGTAAATCATTAAATCACTCATAAACACACATATAGCTTTGAGAATCTTGTGTCTTGACAAAAGAACAAAAGAAAGGATTCAGTCTAGTTTTCTTTGGAAAGCTTATTTATTATAATTCAACTTATAAAAGCAA
The DNA here is from genome assembly GCF_000001405.40 of Homo sapiens. Taxonomy (NCBI): domain Eukaryota; kingdom Metazoa; phylum Chordata; class Mammalia; order Primates; family Hominidae; genus Homo; species Homo sapiens. Next base: position 31,578,027 of record NC_000004.12, read on the forward strand.
TGGATTCTTTTGAGTGGTTCCAAGTGATTTTCTCTTTTTCCCCAAAGTCTGTCTTCATCATTGAAGATGGAATGAGTTGTCCATAAGTGGAACTTTTTTCCCTGTAGGATTGTAATATATGAAATAATGTATTTTATTGTTAGTAATAGATATGTAATTCAAGAGAACATCTTAAAGTTTCATCATTCTCATTTACAACCCAAAAATTTACAAATTATCTACTAGATACAATATTAATTTGACAAAAAAGAATGTGTCCTTTGTCTATTCTCCATCACCTCATATTCCAAAAGAGTACTGCAATTAATTTGATGTGTTTTAAATTTCAAATCGAATCAATTATTATTATTATTATTATTTGAGATGAAGTTTCACTCTTGTCACCCAGGCTGTAGTGCAATGGCATGATCTCAGCTTGCTGCAACTTCCAGCTTCCAGGTTCAAGTGATTCTCCTGCCTCAGCCTCCAGAGTAGCTGGGATTAAGGCACCCACCACTATGCCTGACTAATTTTTTACATTTTTAGCAGAGATGGGTTTTTACCATGTTGACCAGGCTGGTCTCAAACTCCTGACCTCAGGTGATCCACCTGCCTCAGCCTCTCAAAGTGCTGGGATTACAGGTGTGAGCCACTGTGCCTGGCCCTAACCAATTATTTTTAAAGATCTGTGAGAGATTTCATAGTATGAATGCACCATAAATCAATTACTTCCATAGATGAACTTTAGGGTTGTATCCTTGTGTATATGTTTGAGGTGACTTCATTGGGTGTGGCTTTAGAAGATAAGACGTCTTTTTTCCTACACATGTGTAATTTTGATTTTTAGAATGAATATCTTGTGTTAGAAAAAAACCCAATAACGTTTTTAAAGCTCTCATTAATTGTTTAAGCTGTATTATCAGTGTGAATACAAATGTCTCTTAATTTGCCTTCATTTAAAAAATTATAACTCCTATACTTTAGGCTAAATACCTCATTTGAGACAGGCATGTTTAAGATACTAGTGAATCATATTAGAGTTCTCATAAACACAATAATAGCACATTTATAAGTTAGGCTTACATATTTAAGTAAGGTGAAGACTCAAATCAGATCTAGATTGTCAAACTTTAGTTATTTATTGCCTCCAAATGAAATTGAAAGTGCCATGTCTAAATTCCAGAGAGTAATGTGATTAAATAACTAATTTCAATTAATGAGTTCAGAAGAGGTATAATTCCTCTTGCTTCCATCCTTTTTAAGGTGGCCTGATCATTTTCTACTTTACATTACAACAAGTTGAAGCAGCTAATCTTATGGACTGCCATTTGTCTGCATTTCTTGTGACAGGAAGGAGGACACTATCCTATGGTCATTATCAATGCCTCCTGGTCTTTTGAAATATCAAAGGTGTTGATCTGGGATGCTTCAATTCTGATTCTGGTATGCCTACCCGAGTGACAAGCAAGGACAAGAGCTCAGAGAAAATATATTGAGGGAGAAAAGGGAATATAAGGTATTCAGACCGGAAAATAGAAAAAGGAATTAAGAGAGGCAAAAAAAAAAAAGTAACTGAATACCTTGTGGACACTATATATCACCCTCATTTTCATTTTGTGAAATTGGCAGGTACAATATATGCCTGCAGCAGCTGTATCTTTTCTTTTTTTTTTTTTTTCCCAGACTCTTTCTGACAGCAGGATCTGCTCGACTCCCTGCTCAGAGTAAGTAGCTGATAGGGCTGGGAAGTTGTGAAGCTAAGATTGGGAAAGACACCTAGCATTGAATCTAAGGGACTGTTTCGATCCCCAAATATTGCTCTGTTTATCACGAACTTTGAAGATTCTTTTCTGTTCTTTTTGGCTAAAGTGTGAAAATATCCATTACTGACCTTCCTCACTTATATAGAAATCCTCAATCAGGCAGAGTTTTCAGAAGACTGAACACGATTCACGGTCACAAAACAAAGAATTAGGGTGAGAACAGCAGGAAAAACATCAAGAGGAGCTAGCTTTTAAATGAGTAAAAAATGTTTATCGGATTATTTTCTCAGTCTCTGCTATAGACTTAATGTTCATGCCTCCCCTCCCCACAAATTCATGTGTTGAAATCTAATCCCCAGCATGAAAGTTTTAGGAAATGGGGCCTTTGAGATGTGATTAGATGATGAAAGTGAAGCTTTTCTGAATGAAATTAGTGCCCTTATGAAAGAGGCCCCAGAGGGACTCCCTGCCCCTTACTTCATGTGAGGTTGTAGGGAGAAGACAACTGTCTATGAACCAGGAAGGGGGACTTCACAGACACCAGTTCTGCCAGAGCTTTGATGTAGGACTTTCCAGCTTCCAGAAATGTGAGAAATAAATTACTAATTTTTATACACCACCCATTCTATGGTAGTTTGTCATAGCAGCCCAAACAGTCTGAGACAGTCCCCTTTAGTTTATCATTTTCTTGTCACATCTACCATGGAATTACTATACACAGGTCTAGAAATGCATTTATATACAACACAATATATTATTTTGACTGAAAATTATAGTCACAACCAGAAATTATATGACTTTACTTTTGATAGCTACCACAAATGTGATTTCTATTAAAAGAAAAAAAATTAGAGAATTGAAGTCTCTTTGGGGATGACTTGAATTTCAAATCAGGTCTAGGTTGTGATAAAGGAGACAAAATTAATATCCAATTAGTTGCTTCAGTTATGTCATTTTTATACTTAAAGATGTACTAATAACTAGCTCTTCTTTAAGAGTTGTCATAGATGAAATGCTGTCACCCCCACATGTATATGTTAAAGCCCTAACCCTCAATGTGATAACCTTCCGAGACACGGCCTATAAGGGGTAACTTTATTTGAAATGAGGTCATAAGGTTGGAGCCCTCATCCAACCCAACTTGTATTCTTACAAAAGAATAGAGACTAGAGCTCTGTCTCTTTCTGCCCAAGCAAAGAGAAAGGTATGTAAGAGCACTGTGAGAAGGTGGCTTTTACAAGCCAGGAAGAAAGCCCTCAGCAGAAATCAAATTTGCTGACACCTCAATCTTGCACCTTCAGCCTCCAAAACTGTGAGAAAATGTCTATTGTTTAAGTCATCTAGTCTGTGCTATTTTTAATGGCACCCCTAGCAGATTAATACTGAGGGAAAAACAGTAACCTGGAGCATAAGCTGTGATTAACATGGACATTTGTTTACATTTCAAATGGTTGTATAAAGGAAGGCTGGTGTTTTTAGTTCAGGTTTTGTGAGCTAGAGTAAGACCTTGTGCTTCTCTCAACTTGATTTCCTCTGCAATATAAAGAGTTTGAGTTCTATAATTTTTAAGTTCTTTTTACATGCAAAAGCTTATGAATTGATCACTTATTTTAACTTTTTTCCTGTCTTTTGAACACGATTTTGCACAAAACAATAAACTTGAATTATAGAGTCAGTGGGATTTGCAATGTATAGAACAAACTATTAAATTTGGTAACTTACCAAGTATATTCATTTCCTAGGGCAGCTGTAACAAATTACTGCAAACTTGATGTCTTAAAACCACAACAATATATTCTCTCATAGACCTGGAAACCAGAAGTCTACAATCCAAATTTAGGCACGATGGTCTAAAGGATCTAAAAGTATCTAAGGGAGAACCTTTTGCCTCTTCCAGCTTCTGGTGGCTCTTGGCTTTCCTTGGTTGTGCCTGCGTCATTCTAATCTCTGCTTTCATTTTTAAATGGCCTTCTCTTGTGTATACGTCTCTATCATGTGCATCCCATAAAAATATTTATCATTAGATTTAGCACATACCTGTATAATCCATATTGATATTATTTTAAGATTCTTAATGACATCTGCAAAGAACTCTTCCAATTAAGGTCATATTTGCAAGTTATGGGATATGGACATATCTTTTGGGGGACTGCCATTCAATCTACTACACCAAGGGAAAAAATTGTTAGAAAAAACTTCCTTATGTAAAAAGTTAGGTTAAAAAAACATTTATTTTCAATTCTCTAAGCCAACATTTTAAGTTACATTTCATTTTATTTAAACTTTTTTATTACTAGCTGGTAAACTGTTAAAGATTTTCCAAAAACATAACAACAAATTTAAAAAAATAAAATTTTAGGTAAATGAATTTCCAGTAGGATGGGTTTCCTAAAAGTATTGAAGGATGTATACGACATTAAAGGCAATTGAGATTTCTAAAAGTCAACATAGAAATTTTTGATATGGTATTTTTGTTCTAGTCTTACAGTTTGTCTATTTTCTAATTTGCATATAAAATATTTGAAGCTACAAATATACATCATCTTGCAATGGTAGTTTTCAGATTCAATTTTTCCCTTAATTCCTAGATAGCGAAAGACTGAGAGTTTGAAAACTTTCTTAAATAAGACCAGAGGGGCTCATTAGCTAGCTAGATTGAGCTGTTCTTTGTGCAACATTTGTTTGGGGAAAGATTGCTATATGCAAAAACAAACAGACTGAGGGCTCAGGAAAATGTTATCAAAACACTAAATATTATGTTATCAAAACTCAGTTTCCTTTGTGTATATACAAATATTCATTTTATTCTTAAATTCATATTAGTTGGAAAATAAAATATAGTCATGAACCATATAATGATGTTTTGGTCAATGATGAACCACATATACTCTGACAGTCCTATAAGATTATAATGGAGACGAAAAATTCCTATCATCTTGTGATGTCATAACCATTGTAACATCATAATCCAATGCATTATTCACATGTTTGTGGCTATTTTGATGTAAACAAGCTTACTTTATTGCCAGTCTTATAAAAGTATAGCACATATAATTATATACAGTGCATAATACTTGATAATTATAATAAGCAAATATGTTACTGTTTTATATAATAACTATACTATGTTTTATATAATAACTATACTATGCCCTTTTTTCATTATTTTAGAGTGTTTTCTCTTCACTTACAAAAAAAAAATATTAACCACAAAACAGCCTCAAGTAGGTCCTCCAGGAAATATTCCAGAATAAGGCATTGTTATCACAGGAGATGATAATTCCTTGTGTGTTACTGCCCCTGAAGACCTCCCAGTGGGACAAGATGTGGAGGTATATATCACTGTCTTCTTGACATTTTTTTATATATATATATATATATATATATATATATATATATATATATATATATATAAAATACACAGATATATATAATATATAACATTTGATAACATTTTATATATATTATATATAAATATTATATATATTAATTACATATAATATATAAATATTATATATATTACTCAATATATATAATACATATATAAAATCGTGACCCTGTGTAGGCCTAGGCTAATGTATGTGTTTGCGTATTACTTTTTTAACAAAAAAGTAAAAAAGGAAAAAAAAATTACAGGGTAATTTATAGAATAAGGCTGTAAAGAGAGAAAATATTTTTCTACTGCTGTTAATGTGTTTGTGCTTTAAGCTAAGTAAATTATTACATGACAGCAAAAAAGTTTAAAAAATTAGAAAGCATATAAAGGAAGTTACAATAAGCTAATTTATTATTGAAGAATATATTTGTTTTATACAGTTGGTAGCCTAAGTGCACAATATTTATAAAGTCTATCGTAGTGTACAGTAATATCCTTTATATTCACTCACTATGCACTCACGGACTCACCCAGAGCAACTTCCAGTCCTGCAAGATCCATTTGTGGTAATCATTTTTTAAGCAACAATATCATATTATTAATGTAGCTTTTCTATGATTAGACATGGCTAGATACACAAATACCATTGTGTTTCAATTGCCTCAAGTCCTCAGTACAGTAACATGCTGTATAGGTCTCTATACTAGAAGGACTAGGCTATATAAGATAGCCTAGGTATGTAGTAAGCTATTCCACACAGTTTGTGTGAGTACACTCCATGGTGTTCACACTATGACAAAATTGCCTAATGAGACATTTCTGGTAACTTTTCCCTATTGTTAAGCAGCATATGACTGTATTAATCCTCTTAAATACATAATTAATCATAATAAACATATTTTTATAGATCATTTAGGAAAGTTGATGTGAGGATGAATATACTAAAGGTTTAGAGGAGAGATACAGTAGATTCTGTAATTTAGCTAATGATTAAGGTAATAATGTTACACTCTGTTCTAACTAGGATTAGATTGAAGAAAAAAAGACATTTTCACTATGTTCCTTCCACCTCACTCTTTTTGCTATGTTTTTTGTTATCTGTTATCCATCTTGGAACCCTACCACATACAAATTAATTATTTATGATTCATTTTCTTATTTATTAATTTTACTTTTTCAGTATATATGGCTAATGATGTGTTACCTGCAGTTTTATTCTTAGAATCCTTATTAGAACTTAATATGTTACGAATAAATACTATAAAAATAAAAAATTATTTTCTTTCTTACCAATTTTATAAGTGCAAACTATATATGATGCATTTTTAATTAAAATTTCCTAATATGCTCTATTTAAAATTTATGCTTGTCTAAATAATCTTCATATTTATGATACATTCCATTGATCCAAAGGGCAAAGTAAATCTTTTTTGAAAATATTACTTCAAAATAGCTGAAATAGAACTGATAACTTTAATTTATTAAGGTAAAATTAAGTTGTCAAATTTAACTTTGGAATACACTTTATAAACATACTACAGAATCCTTTGTTGACTTTATAATGTTTCCCTTCTGTCTCCCATATTGACAACATGAATTCCCTAAATTAGAACAGGAGACATTTTATTGAGCATCTCAGTCAGCTCAAGCTGCCATAACAAAGTATCTAGAGTCGGGGACTAAAACAACAGAAATTAATTTTCTCAAAGTTCTGGAGGCTGAAAGTCCAAAATAAAATCTGGTAAATTTGGTTCCTCATGGGGGCTCCCTTCCTGGATTGCAAACAGCCACCTTCTTGTTGTGTCCTCAAAGGGCAGACAGAGTTCTGGTGTCTCATCTTCTTGAAAGGACACCAGACTATCAGATTACGGCCCCACCCTATAACCTCATTTAACCTTTAGCCCCCTCCTCCCGGGCCCTATCATCAAATATAGTCTTTTTGAGGAGTAGGTTTCAATACAGGAATTTGGGTGGGGTGGAGGGGGTAGCAGGACAGAAACATTTGCTCCATAACACTGAGTTAAGTAAAAAGTAGTTTAGACTGAATCAGAATAATATTTTCAAAAAATGAGTCCCTGCCTTTAAGAAATATATAAATTTATGGCAAAGAGGTGAAGGAAACAAAAATGATTATAGCTATTAAACTTATGTATTGTTATAAGGAATCAAACATTAAAGAGAAAATCAATTGTTAAAAGCAAAATATGACCAGGTGCTGCGGCTCACGCCTGTAATCCTAACACTTTTGGAGGCTGAGGTGGATGGATCACTTGAGGTTCAGGAGTTCAAGACCAGCCTGATCAACAGAGTAAAACCCGTATCTACTAAAAATACAAAAATTAGCTAGGAGTGGTGGCCGGACCTGTAATCCCAGCTATTCAGGAGGCTGAGATAGGAGAATTGCTTGAACCTGGGAGGCAGAGGTTGCACTGAGCAGAGATCCTGCCATTGCACTCTAGCCTGGAGGGCAGAGCAAGACTCCATCTCAAAAAAAAAACAAACAAAAAAAACAAAATATGATTCTTATACCAGTCATGATTATAAAACGACTCAGCATTTTTAACTTGGTAACTCGAAAATACAGCAGTGTTAACATGATTAAGAAAACAAAAACAATACAATGGTTATTGGTTAATTTAAAGAGTCTATTTCAGGATAAGAAAGGCAAGATGAAATAGAGGAAAACTATCATTCAATTCAAAACACTGGGCAAGTTTCCTAAATATTTTAATAGCCTCTTCATTTATAAAATGGAAATCAAAATATTTTCTCTACCCGCTGAGTTTTGTGACAGTAAACAAAAATGCAACAAGTAGAAATTATTTTTTAAAAAGTCTGTCTGTCTGTATAAATGCGAAGTACTGTATTAAAGTGACTGGTGAGCCTGTGCGCTATTAATTCTTATGGAAACCATTGTACAGCACCTTTAAATTTTACTTCTGCTTGTAGAATTTCTGAATATTTGTTAAAAGAAAAAACTGAAGGTAAATTCTGTGAGTACTCAATATTACTGTCCAGCAGAGAAACTGGAGTAGAACTGATGATACAGGCTTGCCACACCTGAGGACTGAGGATTCATATACTTGGAAGCAGTAGCTGAAATAAGGAGGCAGTAGAGATTTCTTAGAAGATAGTCTGGCGAAACAGAGAGAGGTATCCAGATTAGAAAGCCCAGGATGGGGCCGGGGGTGGTGGCTCACGCCTGTAATCCCAGCACTTTGGAAGGCTGAAGCGGGCAGATCACGAGGTGAGGAGATCGAGACCATCCTGGCCAACATGGTGAAACCCCGTCTCTACTAAAAATACAAAAATTAGCCAGGAGTGGTGGCGAGCACCTGTAGTCCCAGCTACTCGGGAGGCCGAGGTCACAGAATCTCTTGAACCTGGAAGGTGGAGGTTGCAGTGAGCCGAGATCGCACCACTGCACTCCAGCCTGGAGACAGAGCAAGACCTCGTCTCAAAATAATAATAAAAAGCCCAGGATGGAAACTTGGTATATGTCCACATTTGAGGATCATAGAGAAGACAGAGTAAGTTGATGAAAATCACTGTTCTAGAACAAAGGAAGAGTGTGCCATGAGGCAATGCAGACAAAAGCTTTAGGAAGGATGGGTAACTAATATTGAGTGCATAGACTGCTAAAAGAAAATAAGTTAATAAAGAACTGAGTAAAGGGTAAAAAGTAGATTATTTCTTCCTTCATCTGATCAGGCCAAATCAGTTTAATATGATTTGAATTAATATAAAAGGCAACTAATCAGATTCTAAACTCTTTTGCTATTTTAAACTATTACTTCTAATTAGATGTTCAACTTTTAAAACATGTTACATATATATATATATATATATTCTCCATTTAAAAAATGTTATGTATAGTTGTTTTATTAATTGAGGCTTATCATAGATATGAAGAGACCGGGTGAGGGTGTGGACTGAAATGGCAGTGGAAATGACATGCAGGAAAATTTTTAAAGAAAAAGAAATGTGACAATATTGGGGATAACATACAAAGAAGGAAAAATGAAAATGTCTTGTGATCTTTTTACCTGAGAAAGTAAAAGAAGAAGAAAGGCATTGACACACAGGGAAGATTTGGAAGGAAGGAAAAATGGACAGGTCATTTGATATGCCAATTTCAGACATGTAACATTTGAAAATAAGAAACGGATGATGATCTGCACGTGACTTCTCTGCAAGTGGAAATTGGAGGCTGACCAGAAGGAAAACGGTACAGAATGTGGATAGGCTTACGGGTTACAGTAAAAAAAGTTACATATAAATATGTTATAATATTAGGTTGGTGCAAAAGTAATTGTGGTTTCACTATTACTTTTAATGACAAAACCACAGTTACTTTTGGATCAACCTAATAGAATGACAATTGAAAGTATATGATAGCCTAGAGACTTTTCAGTGGCTAATTTATTCTGAGACAATTTGCTTAACATAAGTTTCAATCTAGGCAAATAAAAATAGTTGTTTTTTGTTGAGAACCTATTGTTATTATTACTATTTTATGATAAGAAATTAAGGCTCTAGATGTTTATGTGACTCTCCCTAGGTAGAAAGGTCTGTCATTGGCAAAGGTAAAACTGAAGCTTAGATTAGCTTGAGACTAAAGCCTGTGGCCTTTCCACTGGCTGAACAAGAAAAAGTGAAACAGCAACTTAGCGTGAAGATTAAGTTGAAATTCTGAGATTCTGATTCATGGTGGAAGGGGGACAAAATCAGAAATAAATAATTGATACATATAAATAAAGGAAACCATATTTCTTTTTTTAAAAAATATAGCTATTAATTCAACTAAATTGATCTTGTTGAGATCAATTCTTTGAGTAATATATCATGATAGATAACTTGCTGATACTATGAAAGGTGTATTATATTTTGGTCCAAAACCAATAAACCTAGGAATAAATTTAGGCTAATCCTTTTGTTCAAGGATTTGAGATCACATCATAAAGATTGAGTGTACTATTATGAGTCATTTGGTTTATAACAGAAATTCTCAATTTATTCTAAATTTTCAGATCTCTCCAAGTTACATTGATTTAATAAGGTCCAATGCCATGTGTAATTGCAGTTTGGCAGTCAAATGGGAAAAATATTAAAAACCACTGAGCCACTTTCATTTAGAAGTATAGATTGTCGTACCTCTACCTATGCAATTGTAGAGAAGATCTTATTCTTCATGTGAGACATTCTTGACAACTATGTGCATTAAGCCTTACGCTATTTTTGGTATGTATAAAATGCCCCTTGAGATAGATAAAAGCACTCTGTGAAAGCATTTTGTTATTGGCTTAAAAAAGATAAAACTAACAGCCTAGAGTTGCACAATCTTTCTTTTCCTTAGATATTAATTATATAACATAGTATTTTTGCTCTTCTACCAGAGGTGTTTTTGGTTATCTTATTTGCCATATCTAAGTATCCTGTATGGAACACTGAATTGTTAGTAATGACCACTGTTTTCATCCTCATTTCCCTCCAAAAGCAGAAAAAAAAAGACCAATACAATAACTAGTATTTCCCATCTTCTAATTATTCATTTCCTGTGGGATAAGATAGTGGCATAGAAAAGCAAATTGGATCATAATTATCTCAGGTTCTTCCCTCATTCCACTACGCCCTCACTCAAGTTATCTTCACTGAATTTGTTTTGACTTTGTAACCTAATCAATTACAGAGAGAAACAATGCAAGTATCATGCTTTTAAACATTTTAAATAAGATATCTCATGTCTCTATTATTTGGAGCTCTTAACTTTAAAAGTCCAAAATTCATCTCAACTAAGCCTTAGGCAAAGAAAACGGGACTCTCTTTTTAGATATTACTGCTAAGTTCTTTAGGAAAGAACTTTTACAGCTGGATCCAGGTTCTCAATGAAAGTGAGAATCTCTCTCCTCCAGTTCTCTACTTCTGCTTTCTTTACTTTCATACAGGCTTTTCTTGTAAGAAAGTAGAGATAGTTACCCAAACCTACTACATAGCAACTGGTCAAGACCATTGAAACCCTTTTATAGAAAAATGCCCCTTTTCCAATTAGCTGAGGCTGTAAGCAGGGTTCTCCTTGACCAGGATTGGATGAAAGATCTACTATCAAACCATTACTATGGTCTTCTGACAGAACAACAGGGGTAACAGTCAATTTTACTTAATCAGCAATTGGAAGTAAAATATTGTACTATTTGATTTAGTGTAAAGAAAAAAAAACTTCATCTTTTTCTGGCAAATACATATGCTTGTTCCTGTAAAACAGCAACAAAAATCTGCATTTCACGTCAGTTTTGTCTCAGCCGCAAAGTGAATAGCCATATTCTGTGGCCAGTTATACTATTGAGTTTATTTCAGACACTAGGTACCATGGAGCTCCTTTGTTCTCTGTAGACCAGTGGCTCTCAAGGTTGGCTGTCCATGAAAATCATCTGAGGAGCTTTAAATTTTGTCCTTCCTAGACATCGGTCTCAGATATTCTAATTTTATGGGTTGGGAGCTGTGGCCAGAATAACAGGAGTTTGGAAGCTCCTCCAGCTATTCTAAAGTACAAACAAATTTGAGAACTTCTGTTAATGTTCTGTATTGTTTTCATGCTAAATCAAATTTCAAATTTCAAATTTCAAATGTATTATGAATTGGTGAACATTGATATATTTCATGCCTGAGAAGAAATTGTTTTTCTTAGTTGATTAAGATAGCATATTTGAAGATGATATAGTTTTTCTATTTTTTCATAGATTCTTTTGCTTACCTAGGTTGTAGTCTTTATCATACTATATCATACTTCAATTAGCTGTTTGATTCTTTCTCCTTTACATTAAACTGATAACGCCTGAAGGTATTCCCTATTATTTTTATGTCTCCGACTCTTGTATCTTCCACAGTGTTTGTTATTTAGAAGGTACTTAACAAATGTTTTATCCAGTGTTAAGAGCAGCTGAATTTTGTATTCTTGTAGTTGAGTGTACAACAAAAAATAAATGGTTATCTCTGCAGGATTATGGGAAAGGAAGCAAAACTCATTCTTTTTTTCCCTCTAACTAGAAAACTAGTCAAGGTAATTTAAATTGTTCCCAATCAAATGTCAAAGATGTAAGCCACGTTAAAATGCATCTTGCAATGTAAAATAATAAGTGGGAAAATTAAAGTTCTTCTACATGAACACTATTGATAGTTAGAGGGTATTATATTCATATAATTCAAGAAGTCCTGTGAAGTGTCTAGAGGCAATTGACTAAAACAAACTGAATGTTTTATTTTTATCCTTGCCAACTTGGAATTTGTTTAATATTTAGGTAGGTGGTTTTCTCCTGAATGATGTTTGAAGCACCATAGTACACAAAATAAAACACTGGCTGCACTGACATGCTGTTCTTACCACCTTAAAACCCAATAAATGAACACTTTTTTAACCTATTTTTATTTGTCTTCGTGCTTTTTTTTCTGAGTCAAATTTTATAATTTTATAAAATAGAAGATGAGGAAAGAACTAATATACATTAATTGTTTACAAATTTCTATGTAGAAGGTCACTTTCATTTTGTGTTTACTCAATTACTGACAAATATTTATTGAACATATCTATTTTGTTGAAGGGATTGTGCTAGATCATTTGACATTTTAAACTTAGTCATCAAGATCATCCTATAAAGTATTATTATGCTTACTGATAAAAATAAAAATTGGAAGCATAAAACTAAACAGATGAATAAGAAAAAACTTTCCTGATATTACACAGCTACAAATTGTATAAAAATTAGGATTTAACTCACATATATTTGACTCTAAAATCCATATATTTTTCCATTTCGCCACAAATGTAATTCGTAGCATCCCTCCAATTGCTGTAAATGTTGTATTTTCCCATCTCTGTTAGTCTGTTTGGCATTGCTATAAAGGAGTAACTGTGGCTTGGTAGTTTATAAAGAAAAGAGGTTAATTTGGCTCCTGGTTCTGGAAGCGTATGAGCATGGCACCCGCATCTGGTTGGCATCTGGCAAGGGCCTCAGGAAGCTTTTAGTCACAGCAGAAGGGAAGAGGAGCAGAGCATCACATGGCAAAAGGGGGAACAAGAGAGAGAGGGGTAGGTCTCAGACATTTTTGAACAACCAGCTCTCCTGCGAAGAGAGCAAGAACCCACTCATTACCATGGGGAAGGCACCAAGCCTTTCATTAGGAATCTGCCCCCATGATCCAAACTCCTCCCACTATGTCCCACCTTCAACATTGGGGATCACATTTCAACATGAGATTTGGAGAGGAGAAACAATCTCATTCTATTACTACTCCTTAATTTCCCATTCTTAATTTTGCAAGATTTCATTCTTATGTGAAATTTGACATTTTCACTGAATTAAGGGCAAGTTAAAATACACTTTGGAGGACACTGCACATAAGAGGCCTCTGACTTGGCTCAATCCCATTTCTTGGGCAGCATTAGTCCTGGCACATGTGCCTGTGATTGATTTTCTACCTCAGCACTATATGACATGTCAGGACAAACAATGAGATTGTGATGAAGTCACTTGCTTAAAACTGACAACTACAATATTTGTTTCTGTCTTTCTTTACATGTATTTAGGATAAATATAAAACAACCTTTTACAACTGATATTTACACGAAGGTTTAAGAGGTCAATTTCTGACTATGACTGGATATCTTAAAGCAAAACACAATTTGTATTTAACTAGGACACAATCAAACTTACTTGTGTGACTTTTGATAAAACATTTTTAAAAATAAATACACAGTATACCCAATATTGTGGATAAAATTCTCTTTGTTTGACTTTACTAAATCAATAGTTTAGAACCAGGGTCTCCTTTGCCCCTTGGGAGACATTGGGCAATGTTTAGAATTTTTTTGTTGTCACAACTGGAAAGGAGGTGTGTACAACATTCTACAATATGCAAGACTACCTTCCACCACAAAAAAATTCGACAATCCAAAATGTCAATGGTGCCAAGATTGAGCAACCGTGCTTTTGATGGATCATCAAAACCAATGCTATATCACTATATCTCAAATTGATTGCTAACTTGTGTAAGCTACCGTACATGGTGAGTTAAAGAGAAGAAGAATAAACTTTTTGAAGTTCACAAGCCTTGACAGACAACCATGACTAAAATACTGAAGAGAAACGGAACCTGAATAAGCATTTCTTAAATATTGAAAGCAGAGCATGGTACATTTTAAAAAGTAATCAAATTCTATCTGGAGTGGCTAATGGGGAGCCATAGAAGTTTGCTATTAAGCAAAGGAAGGGTCAAGGCTGGCCTTTATTATTCCTCCATGAAAGCTTCCTGGAAGCTGACTTAACAAAGGAAGAATTTTGATGTACAAATTTATTTGATGATGAGTCAGGAGAAGTGATAGCCCAGGAACTGACTTTACCTTGACAAGAACAAAGATGACTGATAAAGACACAAATCACCACTGCCTCACAAAAAACAACAGCAAAACTTAAAATTTTTGAACTTGTCACGTTTGTAACCTGGATATTTAAGTACTTCACGTTTGCTCTTTTAATTGTCACATCACTGTGAAGTTATAGAGGCTTTAATGCTCCTTTTTAAGTCCAAAGGGATGTTTCCCACAGCAGGCGCTTTCCATTTATGAGAACTTAACATGTTTCCTGCCCTAACAGTTTTTAAAAAAGGAAAAAGAGTGACCTGTAGAAAGCAAAATCATCTGCTGCCACTTACCCACCAGGGGAAAAAAAATCCGTTCTTTATATTATCTAACTCTAAATAATTTAAGTAATTTACTTTAACTTAGGCCATGAAATCGACTATTAACTATGTCTCTTTCTTAAGAATACACAGATAATACTTCTGATATGTAAGAAGGTTACAGTGGAAAATAACAATTTCAATACAGAAGCAGGTATTAAGGACCTATTCATAAAATTGTCACTCTCAAATCCCTGTTTCTATATTCAACCCTAAATCTCTTTTGAAACATTTATCTGTAAGCCAACTTCAGTAGGCTAGAGAAACTACTTCATACTTTACCATTCTTTTAATCTTCTTTCTTTTCTCCTTCCTTCCTTCCTTTTTCTCTTTCTTTTTCTTTCTTTCCTCTCTTTCTCTCTCTTTGTTTCCTTTCTTTCTTTTCTTTCTCTTTCTTTCTTTCTTTCTCTTTCTTTCTTTTTCTTTCCTTTCTTTCTTTTCTTTCTTTCTTTCTTTTCTTTCTTTCTCTCTTTCTTTCTTTCTCTCTTTCTTTCTTTCTTCTGGAAAATTCTCACTCTGTCACCTAGGCTGGAGTGCAGTGATGCGATCTTGGCTCACTGCAACCTCCGCCTCCTGGGTTCAAGCGATTCTTGTGCCTCAGTCTCCTGAGTAGCTAGGATTACAGGCACCTGCCACCACATTTTAAACTTAGTTAGTCATCATAATAATGCTATAAAGTGATATTATGCCTACTAATTTTTGTAATTTTAATGGACACAGGGTTTCACCATGTTGGCCAGGCTGGTCTCAAACTCCTGACCTCAGGTGATCCACCAATGGCCTCCCAAAGTGCTGGGATTATAGACGTGAGTCACCACGCCTGCCCTAATCTTCTCTTTCTAATTTATTCAAGTAAGACATTATCAAAATAGAAAATAATCTAAAATGAGGAAACACAAAAAGAGAAAAACAAAAGAAATTACCTAAAGACTCAAAAGCTCAGATAAGAACTGTAAATACTTTTCTGTATTGTCTTCTGCAATATGACATATAAAATATTTAAGGTTCTACATCACCCAATTTCATTTAAATAGATTGTAAATGAATAGCTAAGTCAATCAATAGGTGCTACGTCATTTTTAATGGTACCTAGTTTTCTTTTGTAACCATGAATCATTATACTAATTCTGTATTTTTGAATGTTTAAATTATTTCCAGTATTATGAATGTCTTAGTGAACAACACCCTGTTATATACATCTTTGCAAATATTTAGGGAAGACCATTCCCCCAAAATGGAAATATTGGGTAAAACTATGAATTTTTATTGATATTGAGCAATTATGCAGCAAAAAGTTTACACAGTTTTTTTCTTTCTTTTAGGAATTGAGTATCTGCTTATCAAAACCTCATTACCATTTGATATTATTATCTACATTTTTTGAATTATTATCTACATTTACTGAATTTCATATGTTTTCAGTAATAGTGATATTAAACTTTTTTGTACATATTTCTTTTTTTGTATTTATGTCTTTGTTGATTAATAGTTTATTAAATTATATTTTCTTTTTTTAATCTTATTCATAATATTACTTTGGAAATATATGTAGATATCAACTTTTGTTGCAATGTTTTCCAGTCACCATTCATTTAATTATTCCACAAATATGTATTAGCATAAACTATAAGCTACACAGTGTCCTACTCCTAATGACAAAAAACAATCGGTAGTAAAAAGCTAACAAGCTCCCATTTTCATTGAGCCTACAGTCTGGGAGGTGGCTATAAATTAAATAATTATAGAGGATGTATGCAAAATTATGAATATAAGTGTTTGATGGTATTTCTGTCCTTTGAAAATATAATTTAAAGCATGACTTATGCTGAATAAACAAAAAAGGCCTTTTAGAGAAAATGATGCTTAGAATGAGCTCTGACAGATGAATTGGTAAGCAGAAAACAATGCCCAGCAAAGGGACTAGCAAATGCAAAGCTAAGGCAGCCACTTTTCCTATACGTTTCTAAGACTAACTCAAGTTGTTCTCTGACAGTCTAATGAAAACAGATTAACACGGCAGATAACAGGACAAAATAACCATGTAGTAAACTCCAGGCTAGCAAAGGTTTTGGTGTTTCTTTCGTCTATAAGCCACTATGACAATCTAGTAATTGATACCAATATGTAAGCCACTTTGGCACCAATCTATAAATTGGATTTTTTAAAAATCCTGCTAATGGCATTGACAGCATTAATATCTTTGGAAGCACAGTACTTCAGTACAATGGGCAACAAGCCATGCATTAACCATAGGGAAAGTTGCATTTTTCCATCTTGATGGCTAACTCAACATGTTTAAAACAAAAGTATCTCTGTTGCAGAAAGCTTTCCCAGCAGGAAAAATGGAGACAAAAATAACTCAGGATGAGCTGAATAGCAATAAAGTCTCATCTTTGCTTGGAATTCTGATAAGTGGATATTTGGAACACTTTCATGTTATTTATTCACTCAAATAGCAGATATATTGTTTTCACAATTTTGTGATCAAAATTAATTGTCAAAAATGAAAGCAAAGTTCTTATTTATTTGTTTATAATTAAAGTTTACCTCTTAGGAATTATTTCTGCAGAGTTGTCAACCCATTCTCAATTCATGGTAAAATCTGATTATTTCTTCTCCCTCTTTTTCCTTCTTCTCAGGGTGACCTAAGTAGTTAGCAGGCTTATATATCATCGATAGTGTGCTGGTAAATGTTTAACAACAACAAGCACTTTGGAGGGAAAAAATAAAAAAGGCCCTGATTTGTAGGGTTTCCAAGTTTCTGGTATGAATGTTCACATAGTGGCCAATTTTGAGCTTCCAACTTGACATCACTGAATGCGGTGTTGGATAGAGATGCTCACACTTGGCTCTAATGAGATGGTGGGAAGCTACTGCAGTGTACTATTCTTTATAGCCCTGGAGTTGGGAAATGTTTGTGGCTTGAGCATGTTCTGCTGTTCTCATTGGCCTCTGCTAAGGTCTTTTTCTCCCTGATAATGAGAATTGGCTTCTGTCTTCATCATCAGCATCTTAGGTTGGTGTATTTTCTCTGATCCTATGGAACAGGCAGACATTCTGACTGTTCTGGAGATAGCGTGACTGACTCTCTGGATGACTTTGCCCCAACCCTGGCTCAGCTCCTGATGGCTTTACAATTCCTGCCATGGAATCCATAATTCCCATAACAATTTCTGGGCAGCTGAGTTAGCATTTATTTCTCTTCGGCACTCTGATTCTGGAAAGATATGGATATTATCTACGTCTTATGCATTGTGAGGGAGATTTGAGATGCAGGATGTCTATCTCAGACTTCCATTGTTTCACACTGGCATTTTTACTCTTCTGCAGCTATGTAGGTCTAGGAGCATTCTGTACCCATTTAGAGAGTTCCTGATAGTCAGTAGCTCAAAATTTCCGTTTTTTTCAGATCACAAATATAAGAGTTGTCTTCAATAGATGCCATCCCTCCTCTCTACTCCCTCCACCACAACCCAGATTTTGGCCACAATCATGGTTGGGCATCTGAACTCTATGCTCTCTCTTACTCATCTTGTCTAAGCTTCCAATCCCAACAGTTTTATCTCTTCCCTGCTTTTGGAAAAACAGCTCTAGTTTAATTATTGCATTATTCGTGATCCAGCATTTCATGGATGTAACCTAGCTCTTGAGTTTTCTAGGTTTAGCTCATGGTAAGGAAATCCTGATATTTAGAATTCTATTAAAAAC
Organism: Homo sapiens; assembly: GCF_000001405.40. Lineage (NCBI taxonomy): Eukaryota > Metazoa > Chordata > Mammalia > Primates > Hominidae > Homo > Homo sapiens. The sequence goes on from NC_000004.12 coordinate 31,596,585, forward strand.
AAACAAAGTATTTTTCTCTCTTAATTGCCTGCCTCATGAGAATTCAAAGCACATTGGGCTTTACATTACTGTTTGACAATAATATAAATATATATATATATTTGTAAATTAGAGCTGAGTGATGCTTATTTTCATCTTTGAGATATGAGGCTTTCAGAAAGAAAAAAAATAGGCTAAAATTCCCTATACCACTCTAAAATGCATGTTCTTGATGTAATGGTAAGTAATGAGGATACAAGGATGAAAAAGTCAGACGTGCCCCCTTTCTTTATAAAAGTTAGTCAAATTGGCATGCGGACCAATTTTTTAAAATAAAATTAATGTGCTATGATAATTGCCAAGATGAGAATAGTACTGGGTGCCATGTGAACTCATAAGAAGCATTGCTAACCTAGGCTGGTATAGACAGGAACAAAGTCTATTGAAAATTGTGACTGAGGGCTTTGTGATTAATAAACTGGCTCCAGTTAGTGTATCTTTAGTACATGTTGTCGAAATTTATGAAAGATGTATCATGGCCAAAATGGTTATATGGCCAAAAGGGAAGAACAACTGACCTCTTCACGGTAAGGATATGTCTTGACTAATGTAGAACAATGGAAGATAAATAAATGGAAGAAAAAAAAAACCGGAAACTCTATCTGAAATAAAGTAAGAGCTATAACTACTGGCAAGCATTTTGTAAGATGAAGGCTAGAATATTGTTAGCACTGCCTTAGTTTGTGCTAAGCCACCAGCAGTGGTACCCATCATTACTTTGCACCTTGAGTGTAAATGTCAAAAGCATAGTTTAGGAGTTTATTTTTGACTGTACAGACTCCCAGAAAGGGACTCAGAAACTTCCAAGTGTCTGCTGGTCACACCATGAGAATCACCTGTCTATAAAAGCCTATCCCACTTTTCCTTCTGTTTCCTTGCTGACCTCACCCTCTTTTGCTCTCCTCTTCTTCACTCCATTTCAGCCACATTGACCTGATTGCTATTTTACAAATACTGCTGACATACACTAGTTTTTAGAAGTTGCACTGGCTGTTCTCTCTGCTTTGGATGTGATCTTCCATCACATTCAAATGGCTATCTCCCCAAAGGCTAACAGCTAATTAAGCCATTGCTCAAACATTACCTTATAAATAAGACCTACCCTGTCCACACTATTGAAGATCGCAACTCAGAACCTTTAATTTTACTTACCTTGTTTTATATTTTTTATAGCTTTTAGTACATTCCCTTTTTATGTTTGTTATGCTTATTTTTTTTTTCCTCTCATCTCCCACTAAAACAGAAGTTTTATGCAGGCAGGGATTTTTTTATATTTTGTTTATTGCTGTATCTCAAATGTTTATATTGAGTCATGTATGGTAGGTATCAATAAATATTTTTGAAGTAAAAGGTGAATGACTCTAATTGCATATCATTTTATGAATCAACTGCTCTTTTTCATTTCAGAGGATATTAATAATACATAATAATAATATATTTTAAAATTTCTGCTCACTTTATTATTATTATTACTATTATTATTATTTTTGAGACTGAGTCTGCTCTGTTGCCTAGGCTATAGGGCAGTGGCACAATTTCGGCTCACTGCAACCTCCGCCCCTGAGGTTCAAGCGATTCTTCTGCCTCAGCCTCCCTAGTAGCTGGGATTACAGGTGCCTGCCACCACACCTGGCTAATTTTTGTATTTTTAGTAGAGACAGGGTTTCGCCATGTTGGCCAGGCTAGTCTCAAAGTCCTGACCTGAAGTGATCCACCCACCTGGGCCTCTCAAAGTGCTGGGATTACAAGGGTGAGCCACCACACCCAGCCTATCTTTTCCCAAGTATTTCTTATTCTTATTGTTTTCTTTTGACTTGTCTTTTGTGCTGGAGATTTCCTCAAATACCTGATGAGCTTTTCTCTCCATTCATACTTAATAGTGAGGTTCTTAAAGGCTTCCTAGATGCTCTAATTGCATGTTTTCATGGGAGGGCTTTTCTTTAGACTGAAGAAGAATGGTTTGCCTGGAGTCTGTAAGTAGGACTTCTTCCTTGGGTAGTCAGTATCTCCAGAAAGGAATTTTCTAATGCTACCCTGTATGATGGTTAACATTGACTGCTAACTTGATTAGACTGAAGGATGCAAAGTATTGTTCCTGGATATGTCTATGAGAGCGTTGCCAAGGAGATTAACATTTGAGTCAGTGAACTGGGAGAGGCAGAAGCCACTCTTAATTGGGATGGGCACCATCTAATCATCTGTCAGCATAGCTAGAATAAAGCAGTCAGAAGAAGGTGGGAGAGGCTGACTTGCTGAGTCATCTGGCCCTCATCGTTCTCCCATGATGGATGCTTCCTGCCCTCAAACATCAAACTCCAAATTCTTCAGCTTTTGGACTCTTGGACTTACACCAGTGATTTGCCAGGGGATGTCAGGCCTTCGGCCACAGGCTGAAGGCCACACTGTAGGCTTCCCTACTTTTGAGGATTTAGGACTTGGACAGGCTTCCTGGCTCCTCAGCTTGCAAACAGCCTACTGTGGGACTTCACCTTGTGACTGTGTGAGACAATTCTCCTCAAAAGTCCCCTTCATATATTCATCTACCCAATTTGTTCTGTCTTTCGTTGCTGTTGTTTTTTTGTTTTGAGACTGAGTCTTGCTCTGTCGCCCAGGCTGGAGTGCAGTGGTGCAATCTCTGCTCACTGCAACCTCCGCCTCCCAGTTTCAAGTGATTCTCCTGCCTCAGTCTCCCAAGTAGCTGGGACTACAGGTGTGCACCACCATGCCAGCTAATTTTTTGTATTTTTAGTACAGATGGGGTTTCACCGTGTTAGCCAGGATGGTGTCGATCTCCTGACCTCATGATCAGCCCACCTCGACCTCCCAAAGTGCTGGGATTACAGGCGTGAACCTGTGCTTGGCCCAGTTCTGTCTCTTTAGAGAACCGTGACTAATACACCCTGACAGTATACATTTATGTAAGACTGGTTTGTATACATTGAATACCAAGTTGAGAAAGATTATTAGTGGTCTTACTCTTAAATGTATAGACTTATTTAATCCAGATGTCAGCAAACTATTGCCTACAGTCCAAAATCTAGGCTATTTTTGCAAATGAAAGTTTTATTAAAACACAGCAACACCCATTCATTTGCATATTAACTAAGACTACTTCCGTGCTACAATACCAGGGTTAAGTAGCTGCAACATAAAGGCTATGAAATGGAAAGCCGAAAATGTTAACTAACTGGCCACTTACAGAAAATGTTTGCTGAACCTTAATTCCTGTTTCTAGTATGGTTCTTCTCCACTGTTATCGTTGCTGCCCTGTGCCTTGGTGCACAGTAAATTTTGGTTTACTTCATAGATGTAACATGTATTCCCCTGCTGGGAGTGGAGGAGGTAGATCTTGTCTTTATTGGAAGGACTTGGGAATTTACCTGCTCATCAAATAATCCTCTTTTTCAGCCTTGCCTCTCACCTTTTTCTTGTTAGGCACATGATTCATCTATTCCTATTTTTTTCTAGAATAAAGTAACATAATCACTCTTACTTTTGTATGCCATTGGTCTTATAAGGCACTGTGGTATAATCTTTGTTTTTCTAATAAGACAACTTTTTATTTCAGTTTTTCTGAGAATGTGCTAACCTTTCTCACTGCTTGATTGATCTTTTCGATGTTTTGTTGTCCTTTCAACACTCTCTTTTTTTTTTTCTGGGAAGAATATAGATAAAAATTATATTAATTCCATTGTGCTGAATTTAAACTCATCAGTACTATTTTTAATTTTCTACATTTTAAATATTATTTTTTATTTGTAGTTTAATTAATGTTTAAGCAATTTTCTATGAGCTTTTTAAATTCACTTAAAAATATATATATTCAATACCTGCAAGTATGGTGTGTGTGGGTGTGTGTGCTTAATTTGTTAAAGACTAAGAAGCATATGTAAGTTTGCCTTACATTTTTATGAGGTTTTATTTTATAAGTCTCAATGGTATGCAATTTGGTGAATAAAAATTCATGACATTTTAAACTGGACTACTCACTTCAACAATAAAAACTGGTTCCTGGGACTCATTTAATGCTTAAAATTTTTATTGTGCATAAAAGGAAAATAGTTCTACAGGGCTTTTAATATAATAAGCTCAGGATCATAGTTGTCTCTCCCGTCCTGTTCTGCAGGAGAACGTCTTCTAACTTAGTAATTTTTTGATAATTTGATAATTATATTATTACATATTAGTATATCTTATATATATTATTTGTTTGGAGATTTATAATTTATACTTACGTATATTTATCCATTTTGGTAGGCTTAATAATCACCATTCAAATAGGTCTCTGCCTAAATCCCCTGAATCTGTTATGTTTACATACATGTCAAAGGGGACACTGCAAATGTGATTAAGGGTAAGGAGCTTGATATAGGGCGATTACCCTGAGACCTTAAAACAATAAAATGTTGAGAAGAAAGAAGAATAATATAGTGAGACCTTTTATGTACGAAAACATTGCTTAACCTGAATATATTTTAAAGATCACTAAATAGAAATTTGCATTTCTCAAAAACTTAATAGAGTGAAGAGTAAAGTCAGTGCATGAAAGAAGATATTTACAATACATATAATCAGTAAAGGGCCCAAAGTTGGGGTATTTAAAGTAGTCTCACAAATCAATGAGAAAAAGGAAGAAAATATAAAAATGGAAAAACTTGTTCAATCACTATATACACTTAAATATAAAAATATCAATGTGCTTTATTACTCAAAGTAATAAATGCTACAATGTAATACTGCTGTACACCTGCCAGACTGGCTAAAAAGAGAAAAATAGACACTAAAAGGTAGGAGCCTGCATGGGGAGCTGAAACTCTGATCTCCCCTGGAGATTGTGAAAATTCGTAACATCAGTTTAGAAAACTATGTAGAGGTACCAAAGCTAAATAAATGCTTTTTCTGAGTTAGCAATTTCAATAGGAGAAATGTACTTAAAAATAAGTACAGATATCCAGTAAAAAATTCTGCTTTAGAATATTCATAACAACACAATTTATAATGGCTGAAATCTGAAGCCTACCTGGATGTTTGTCAACAGTTAAATAAATAAATAAATAAATAAATAAATAAATAAATTTTAGATACAATCAGGCAGCGGGAAGGCTATAGAGCAACACAGATGACTGGATTACAACTACTAGCAACAACTTAGATTGATCTCACAAAATGATATTAAGGAAAAGAAGCCAGACAAAAATAGTTTTTTGTATGTTTTCATTGCTGTATGTTTATAAACATGCATCAGCAGTCAAAATTTGATTTCAGAAGCCAGCAAATCAATTACATTTGATTGGAGTAATGAACAGAAAGAAAAAGCTTAGGGCTCCTGGACTGCTAGTAAGTGAGGTTCTGTATCTAGATCTATGCATTGGTTATGCAGGTGTTTTCAGTTTCTGACAATTTACCAAACTGTATAAGAGCTGTGCACTTAGCTATTTGCATAGTATACTTCCATAAGAAGCTTGCTAAAAGAAAAAATTTTTAAAAAGCTTCCTTTTTCCCCCTAAAAAATTTACTGGCCCAGGAGTTTCAGTAGTGAGTTGGACCTAGCATTTAATGATTTAAAAAAATAAATGAATGAAGAAATTCCACCATATTTATTCCCCCCAAAATTAAATCTCAATCCTACAATCACGGGTTTATTAAGCCCTTAATTTGTGATTTGCATGATTATGTACTGTGAAGGTGAATGCAAAATAGAACTTAAGTATTAATATATCTCACCCTTTCTCTAATGTCATCTTTCCTACCCTTAGAAGATAGGCAGGAAACCACACCTGGAAACCAAAAAGAGAAACCCATAAAAATACTCCCTACAACTTCAGAGCAAAAATCCCCAAATATAGAAATAGAAATTTGTAAATATGTTTATTGTTAACTAAAAAGATCAAGAAATAAAAAGTTTGGGCATGAAACGCGGTTCCACTTGTGATATATACCAAACAAAAAAAATTTGTCATTTACTTTGTTAAATAATTATGCATTGTATAAAACTTACTGATAAGCCATTTTCTTTCCAATAGAGCTCTAGGGCATGAAACTTCTGATTGGGTAAAATTTTAGTAGTGTTGCCATTTGTCATCATTTAAGGTCTTGCTAGACATTCTTCATATAAATATAAATGATGAAAACTCCCACTCTTCCATGAAGCTTATGATTTTCCAGTTCAATTTCTCTCAAGTTGTAGAAAATTTTGTGATCATATCACAGAATAATGTCTGTGTTAGTTTTCTATTGTTGGTGTAGCAAATTGTCATCTATTTAGTGAAGTAAAATGACACAAATTTATTATTTTACATTTCTGGAGGTCAGATGTCTGAAATGAGTATCACTGAGCTAAAATCAAGGTGTGGGCAGGGCTGTGTTCCTTTCTGGAGGCTATAGTGGAAAATCAGGTTTATCGCCTTTTTAGGCTTCTACAGGCTGCTCTCTTGGCCTTCTGTCTCAATCTTTTACTTATAAGGACCCTTGTAATTACATTGGGCCAATGTGAGTAATCCAGGTTAATTTCCCCATCTCAAAATTATCTTATTAGACACCTTACTTTCCTCTACAACCTTAATTCCTCCTTGCCATGTATTAATAACAGAATGCATTCACAGGTTTCTGGGATTAAGATTTAGACATTTTAGAGAAGCCATTATTCTGCTTACCATAACTTCCAATAAAATTTACTTTATGATAACTTAGCAATTGTTATGTGTACTTTTTAGTACTGAAAAATACACAGAATAACCTATGTCAATGCTGTCTAAATTCAGGCATAATCATGGCAATAATTATGCTCCTTTGCAAAACAAAGTTGATGTTCTATTTCTGATATAGACATTGAATAATTTATATTTTTTATTGGAAGAAGGATTTAAAGAAAGTTAGCCCATCTTAAATAAATGAGGACAAATTCAAATATTAATGGAAATAAAAACATACAATTCATATACTTATATTCTAATGGTTTATGAAAGAAATTGGATAGTCTGGATATGTAGGGGCTTTTAAAAGTTGTTAGGCTCTGAGGAAGGTTCACTTTGGAGACTAAATCACAGAGCACAACCTCTAAATTACTGACCTTTTGCTATAAATTCACTTCCTTCTTTATTTTCTTGTACCAGAGTCAGATTAGATGACACTGTATTAGGACTCTTGAGAAGGACAGAACTAAGAGGATATATGTGTATACGAAAGGGAGTTTATTAAGGAGAATTGACTCACATGATCACGAAGTAAAGTCCCATGATAGACCATCTGCATGTTGAGGAGCAAGGAAGCCGGTAGTGGATCAGTCTGAGTCCATACCTCAAAAGTAGGGAAGCTGACAGTGCAGCCTTCAGCCGTGGCTGAAGGCTCGAGAGCCCCTGGCAAACCAGTGGTGTTAGTCCAAGAGTCCAAAAGCTGAAGAACTTGCAGTCTGATATTCGAGGGCAGGAAGCACCCAGCATGGGAGAAAGGTGAGGGCTGGAAGACTCAGCAAGTCACCCTCTCCCACTTTCTTCTGCCTGTTTTGTTCTAGCCATGCTGGCAAATGATTGGATGGCGCCCACCCAGATAGAGGGTGGGTCTGTCTCTCCCAGTCTACTCACTCAAATGTTAATCTCCTTTGGCAATGCCCTCGAAGACATACCCAGGAACAATACTTTGCATCCTTCAATCCAATGAAGGTGACACTCAATATTAACCATCATTGGACCTAAGATAAAAGATCTCTTGACTGAGATTAAAAAAAAGAAAAAAGCCTTGATTATTATATCTTTAATGTGAAATGTTAAATGTGCCCTTCCCAAGAGAGACATCTATAACAAATCAAAATGCTGTAACTATGCACTAATCTTCTTTGGAAAATGTTGAAATCCTGTTAAGCTTTCCCAGACCTTGCCAAAATAAATGACCCTGAAACCATTACGGAGCACTGGGCCCATGTTTTTGGAGTCTGTGTCCTTCCAGGTGGCCATTCTCAAACTTTGCACTTGAATCAACATAATATTTAATCATATTGCCTGAATCTCATTATTAAGGTTAACATTTTGGTGACCCAGATAAGACCTCAAGTAAACCTCCAGTGATCCTTGTCACTGACAACAGATAGTGCCTTGCTATCAGTAAAAACAACTTTTGTTCTTCCACCCCCAGCATAGTTAGCAGGGATCCCTGGTGAGGCCTCTCTTGGGTTTGAATCCTCCCAGCTTGCTTAAGGATTCAGACTTTATTCAAGCTATACATTCCTAACTTAACAGGACTGAAATTAAAGCTCTGATGCAAGGTAGGAGTTTCATTTGTTATTCTTTAGATTTAGAATATTCTCTAAGTTCTTCTAGTGGGAGTGTTGAAGTTAATTGCTCATGACAAGTAATGGTCTCACTGGGGATCCCATAAGAAGAACGTAAAGGGAATTTCACTTAATCTAGTAGGCACTCATAAATGATTGATCACCTAGAACCTTAAGCACCCAAGTTTCTTGGAGTCACTGAGAATGTAAAAGGGAAGAAGTAACTCAAGGGTAACACCTGGATAAATCATTCCCACAAGAAGCACACTTGATTCAAAAGGCTCTCCCTACGTCTTTTGGTCCTTCAGGAAGGGAAGCTCTAAGTTATGGGCAACTGTGCATGTAAAACCACACCTTCCACCTTAAAGACAGACCCACCTTTAGGAACCCCAACTGGGTTTCTGTTTAACACCTATGGTGTCTCTTCATGAAAATATTTTAAAAATTGGTCATATGTAACTTGCGAGGACCCCAGATTACAGTGGCCAAAATGAGTTTCATTTGAAATGCCTAGTTTAGACATGCTCAATTAGAAAAAAAAAAAAAAAAGGCTCTAAAATAAAATAGAGCAATTGGGAAAGTTATCTTCAACAGCATTTGAAAGCTTCCAAAAGAGTTTCTGTTAAAGCTTTTTCTTCACAGGAAGAAAACAAAAAAAAATTGTCTTGAACAATTTCTGATTTGAAAAAGACTGCTGAAGTCCTCCTCCACCATTCTTAGCTCCTTCTTTATCCCTTATTATCTGAACTACCTTGTGCAGATCTACCTTCTCCTCATCCTACTCCTGCTGCTCTGGCTCCATTTCACAAACATCTGGTGTCCGGTAGAGGAGGACTTGCCTTGCTTTCTCAATGATGGTCAAAGATAGAGCTTAAAAGGCACAATTAAGACTTCCCTGACCCTCATCAGGACAGTACTCATTATTGCACAAAATACGAACTGAATATTTGAGTTTGTGATACTGTTTTTTTCTGATTTATATCAACTAGTTCACATGTTAGTTTCAGAAAGTAAAGCTACAGATTGACTAGGTATGGTGGATTGGACCAACCTCTTGGAAAACTTTCAGATACTGATGACAGACATGCCTATGATGTTGCTAAAGCTTTACTTGATACCATCCTTTTAGTCTTTCAAAAAATAGTTGATGAAATAAAATACAATAATGTTGACAAAATACAGGTGAGTCAGTGATTCCATATTTTGAGATTTGAAGAAAATCTTTAAACAACAGTCAGGTAAGAGAGTTATACTAATCATCAAAATGATACTCTCCCCAATTCCAATTTCATAAATGGTTAGATGAAGAATTAACACCAGTAATAAAAAGACAACACTCTAGTTGGAATGTGTCTCAAACTCATGATTTGGTGAATTTTGCCCATCCATTGTCTCATACCTTAACTAAAGAAGAAAGAAAGGAGAAGTGAAACAAAGAATAGGGCTAACAAAGTTATAAGTTAACAGTTAAAACAACTATATACCCAATCCAGGCTTCCAGAATGCACCTACAAACCTCACAATGGACCTAACCCTTTGCTTTGCAGTTATTGCAGGAAACCTGATCACTTTAAAAAGGATTGCAGAAAACTAAAGTGTGAGGAATAGCACCAGATGAAGAAAAAAATAAAAGGAAGAATAGGGATTCTCCAAGGAACTTGAAGTGATCTTTTCTTTGTCTCCTACTGACACTCTGGGAAAATAGAAATTATTTTAAATGAAGAACTCATACAAACACTTGTTCATATTGGAGCTACATTATCTGTAATAAATCCCACCTTATTACAAGGCCCTATTTCTTGGTGTAAACAAACAGTTCAAGTGGCGAGTGTCACTAATACTCCTGTATCGGTGCATAAATCTCAGCCTGTGGCTTTTCAAATAGGTAACTTACAAGAGACTCATGTTTTCCTCTTAGTTCCAACAGTCCCCATCCATGTGATAGGGACTTTTAGAATTATCCGATACCCACATTTTCTTTTCCCAAAAGGGGAAATGTATTTAGAATTAGAACACAGAAAAAAATTAAAAATATTAGACACCAAACATTTAAAACTGGACCCTTCTAAGTTACAAATTGCCCTTCATGTTTCCAGAAAGGTTACTGAATTATTAAGTAATGAAGAATTACAGAAGCTGCTAAAAGCAGTACTTAATCAATTATGGTCAAAGTCCTCCACTTATATTGAAAAAATTATCTTGGCTGCTCCAATTAAAATCCAAATACACTGATCAAAGCTTCTTCTGAACCTTAAGCAATACCACCTAAGATCTAAGGCCTTGGAATAAATAACACATATCATTTTAGATTATATAAACAGAGACTGACTTATTCCCTGCACAAGTCCATGTAATACTCCAATTCTACCCGTGAGAAAGCAAAACAATAGAGGGTAGAGGTTTGTATAGGATCTAAGAACAATTAACAATATAGTCATTCCTTGCAATTCAGTAGTGCCAAACCCCGACACATTGTTGGCTGCCATCCCGACTGAAGGTGAATTCTTTACTATTACAGATTTATATGATGTGTTCTTTAGCATTTCTGTTGATAAAAACAGTCAGTTCCTCTTTTCCTTCACTTGGAAAGACAGACAATAAATACGAATGGTCACGCCTTGGGGATACACGAAGAGCCCAACTTATTTCTTACAAGTATTGAAAAAAGACTTCTTGAATGTTGACTTTTAAAAAAATCCACTTTAATACAATATATGGATGATTTACTTTTCTGTTCAGAAGATAAGCAAGCCTCTATAAGAGATGGGATTCACTTGTTACAACATTTGACTTTAAAGGGATACAAGGTCTCAAAGGAAAAACTTTAGTTTTAAATTTAGGTCACCCAATATCAAATAAAGACCTTTTCATTAATGTAGATAGAAGAAACATTAATGAAACTTTCCTGTTCCAAAACTAAGAAACAACTAAGAGGATTTCTGGGGCTGGCAAAATAATAAAGAAATTGGATTCCATTAAAAAAAAACTCAGACTATATATATTCTTTTAAAATAAGACAAGCCAGGGCCTCTGGAATGGACAGAGGAAAATCAGTTAACACTAGAAGCAATTAAAAAGGATTTTATAGATGCCCTGGCCTTAGGACATTCAAATTATAATATTGTTTACATTTTTTTAATACCCGAGGTATTCTGATTCTAAAACTTGGGGATCATAATAGATCTACAGGATACTATAGTCTGCAGTTGGATCCAGTGGCTGGAGGACTATCATCTTTCATGAGAGTGATAAAAGCAACTGCCCTGCTAGTAAAGCAACCAAATAAATAGTGATGGAAACTCCCCTCACTGTCTTTGTTCCACATTCTATAGAAGTACTTCTAAGTTCATACCACACTCAGCATTATTCAGTTAGCAGGCTGCCCTCTTATGAAGTCTGACTGCTTTCTGCACCTCATATTATAAACTCTGAGTGTGATCATCTAAATCCTGCTACTATTCTGCCCCTACCTTAAGATGAAAAACCACATGATTGTGTAACCTGAGCTTATCAATTCCTGTGTCTTAAGATAGACCTAAGCAAAACTCCCCTTACTAGCACTAATGTTTGATTTACAGATGGATTGTCCTTAAAAGATGAATTTGGAATCTGTCATGTAGTTTATGCTATAGTGTTCTTAGCTGAAGAAATAGAAAGTGCTTATCTTCCAGAAGCAACATTGGCTCAACAAGCAAAATTGATAGTATTAATTAGAGCTTGTCAGCTGGAAAAAGGAATAACTGCTAATATTCATACAGACAACAGATATGCCTTTGGAGTCTTGTGACTTTGGAATGCTATGGAAACAAATAGTGTTCTTAACCTCTTCTGGTCAGTTCATAAGAAATAGACACCTTATTTCACAATTATTAGAAGCCATATTATAACCAAAATCCCAGATCATTACAAATCAGATACTCCGGAAAGAAAAGAAAACAAAAAACAGAACAACCAGCTGATTAGCAAAGAAGTTTGCTCTAAATATATCTAGGCAAGAAAAACAATCTATATTAACTTTTAAAGAAACCCCTAACTTGACATAAAATTAGCTCAGTTTGGAGCTCTAAAAGCAGAACAAGAAAATTAGAAAACAAAAGGGGGAACATATTCCCTTAAGGATAACATAAGGAATGGGCTATGTGACTTGCCTATACTTTGTACTGAATTACAGTCATTATTTTTTACTTATGTATATGATTTAACTCATGAGAGTCCTGATAAAACGGTTGCTTGTGGAAATCAGTATCATTGGAAACTTTCTCTTAATACCACCATAAGATACACAGTCACTGCCATATCTTCTCAAAATATCATCAAGGGAGAACTTTACATAGTTCTCAAGAACACTTTCCTTCACCTGAAGCCCCCTCAAGGTATGGCAATTAGATTTTATCAAGCTACCCCCGTCATGAGGATTCAGGTATGTTCTAGTGATGATCTGTATGTTTCCTCATTGGGCAGAAACATTTTTTATACAGAATATTATATAGCCTTAGTGGTAAGTGATATTCTCCTGGAAAAAAAAATTATTCTGACTTACGGAGTCCCTCTAGAACTTCCTAGTGACAGAGATATTTACTTCACCAGACATGTTATCCAGTCAATATGTAAGATGTGGCCAATTCTTCAACATTTTCATTGTTCATATCACCCTCAATCATCTGGGTTAGTAGAATGCACAAATGAAATAACTAAAACTGAATTCACAAAATAAACTAAGGCTTTTAAAATTTTGTGGTCAAAAGCTCTTTCATTGGTTTTGCTGAACCTCAGAAATGAGGTATCTCCAACTAAGGTAATAACAGGTAGACATTTGAAACTATCACCAGGAAACTATGAATCCATAATGCAAAAAAGACACATATTACATTACTGTAATGGATTTATAAAACAACTAACTAAAAATTACAATTTGGTTGAAAAATATATATTTTATGGTAAATCCTGGGAACCAAAAAAAGGTAAAACCCACGGACTTCAGCCAGAAGATTTTGCCTACTGGAAAGGATATCTTCTAAAGGAGTCTCCTCAACCAAAATAGAAAGGTCCCTAAGAGGTACTTTAAGAATAATTGTGCTGCAAGGCTAGAAGGCATAAACTCATGGATTCACACTTCTCATCTAAAGAAGGCTGAGCCTCCTGAATGAACTGACTTACTGGAAGATGATCTTTGACTTAAGTCAACACAAGGCCAAGAAAAAGACAACTAAGGTAGATAGTTCTTCCATGATACCAGTCCAGGCCTGTGTCTGGTAAATAATGCTTATACTTATCTACTAGTGACTATTATAATCATTGTTTTAGAAATCTTGTTAATTGTTATTATTTTGTATGATATAGAAAATTTCTTCCCCAGCTCTTTGGGAGGCTGAGGCAGGTGGATCACTTGAGCTCAAGAGTTGGAGACCAGCCTGGGCAACATGGCAAAACCCCATCTCTATAAGAATACAAAAATTAGCCAGGCATGGTGGCACATGCCTGTAGTCCCAGCTACTCCAGAGGCTGAAGTGGAATGGTTATTTGACCCCAGGAGACAGAGGTTGCAGTGAGCCAAGATGGTGCCACTTTACTCCAACCTGGGCAATAGAAAAAGACTCTGTCTCAAAAAAAAAAAAAAAGAAAAAAAAATTATTCCCTTGCCCATTCTAGTCTGTTGATACAATTTTTGTTTTACAACTTTAGTAGGTAGTTCTTATGGTTGTTCCTTTGTCTCAATGTGTAGAATGATATGATGACACTTTGATTAAACTATTCCAAAGGACTGCTACTGCAGGAAACTTATCTGATGGTTGGATCTGTCACTTGATTCCTAGATTTGTTCATGACCAATATATGTCATTTGTAATACCTGTCACTAATTTTTCAGATGTTCCTAATGTCATTACCTATTCAGACTAATCTCCCTTCAAGCTGACTTTTCAAGTCCAAATTATTCATGAAACTAATGAATGCTTCTATATGTTGACTAAAATTATCTGCTATCAAATCTACTCAGAAGGAATTTGGCCCTGGCCTTCTTCATTCTATTCCTTATTGAATTAAGAAATGGATTGCTGAAAACAATGAATCTATGCTTTGTCAACTTATTCCTCTCATTTCATGTAATGTGAGCAGGTTCTTGCAAATATGCAAAAAAGGAAATCTCTGGATGGACATAATGCTCTCTAGCCATCTTGTTAGTGAGGCCATTAATGAACATACCCTCAGAGGAGTTTTTTGTGCTCTCCCAAGTTATGTATTTGCATGTGATATCAAGATTGATTGGCTACTCAAGGTTGGGCAGGCAACGTTGCTGCCTCTATAGCTGGTAAATAGCTTATGCTTTTTAGGGCATTTTGTAACTCCCTCATACTTACATAAAAATATAAAATAACTGCTTTTCTCTCTCCATTACAGAGCTAAATAAAAGGACTATGTTAGAAGGATATGATGATAACTTAGGTAAAAACATTTTTGATATACTGATCCTAAGTGCTGGAATTTATATCACTAGAGATATGATTCAAAACCTATCAGGCACTATTGGTCGGACGGTTGAAGACACTGCAAAAGGCATTGCAGCTCAACAAAAATCTTTGAACTCCTTAGCTTAGGTGTTACTAGATAACAGATTTGCCTGAGACTACTGGCAGAAAAGGAAGAGTCTGTGTAATAGCACACACCACTTGTTGTGCCTGTACTAACACCTCTGGAGAAGTAGAGACTTGATTAGAAAGAATAACCCAAAAGGCTAAACTGTTACAAGACATAAGAGAAACTGATCCTTTGAATGATTTGCCTAGTTGGCTACCCTTGGGGATGCTTTCTTAATTTTGTTCTCCTCCTCAAGTAGTTATTATCATAATCATAAACATAGTTGTCATTTTTACAGTTATCAAATTACTTACGACTTGTGTTTCACCTTGCCTACAATTAGCAAATAAAATTGGGATAATGATTGATTAGAAAGTTGCCTTAATTGAAAATATGGTCATGTGACCTGAACTGCACCCCATAAGTTACTTTGCTCCTGATGCCTTATAATCCAGCCTTACCCCTTTTCCATTTTATAAATTAAACAATTCCTCCCTCCCTAGGACATGACTCTCTAAGAATAAGTCTTCTTAGCAATGTGAGATTTAATTACTCTCTAATAAAATATTGCTTCTGTGATGCTCTATTCAAAAGATCTTGAAGAAAAGGGGAAATTGTGAAAAATAAAAAAGGATAGTCTGTTTACTCTGGTTGACTTTGAGACCAAGTCATGGAGCATTGCTTCTTAATTACTGACCTAACGGTATACATTCATTTGCTTCTTCATTTTCTTGTACCTGGATCACAGATGATAACCTTGACTAACATAAAATACCCTTTTTACTATTATATTCTTATTAGGGAATGTTAAATGCACTTCTCAAAGGAAACATTACGAATAACCAATCAAAATGCTGTACCAATGCATGGATCATCTTTGAAATATGTTGAAATCCTGTTAAGCTTCCCCAAACCTTGCTTATATAAGTGACCCTCAAATTTCACTATGGAGCATTGAGCCCATGTTTTAGAGTCTGTGTCTTTCCAGGTGGCCATTCACAAATTTTGCACTTGAATAAACACAATGTTTAATCGCATTGCCTGAAACTCGTTAGTGAGGTTGACAGGTTCAGCAATTAATTATTTTATTATATCTGTTTCTATTGTAGATAAGTACCATGTACATAATCTTCTTTCTGAATGAAATATTTAACACTCAGCTTGAGTAGATCTGTACATATGATACTTTTAATATGAAAATATAAAGGTTATTTCCAATTTGATACAAAATTAGCAAAAAAAGATGGTTGAAAAAACTAAACATTTAATATGTAATTATAATATGATACATATAATTATATACTTGTCAATCTAAGAAAAGACACTGGCGAAAAGTATCTACTAATATAATGAGTTTATTCAGGAGTAGGAAAAAAATGATTATAATGAAGTACAGCTTTGGCAATACATAGATATACTTGAAGAGGCTATGTAGCCAAACCAAAGCAGATTTTAGCCTTTTTCTGCAGTACCTGTAAACAATTTAAATATGTCATTCCAAAGCCTTGGTAATATAACCAAAATTTCCAGTTTTATCTTGTTATAAAGAATGTACATTCTTATTGCTATAAAAAATAAGAATGCTCAAAATAGTTTTTAAATTTTGGAGAGATCAAGTAGGGAGAAAAAGTAAATGTTTTCACGTTTGTTCACAAAAGTATAATTTACCTAATTGTTGTCAATTATAGATAGCCCAAGAGAGAAATTTTTCTTAAATCTGGAAAATAAAACATTTAATTACAGAACCAACAATGTTTTAAGTTAAACTCATAAAAACATTACCTTAATCAGTTACTTAATTTCATGTAATTAATTTTTGTTCTTCTTCGTCTTGATTAACAATTTTATGAATTAATCAATTTCTTCATTAGAGTTTTGGAAAATCTTTATTTAGTTCATTAATCTTAAATTTATCAGAATCCCGTATTCAAGAGTACTTGTTAGAGTCTTCCAAGAATCAGATTACACATGCCTTTAAGAAATATTGAAACAATGACTGTGAGTGATGAAACTTAGACTAGCTGTGGTTAAAAATCGAAGGAGAATTCATCGTTAACTAACAATTACAAAGAAATTTAGTTATTTTTGTGGTAAACAACATAAAAACTAAAATTATTATTGATGACATAGATTTTAAAGAACTTTATATAATTTTGGAAACTTCATATGAATAATATACCCATACATTGACTGAAAGAAGATCTAGCATCACTTCTCACTTGACAAAGTTTTCTGTATCTACCCAACATCTCAAAAAGCCTGATTTAGTTCAATATCTCTCTTTTATAAACCTTTGAGACTTTCCAGGACTCTCTGAAACATCCCAACATTGGTTTGAGGTAAAAAAATATATATATATATACATAATTTAATCACAGGAAAGCCTGACAAAGATGTCAAAAGGTCTAAAACACTTGATCAAAATGGGATCTTAATGGGATTCTTTAAGTGCTCCTTGACACCTGGAAATCGTGGCCATTGGTGCCTCTGCACAGCCTTCACTCGGCTCTAGGCTCACCACTGGGCTTGCTCCACCCACTCTGCCCAGCAGGCTGTGGTTGCTGCAAGGTCCACACTCAGCCTGCAGCTGGGCTGGGCATGCTGTGATCTGCTTCCAACCTTGGGTGCCAGAGTCTGGATGAGGTGGATGTGGCGTCACTCAAAAACTCAGAGATGCCAGCAACCACAGAGTCCCAAGGGGTGTTATGGCTCTCTCCCAGGAGTCCCAAGGTCTAAGTCCTCAGAAATTGTTACAGCTCTCTCGTCTTCCTGCCACCCACAGTGCAGGAAACAGGTGGAAGTGGGGTCATGTTACAGCTCATTTCTGTTACAGCTCATTTGTTTCTGCCACCCACAGTGCAGTGAACAGGGGTATGTGGTGCCTAGCAGCTTTCCCCCCGCTTGCTCAGTGAGCTGGAGGGAGGGTTACCATATTACAGCTCTTTTCACCCCTGCCATTGGGAGGGTTCCGGGTTCTTGACCTGCAACCATGAAGAATGACGTTATGCTGACACCAGAGAGTGAACAAGGCAGGGAAGAATTTTATTGAGTAACAGAAAAGCTCTTGAAAACAAGAGCAGACCTGAAGCGTGTAGCCCTCCATGTGAGAGGGGTTGAAAGCATATAGCCCAATGTGTGGCTGAGTCCAGGGTTTTTATGGGCTCAGAATGGGGGATTGCATGCTGATTGGTCCATGGGCAGGCCTGGAAAAATCACCATTTGATTGGCTAAAAGGCATCGAGGAAGTTCTCACTCCAGTCAAAAACTGAGCTGGCAGCTCAGTTTTCAGGCTTTAAATTGTCTTTGGTTTGAAGGTCAGGTTTTACCAGGGACCCATCCCTGTCTGCCTAGGAATTTGTCTGCCTCCTGCTGCTATCAATCACATGGCATTGTGAAATAACAGTAATTCACTTAACCAGAGTGACAATCAAAAGACTTCAAAAACAATTTAAAAAGTTACATGAATGATAAAACAACAACAACAACAACAACACTCTTTCAAAGCTCAGTTTTCCTAAGTTAAAAAAAAAAAAAACTAACAAATACAACATTAAATACAGTAAATAATCTTATTAAAGTGTAAAATCTTTGTTTCTTAGGCTAGTTACCAATGAGGTAAAGAAAAAGCTCCTGTAGCATGGTTGTTTCTACTTATGAAAAGCCCATTTAGATAACCTGAAAGTTGGACCTAATGAAAAGGTACTTGAATTCAGTTTGATACAGGAAGAATGTTTGTTCAAGGTTATGAGTATACATCACATTATAGAAGAATAATGTAAACACCTTGAGTGGGGAAATACATGGACCTTAGTAAAAGCATGGGAAATTTCCTATTTACATGAACAAATTCAGACATATCACAGAAAGCCAAGAGTACATAATCAAGTGATACTGGAGGAAAACATTGCTCTAAACTGTAGGGCTGCAGTTCAGAAGATTGAAAATTTAGAGGAACAGATTTCAGAATTAAACTAAACCTCTTGCAGTTTTCTTTGTTTTTTTTTTTCCCCCCAAGGATAGACCAACATTCTAAAAAAATCTTATTGCTCCAAACATAAATAAACAGACTCTAGTCCTGCACCAGTTCATCCCTGACACCAATGCTCAATTATTAGAAAAACACATAAACAATTCCCTACATCCAGCAGCCAAACCACAAATAAGACCCAACTTTCATAAACTCTCCACAACTGGCTTAGATCTATCATTTTCTTAAACCCCTAGTCTTTGTCCTATATTTCCCCCTTTTTTAAATACTGGAAAAATCAATCATTTTACCTTAGGACAAAAATTCACTTTTTAATTATTTTCTCTTATCATTGAGACAATAGAAAATTCTTTCTCATATAAAATTACTGTTTTTGTACATTTTACATACAAAATTACATATGTTAATCAGAAAATTTAGCAACTGTAATTTTTAGTGAAAACCTAGGAAGTAATTTTGAACTGTTATCTCACATCTCATAAATATATCATTCATAACCTCTAAAAAGCATATTTTGTAGAATATTTTAATGTAGAATAAGACATATTTACTAATATTAATATATTCAAATTTATAACAAACTTATGTTCGCCAATTTTTTTTGTATTTTATTTTACTTAGAAATGATTATTTGACATTGCATGACTGTATCACTATTTCATGTACCCCATAAATATGTACACCTACTATGTACCCACAAAAAAAATTTAAAAACCCAAAAGATTCAGACATTAAATATCTATTACATAATTTAAATATTTTATATTTCATAAAATGTTAATTTATAAATGAATACCCTATTTAAGTTAACCTAATTTATTTATTTTTAACAATTATACCTAGATTAGTTATGAAAACTGAGATATTAAACTGAGTTTGTCATAATTTCAATTTTTTTGTCAAAGAAAAACTCTAAAAGTTAAATAATTTTGCTTTATATGCATTGTACTCTCATCTATACATTTGCTTTTAGGTCAAACTCATACTTTTAAGATGCTAAAATATTTATCAAAGACAAAAATAAACAGTCTAGCCAGCAAATCTAGGCAAAAAAAAAGTACTCTAACAATTCTGATAACATCTTAATTTTTATCTTATCAACAAATTTAAAACCAGCTTATTCATCAAAGATTTACATAAGTCATTATGAACAAAAAGGCATTTGCGTTAATCACTCACTATTTTTTTTTATAAATAGCTTAATTCAGGTGCTTAACATTTTTCCTTTCAGTCAGTGAAGCTCTTTTATATATTTGGGTAGAAAAATATCACATACCTATAAGCATATAGTTAAAAAATACAGATGAACAAAAACAAACACTTTACAGAAAGGCCTTACAATTTTTATTTTAAAAGATTAGTTGTGAATAAAACATAGTATTAATAATATAACTTCATCAGGTTATATGAAGACAGTTGGATCCAAATTATATTTTTAACAAAACAGTCAAGGCTAAACTTTAATATTTTTTAGTTATCCCAGTACTTAATCTTATAAGACTTATATCTTATAAGACTGTGCACCAAATTTGGGGTAAAGTAGTAAGAGTTAGTTACCAAAATAATGGACAAAGAATAGTTAACTGTGAAAATATGACAAAATAATGTAAGGAAGCTTAAAAGATAACAATTATTCTAACCAGGTCCATACAGTATTATCTTTATCTTAATTTTTTTATCCTTGAAGATTAATTGTGTTACCTTTTTTTCAAGCATAAGGAGACAGGGTGCCTATTACATGACAATTTCATCTTCTGCTTTTAAGAAACAGTGCAAACATCAGAATGAATATTTTTATACCTGCTATTTTTCAAGTATCTTTACTTAAATAGTCAATATGCCAGAATAGCTGAGGAATTTTGGACAAGGAGAGTTTAGCTCACAAAAGAATAAAGAGAAAGAGGCATAGGAAAGGGAAGGAAGACTCTGAAAAAGAGAGTCTCAGCCAGCTTTGAGACAATATCTTTCATGGAGGCAATTTTTGAATCTTGAATGCATTTAGAAGTTCCAAAGTTCCAATTGAAGTATGCCTTTCACTCCGATTTGTTAATTTTAGAACCATGATATTTTAATTCAGCCCTAAGAGAGACATGTTTGGGAAACTAACAGACTGTCAAGAGGACCCATTGAATATCTAAACTAGTTCAGGTGTACTTTGCCCATTGATTTAAAAATGTGCACAGGAAAGGACCATAATTTTTACATGTATAGCTAACCGAGGTCTCAGAAGGGGAACTTTTGTTGCATGCATTGAAATTTGGGGATTCCATTCTTATTGATAAATGTTAAAACACAGAGAAGAAAAGCCTACCAATAATCAAAAGTATAAACATGAACAAACAACTCAGAATAAAACTGAAACCAGAAGAGTACTCACCAAGTCCAGAAAGAGAAACTGTCTTAGTACCAGAAAGGGCTTGCCAGAAAAGACAAAAAGTGTAAAAATCTTTATTGTCCCAGAAAGAATGCAAGGTTTTTTATTAAGTTAGTGTTAATCAAACTAGATCCAAAATGAAGTCCTCAGGGAGCTGCTATCAAACGGAGCCCACTGGACCTGAGAGAAGGCTTACCTGGAGAGAAAAAGGTGACCTAAGGAAGTGAAGAGTACAAAGTACTCAGTTGTGGGTACTTCAGTCGATTCCAAAAGTCAGTGATTCCCTCAAAATTTCATCTTGCTTCAGGGCCACTTCTGACACCAGATTATATCAACCTAAAAAAAACAAAAAATGAGAAACAAAAAAAAAGGACATCAGAGAAAAATATGTCAGAATATGATGAGTTTATTTGGGAGTGTACAAAAAAGATTTTAATCTGGAAGCATAGCCATCACAAGACATCGGTGCATTCAAATAAGGGAGGATAAAGGGCAGCTTTTAGTGGCAAAAAAATTAGTACCTCTAAGCTGCTTGGAATAGAGCTCTTTGGTTCTGGAGGCTCAAAGATAAAATTGGCATCAGTCCATTGGTGGAGATGCCTTTACTGGGCAAGTGTTCTTTCCAGAGCATCTTACTTGAATTGCTGCAGTCCTGAAGAAGAAACTCCTTCTAGGGTCATTTTAGAGAGTCCTTGAGACAATCCTTATCTTACACATGCAAGCATGAGCTGCCCTCCTCCGTGCTTTCCTAGTTCTAATTTGATTAGGGCCAATAAGAATGACTTTATCGTGGTATCTACAACTTTCACATACTATGTGTATTGTATGTATTAAATATGTGGTATTATATATCTTGATATATTCCCTATATACATATATGCACACATACGCTATATATAATATACTGTATATTATATATTTAACTGTTTCTAATGCGTATTTCTCTGCTTACATATGTGCATATGTGTTCAATTATATACTCTACATATTAATGTAACTGTAATATTCCATATAGTCCATTTAATACATTTTCTAATACAGTTGTCTGCTTGTATGTTTGCATGATTAATAACATTGGCAAATATTCCAAATACATAACCTGAAATTGAAAATAAATGATTTGTTTCAAATTATTAAAACCCTTGAACAAAAATGCAAAATCTACCCAGGCATTCATGGAATGCTTTAAAATCCAGAGAAAATGAAATAAGGATTAAACTTGAACTATTCTGCAGAGGATATGGATTTACTATGTGAATAGTTAGGAGTGTTTCAATTCAAGCAAAACATTAAATGATAGTGTCAAACTCTTAGCCTGGAGCGTATTTATCATCAATTTCTTTTCTTGGTAGTAGCATTAAGGAAGCATTAAGAAAAGGATAAAGTACATTTAATGCTGTAGGAAGAAAAAGTTAATGATCCTAAAAGATGATCATGGCTGCTTGTCCTTGAATATTTAAATAATTTTTCTTAGCTGGAAAGTTATAAAAATGCTTTTAAAATGTTATTGGATTTCATATGAGATGTAAATCCTTTAATTTCCCAAGAGCATTAAGTGGGCAAACTCACAAACCAGATTTGACTTTCATTGTCCTGTCTGCTTTTATGACTGACATCTATTACTTGTTTTTAGAGTTTATAAGATCAGTGCTGCAGGAGGCATTTATTTCTTCTGAAGACTATTGCCTGCATTGGTAATAACAAGTATCAGAGCCCTGCTTATGACCTCAAGATCCAAACCACTTTCTTTTCCCTTTGAACCAATTTAGACTGAGAAGCAGAATTTTCATGCTTTCCCACTCAATGATTTTTTTTCAGAACATAAGTTGCTTTATTAAAAGTAATAAGCATAATTTGAAAAAAAATCTATTATTTTATGCTTAATAACATTTACTACTTATAAATGATATATGATTGAGGACAAAATTTAATTAATATAAACACAAAGATATCTTTTTTATTATATACTCTTTTCCAGATACTATTAATATTATTTCCAACACTATCTTCCCAATTTTAAGAAAGAAGCAACTAGTCTTGACTGCTTAGCCTGGCCTTTCATGTCTCTCTTTTGATAGGAAAACTAATCCTCAAGTTAAAACTGAAAAGGGGGAAATTGGTGTTTTATTATCCCTTGAATTAATCCTAGTCCTATTGCACACAGGACATGTCAAGTTCTATGGATTCCCAACAATCTGCATTTCTAAATCCTACATTTCATAGGATAAAAGAGATGGTATTTCTAAAAGCTTTAAATGCTGAAATAAACTACGTTCTTGTTTATTTTTTTATTTGCCTTTCTTTTCCATTTGGTTATTTTTTTACATTTTTCCCTCCCTTCCTCCTCTCTTTCTCTTTTCCTTCCCTTCCTTCTTTCCTTTTTTCCTTCTGTATCAAAGCCAATTAATCCTTTGTTTGTTTTTTATAAAACTGACCCCAAGGTTATCTAATCAGAATTTTGACTGTTACATAAAATTTCATTTTATTATACATACACATATTATCTCTTTATTTGGGGAGTTCAGTCTTACTTTAAGCAGAATTTCTTTGCACACTGCTTTATTTTATTTAATTTTACCTTATTTTAAGACATGGTCTCACTTTGTTATCCCGGCTGGAATGTGGTGGTATGATCATGGCTCACTGCAGCCTCGACCTCCTTGGCTGAAACAATTCTCCTACCTCAGCCTCCCAAGTAGCTGGGACTATAGGTGTGTGCTACCACACCTGGCTAATTTTTGTATTTTTTGTAGAGATGAGGGTTTTGCCATTTTGCCCAGGCTGGTCTCAACTCCTGAGCTCAAGCAATCCGTCTGGCTCGACCTCCCAAAGTACTGAGATTACAGGCATGAGTCACTGTGCCAGGCCTTGCACAATGTTTTATTATTGTAAGAAAACCATCCTTTAGCCATTAAAAATTATCTGTGAGTTTTTCTTTAACAGTTTGCTGAATATCCCATCAAAACTCTAACTGGAGGGAGCTCAACTTTATTACCCCAGAAGTATACTTCATGAGTATCTAATTATCATGTAGACCTTACATTGTACTTAAAACTTATTTATTGAGAAACTTTATTATGGTATCTTCTTATCTACTAAATTTCCTACCTTATTTTTGGGTAAAATAGGCCATCATTATTTCCAGAAACTACAGCTAATTAGAATGTAAATATGTGTTCATTTAAACTGAATTAATATAGCATATATATTTTTAAATGATTGATTCTTCTTAAATGAATAAAATCATCTTTAAATTATTTCTAAATTATTGATTCTGACATCAGAGAATTCTGCTAGTCATTTAGACATAATTACAAAGCTAAAAATTATCTTTCCTTCTCTCTCCCTCCCTCTTTCTCTCTCGCTGTCTCTCTCTCTCTCTCTCACACACACACACACACACACACACTCTTGCCTCCCTCTCTCCGTTTAAATGTCTGAAAGTTGCACTCTCTTGCAAAAATTTTATAATTACAAATAAAACTCTAGCCAGTAATTATGGCTTTTTCTTTCACAAAACTCTCTCCTCTTTTAAAAATACTATTTTTTAGTATTATGTCTGGTAGGAGGAAATACGTATTTAATTTATTCTTCTGATCCAGAGAACCTCAACAGATGAACAGTGTAAATAATCATAGTTTGTTAATGCCTTTCTAAAATATTTTGTCTGCTGTTAATAGTGCCATTTTTCTGAGATCTACTCTTAACTTTTCTGCTCCACAGAATTTTGGCTTCAGTGTCTATGTTCTTCTGCGAGCTATGCTCCCTGCCACTGTTGATAGGGGTCAGGTCTCAGAGAACTTGCTTTCCCAGGAACTGCTCTGTCTAAAACACAGTAAGTCATCAAAAACATTTTCTGAACAAATACATTAGTGGACAATATGGGCTGGTTCATTTTAAGATTCAAATAACACCTCTTCCACATTAAGGAGATGTTCCCCTTAAGGGAACTAGAGGGGGTTGGGTGAGATGAACAGGATTTTGCACAATGGAACAGGATTTTTTAATTTGTGTAATGTGATGATCATACTTACCTTATTGGTCCTTCAAGGTTCCACCATTTGGAATCAGCTGTTCTTTGGAATTTTCCTTCCTGACATAATTGGAGTCATTCCTGTATTAAAACACTCATAGACACAATAAATTGCATACCTAGCACACCTGGTGGAAAGTTGCCCACCAGCATTCTGCTCCCCCATGCTTCATGAGAAAGTAACCATCACTACCCCAGCTGACCCCCTTTGTGGAACTTGGCCTTCAACTAATATTTCTGCATTCTGATGGATAGGACTAACCATCCTTCTTTTTACTATTTATAAGCTATTTGAATGAGAGGAGAAAAACTGTTGGGACATAGTAATTATGTTGAATTACATAGTTGTACTCAACAGAACTAATTATAGTTCAATTAAATATAATGTTCAAATAGAATTATCATTTTATTATTTCAATAACAAATATTAGTTGAAATGTAAATATGAGGTTATTTTAGATTAAAAATAGATTAGTTGTTACTTTTCAGAAATCAAATGTGACTAAAAGTCATGCAGATTCCAGTATAATTCTGCCTTCTGAGAGTTAGTAATTGCTATATTTGGATTTCAAAAAAATTGATAAAAAGTTACTATGCGGAAAGGGACTGACTTGAATTGTGAGGTATCTACACAATGGATATGTATGGATAAATCTGTGTTACACACACTTGAGATTTCCAAGTTCACACAACCTGAAATAAAAAGTGGTACCAAAATAATAGTATTAAAAAGCTGCGGCTGGGCGCAGTGGCTCACGCCTGTAGTCCCAGCTACTCGGGAGGCTGAGGCAGGAGAATGGTGTGAACCCGGGAGGCGGAGCTTGCAGTGAGCCAAGATCGCGCCACTGCACTCCAGCCTGGGCAACAGAGTGAGACTCCTTCAAAAATAAATAAATAAATAAAAATTTAAAAAAAATAAAATAAAAAGCTGCCTGCAGTAAAATGTGGTCTGGTTCTCGACTAGTCCCCCCAAAATTTAAAGCTGTTCAACTGAACAAACTATATGAGGCAAAAGTTTTCAGGCACATGAGAAGGGGAACTTTCACACCGTGAGCCCTAAATTTGCCTCTGATTTCTACCCATGAATAATTTCCTGGCTGTGGCACAGAGAGGTATCCCACGGAAGTTTTGCTAAGCAAACGGGGCAGAGCGCCGACTCGGGCTGTTGATGCAATCTCCAGAACATGACACTGAAGAGTTCTTGTCAAACATATGCCTAACTTATGTGAACATCTTCGGTCACAGAAAGCTCATATCATCTTTGGACAACTCTGATTATTACTAGGGAACTGAAATCTATATCTTTATTATGATAGCTGCTCTTCATCATCTTAACTCCTGCCAGTTGTCTAAACATCATGGTGGCTGATGCAGATAGCCCTTAGACATTGACACTTCTAATTAGCTCATCATCCATCTGCTTTTGTCATCTCTAATGCTATTTCCTCACTATGTGAAAATATTTTGGCCGAGCGCAGTGGCTCACGCCTGTAATCCCAGCACTTTGGGAGGCCGAGGAGGGCGGATCACGAGGTCAGGAGATCTCGACCATCCTGGCTAACACCGTGAAACCCCGTCTCTACTAAAAATATACAAAAAAATTAGCTGGGCGTGGTGGGGGCGCCTGTAGTCCCAGCTACTCGGGAGGCTGAGGCAGGAGAATGGCATGAACCCAGGAGGCGGAGCTTGCAGTGAGCGCAGATCAAGCCACTGCACTCCAGCCTGGGTGACAGAGCGAGACTCCGTCTCAAAAAAAAAAAAAAAATTTTTGGCTGACCAGTTGGTTATTTTTTCTTTTCTTCACCCAATCCTCTATCAAAATTTAAACGTCATTCCTTTCTATTATTCTTACCAAAATATTTTAATTTTTTTCCTTCCTAATTATAAATCCTTCTGTCTTGAATGTAAGATTAAGCATAATTTTCTGTTTCATAGTGAAAAGTGTTATAACAAATGAAATGAAACAATGTTTCCGAAAGTCTTTTTTGATACGCTAGATGTTATTCGTATTTAAAATTTTATTTTCCCTTTTTTCCTCATTCTCAAAATGTTTTTTAATAACTATGTCACTAGAACTCTGAGGGATACCAAGGGAACACTAATGAACAATAATAAGGTCTTTGACATTATAAAACTTACAGTTTTGTGGTAACAGTAGACATTAAACAGATAACTACACAATTGATTAATTACAATTGTGATAACTAATGAGATGGGCACAATATAGAGAGACAGTCTATTCTGAAGGGTCACAGTGGACATTATATCACATATATATTTACAAAATACTTGAAAGGCTTCACAACTTATATAAATTATTGCAAAAGTTATCATAGAAAGAAATTTTGGTATCCAGTTGCATTAAATGAAGTTAATGACAAGTGTAGTTTTATCTTATTTTTACCTTTTGCTTTTTTCTAACTGATAGACTTAACCAAGTAATCATAATTAATATATCCATTAAAGTTTCTGTTTTTTATTGAAGTAATAGTGAATAGTAAACAGATAGTAAGTCATGAAACATTGTCTTTTTAGATAGATAATAACAGTAATAGAAAGAAATAAGATTAATGTATGTTTTGGTATTATGCCAAGCTTTCTCTTGCTCTTATTCTTTCTCTCTTTGCTTTCCACCCTCCCTCTCTCTCTCTCCCTTTTTCTCCTTATATCTTTGTAATTTTATTTAATTCATATGATGACATAATATGTAAGTAGCATAATTTTCCCCATTCTTCAAACAGGCAAACTTAGACTTTTGAGACTTTAAGAACTTTGCTCAGGACAACCAAATCCTAAGTGGCTTAGGGCAAAATTCAAATGCAATTATCTCTATTCAAAGATATATACACTTACCTGGTGAGTCGTGGTTTCATAGACCTTTATTAAATGCTTACCTTGAACTAGGGACTACTTTAAGCAAGAGGGAAATAAAGATGAATTTGATATGAGCCTTGATGGCAATGTAATGTCGTAGAAGTAAAGGAGTGTAACCACTTCCTAAAAGAGAAGAGTAGCATTGCCTAATTACCTGGAGTTAGAAGGTTCAAAAGGCTTCACAGAAGAGACACTCTTAAGCTCAATCATGAAGAAAAGTCAGAGTTTGCCCTCTAGAAAATAGCTGCATGTGCAAGATACTGTACAAAGGAGGAGTAACGAATATTATACAGTATAATTGAGGAATCATAAGAAGCCATATACAACTCAATTATAGAATACATTATTAGAACATTTTCTGGAAAAAATAATACAGGAAGCCAGAGAGCAGTGCTTGCAAGTAATGATGGAGTTGTAAGTAATTCAATTTAACTTAATTACTTGTTGATTCTCAATATGGGGATTAATTGTATATAGTCTTAATTTTGTTTTAAATATTAAAGAAGTCTGCAGCTTTAATTTCTTTCTTAATATGCAATTTATCTAAACCTCAATTTGGAAAATTTCCTCAGTTAAGTAGAAATGTACATCTGTTTTGAGGAAAGAGAAATAGATGGCACAAAGTAATCGATTACACAAATTGAGGTTTCAGGTTTGCTTTTTCTGTCTATTTGTTTATTAAATGGCTTTGAAAGAATTTGTTTGACATGAAATCAAAAGAGGTTTGTAGGAACTGTATTATCTCTTTTCATGACAATGCATAATGAGCTACTGAATGAAGGATTAGCTACCTCTGCCATTTGAATAGTCAAAGGGAATTTGTGTTTATTTCACTGTCAGCAGAACACAGCAACTTAGATATTCTCTGCATATTTTGACATTCCAAAAATTTTTTTCTGTATATAACCTCTAAAAGTTAAATCACGAACCAATATTACTTGTTCTTCTAGTTTAGAACTACTAGATTCTATTAAAGAACATTTGTATGTACACCAAAAACCTGTTTGAGCAACTGCAATCATTATTTGCTTCTACCTGTGCCCACATCCATACTGACCTAAACCATCAACCTTTGTTAATGAGCCAATTATTTCCAATGGGGACATTATCTCCCCGTTTATAAAGACTGAAACAACAGGAATGAATAAATGCTACATGATAAAGGGGAGATTAAAACTACATGTTATTATGGACTGAATTGTGTATCTTCCAGAAATTCCTATGTTGAAACCCTAACTCCAAATATGACTGCATATTGGAGGTGGGGCCCTTAAGTAGGTAACTGAGGTTTAATGGGGTTGTAGGAGTGGAGCCCTAATTCGATAGGACTAGAGTCCAGTGTTTACATAAGAAGAAGCGATGCCAGGGATCTCTGTTTCTCTCCCTGTGCTCACAGAGGAAAGGCTATGTGAGCACAAAGTGAGAAAGTTGTATGCAAACTAGAAAAAGAGAACTCACCAGAAACCAACCCTATTGGCACCTCTTGGACTTCCAGCCTCCACAACTGGAAGAAAATAAATTTCTAATGTTTAAGCCACAGTGGCATTCTTGTGGTAGCCCTAGAAGAAAATATGAATTGTAATTAGCCATTTTTGAAGATACAGGAATGAGTAAAACAGCCCCATACATTCGAAGGTCTTCAATGAAGTAGACTTCCAGGTTGGCAGCCCCGTGTGGATGGGCTATACCATACACAGAATCTGTAAAGTGGGTTTAACTCTATAGAACTAGCCATTGTGTAGCTAGGATAAAACTTAGTGTTGTTCTACTCCAGACTGAGCATCAGTGCTTACTCTCTAAATCCACCTCACTATTAACCTCTTGCCAATGAATCACCAGAAAACAAGTCCTAGGTGCAACTTATACAATTATTTCCCTATTCAAGTTGCCAAGAATTTGGAATAATGAAGTGATTTACTTTTATAACATTAAAACAAAATTACACATAAGTTGTCAACGTCTATGCTTATCAGCTAGCAGATTATTTAGAGTAAATGATTTGGAAAAAGTCAAGTCCTTGTATTGCTCTTTTTAGCATTTTGTCTTTGAAAAAGTGACTTTCTAATGGCCAATTTATTTATCAATATGTTCAGAAATAATAACACTTACTGCCTGGATTTTGTGGTGATTAAATGAGAAAATTGCATAAAGCAACTAGCATAGTGTCTGATACATAAAGAAAGCTTCATCTATGCTTGATACAAATCATTATAGGATATAAATTTACAGCAATATACATCTTGGTGTATGTAGAGACATATTACATTTTCTTCCATTATGGTGATACTTCCTGTAGTTTTATGTCTGTGTTATTTTCGTAAGAAGAATTTAAGTCAAATATTTGAATGTGGTATTGAGTAAAGCATTACTCTGAAGAATAAATAACAGGGATATTTTAAAAAAAGAAAAACACTGAAATCCTAAGGAGTATTTATATGTTTTAAATGTGCTATTCAAGAAAATCATAGCATCAAACCTTATCTTGCCAAATCCCATAAACAATAAGAGCCAGTTCATGGCTTAACAGTATTCAATATAATTATTTTCATATTACATTAAAATCTAGACTCAATTGAATATTATGGCAAATTAAAATTATAAACTAATTCTATCAATGTGACATTGATGAATTTCCCCCTGCAGCTATTAATAATTACAGCCATAAGAAACTTAAAATATTAAATATTTTATCTCATTTTGCTCTTAGATTAAATTTGTGAAGGGAGCTAATATTTCCATTTTAAAAAGGAGAGATTTACATCTAAGAAAATTCAAGTCTTTTGCCCAAGTTTGCTATTCAGTGGCAAGGTTGTAAGGAAAATCAAGGACTATCTAAATTTCAAAGTCTGTATTCTTTTTATTGCTGCTATAAATTGATATTTGACAAAGTGTATATCATACATAATTCTTTTTTAAACATGTGTTTGAAAAATTGTTTTAATTCCATTGACATTGATTATCTGTAAATAGTTTTAATTGATAACATGTCTGGTAAGCAGGCCAAGTATTGTGACATTAGCTTTTTAGGATAGTGAGTAAAAAATTCTAGTATATAAAATATAACATTATTTGTAATACATGTGTATTTCAAAATATAAAATAAATTATAACTGATAAATCTTATTTTTTAAAAACAATAGGATTAAACAGTAGGATTCGTTTCTGAAGCTCCGACAAAGTTAATTTTTCTAACTTGTGGAATTACATGTTACACCCAAGTATAATATAAGTGAACTTTAGAACACCATAATTATAAAGAAAACTGAGTCATTAAATTGCCAAAAATAGAAAAAGCATTTTATAGCAGAAATTGTCTTCTGTTCAGATAATTATTTAAATATAAGGTCAAATATTCCAGGTTTTTTAGAAACGCAGATAATTAAGGTAGGTGATGCTAACACCATTAGACTTGGTTCTTTGGTGATTAGAAATTAAAAGTATTCCAAGAGACTCTCTTGTTGCAGTTGACAGAAGAACATGCAAAAGGTGAATAAAATGTATTATTTTACCTAGTTTACATATGATTAACCTTTAATGGAGAAGGCACTGGCTCAAATATTGCTTTCAAATTAACAGGCATTCGCTTTTAAATCAAAGGAATTTCTTTGCTAGCAATATGAATGGAATATACATTTCAAATAAAATAATTTCCTTGGTGGCATTTAAACCACAGACTTTAACAAAGATAGATCCTAAAAGTGTATAAAAATGAATGAAAACATATGAAACCATAAATTAGATGAACAATTTCAGGATTTGAACAGGGTTGCTAGATAAAATACAGGACACTCAGTTAAATTTGAAGAATTTTTTAGTAAAATTATGGGCTGAATTGTGCTCCCTCCTCCACCCTTCACCACCATCACACATTGATGTCCTAAGCCCTAGGACCTCAAAGAATGGGATTGTATTTGGAGACAGGGCCCTTCAAGTGGTAATTACATTGAAATGAGATCACTGGAGTAAGCCTTTATCCAATATGACTGGTGTTCTTATAAAAGAGGACATTTTGAACAGAGGCACGTACAAAGGAGAAGACTGGGTAAAAACACAAGAAGACAGCTGTCTCCAAGCCAAGAAGAAAAGCTGTCCAAAGGAACCAACCCTGCTGTCACTTTTACTTTGGACATCTAGCCTCCAGACTGTGAGTAAGGTTTTGATTGTTTAAGCCACCTGGTCTGTGGTACTTTTTGTCTGGCAGCTCCAACAAACAAAAACAGTATCTTTTATTTGCTAAATTTGGCAATCCTAATGATAAAAAGTTGTCATCAATTATAGTGAAGACCATATGTAATTGCAAAGAACTAGGTAAGCAAATTAGTTTTTAATTTATTATCACTAACATTAACATTAGTCCTTTTAGTCCTTTCTCTAGATCCTAATCATCCTTTCATGAAAAGGAGAAATTAGCGTTTTATATTTAGTTATCTTTTGTACTTAAAATTACTTTAAAAATTTCTGGCCGGGTGTGGTGGCTCATACCTGCAATCCCAGCACTTTGGGAGGCCAAGGCAGAAGGATCATGAGGTCAGGAGTTCGAGAGGAGTCTGGCCAACATGGTGAAACCAGGTTTCTACAAAAAATACAAAAATTAGCCAGATGTGGTAGCACATGCTTGTAATCCCAGCTACTTGGGAGGCTGAGGCAGGAGAATTGCTTGAACCTAGGAGGTGGAGGTTGCAGTGAGCTGAGATTGCACCACTGCACTCCAGCCTGGGCAACAGAGCGAGACTCAGTCTCAGAAAAAAAAAAAGAGGAATTCCATGGAAAAAACTCAACTGACCTTTCTGTGTTCAATATTTAAATAAATATAGCCCATATGCTCTGGATATAAAATACAATCTTTTAGAACATTTTCACCCTCAGAGTTCTATGATTTTATGATACTGACATGAAGAAGGAAAAAAATTAACACTCAGTTTATTCATTTATTTATCACATTGTTTCTTACTGCTTTTTAAATCATTTTTTTATGCTTATAATAGTAGACCATATTTGTTGAAGAAAACTTTAAAGTAGAGGATAGAAGAAAATAGAACATAAAAATTATTTTCAATTTCACTACCCCAAGATAACCATTTTTCTTTTTCTGTTATTTACTTATTGTTAGAAAAAAAAGGTGGGGGGATACATGTGCAGAACATGCAGGTTTGTTACATAGGTATACGTGTGCCATGGTGGTTTGCTGCACCTATTGATCCATCCTATAAGTGCCCTTTTCTCACCCTCCAATCCTCAAGAGGCCCTGGTGTGTTTTGTTCTCCTCTCTGTGTACATGTGTTCTTGTTGTTCAACTCCCACTTATGAGGGAGAACATGCAGTGTTTGGTCTTCTGTTCCTGTGTTAGTTTGCTGAGAATTATGGCTTCCAGCTTTTTCCATGTCCCTGCAAAGGACATAATCTCATTCCTTTATATGGCTGCATAGTGTTCCATGGTGTATATGTACCACATTTTCCTTATCTAGTCTATCACTGATAGGTTTTTGAATTGGTTCCATGTCTTTGATGTTGTAAATAGTGCTGCAATAAACATATGTGTGCATGTGTCTTTAGAGTAGAATGATTTATATTCCTTTTGGTATATACCCAGTAATGGGATTGCTGGGTCAAATGGTATTTCTAGTTCTAGATCCCTGAGGGATCACCATACTGTCTTCCACAGTGGCTTAACTAATGTACATTTCCACCAATGTTGCAAAAGCACTCCTATTTTTCCACAGCCTCGCCAGCATCTATTATTTCCTGATTTTTTAATAATCCTCATTCTGACTGGTGTGAGATGGTATCTCACTGGGGTTTTGATTTGCATTTCTCTGATGATCAGTGATGTCGAACTTTTTTTCCTATGCTTCTTGGCCACGTAAATGTCTTATTTTGAGACGGGTCTGTTCATACCCTTTCCTCACCTTTCAATGGGATTATCTGATTTTTTTCTTGGGAATTTAAGTTCCTGTAAATTCTGGATTTTAGACCTTTGTCAGATGACGTGAAAGGTGGGGAAAGGATGCATCAAGGAGATACTTGTGCCCAGGCCATGTTTTGTGGCAGGGCTGAACTGTTGCCTAGGAAGAAGGTAGACATCAATGAAAGGGCCCATGACAGCAGAGGTGATGCTTGTTTGTGCCATGGCTGTGGTCTGGTGTCCTCTGGCACTAGGAACAGCCTCAGAGCTCAAGAGTACACAACTAAATTGGAAGAAAGGCCTGGCACTGAATCATATTTTGAAATGGGGATTACTGGAGACCTTCCTGTTTGTACAGCTTGCCTCGTTCCACAACTATACGCGAAGAACAAATGTTTCAACCACTGGAAAGTCAGGCTCCACATGGAGTAACAGCTGAGTGGTGGGAAGGAAGGAGACCCCTTTATTCATCGCAGCATCTCCAGACATAACATAATGCATGTAGCCAATGGTACTCAATAAATGTAGCATTAAATGAACTACTATATACACCTGACCCCAGAACACCTTCTCTCCCTAGTAAATTGTGTTTCTAAAGTCAGAATTTGTATTATGCCCAAGTTAAAATAAATATTTCAGTTGTCACCCAGAAGTAACTTTTGGTATATTTTTAGCAGTTATTACCTAGGCATGGGCAAATTTAACCATATGAAGTTAATGTCAACCTACACAGCCATCAACTGCATTGAATTTTTTGCATCAACATCACCACATATGCATTTCCACTTAAATTAACATAACCCAAAATTGCTTTAAGTGTTTTAAAAGATAGCACCCCATGGTGCAGTATTGAATGAATTATAGGCCTGAAGAAGATTGCCATCAACCAGGCAAAGCAACTAAAGGCAGCAGACATTTCAAAATCGTTCAAAATAGAGCGCAGAAATGTCATGGCTAGAAGCCCATGTTAGTATGTCTGGCAGGAGCATAATTCAAATACTGAGTATTTGTCAAAAGCTTCTGGGTGACTCTTATGCAGCTGCTTAACTTTTAACAATGTATAGTTCAATTAATGGAATAAAAAGAGAAAATGTAGACAAACCCTAGAATTACTCATGTTATTTTAAAATATGCTGGAAGTTTTAAAGAAACCAAAGAATTCAAGGTCCTGAGGATGGTATAGGAAATAAAACTGGTCACTCTGAAGCCTAAAGTAATTTAGAAGACTCTTCAAACTTGAGAGTTTGAATGCAACATAGATTTGGTTTTATTGCGACAGTAAAGAAAGAAGTTTTATGTAATAGTGGGAAAAGATATTGTTATCTGGGAAATTTTAGATTATGTTAGGTATGTTAAGTATAATGTTGCCATTGTTATTAACAATTATTTGCACAAAATAAAAATATAATTAAAAAAATACTGTGTTCTGGCCAGCAGATTGTTCACACCTATAATCCCAGCACCTTGGGATGCCAAGGTGGGAGGACTGCCTGAGCTCAGGAGTTCAAGACCAGCCTGGGCAACATAGCAGGACCTTGTCTCAACCAAAAATACAAAAATTAGCCAGGCACGGTGGATTGCGCCTGTAGTCCCAACTACTAGGTAGGCTGAGGTGGGGAGATGGCTTGAGTCTCAGAGGTGGAGGTTGCAGTAAGCCGTGATCACACTACTGCACTCCAGCCTGGGGACAGAGCAAATCTCTGTCTCAAAAAAAGGAAAAAAAGAAAGAGAGAAAGAGAGAGAGAGGAAGGAAGGAAGGAAGGAAGGAAGGAAAGAAGGAAAGAAAGATGTTTCTAGAAAATCTAGGATTCAAAGAATAGTAATTCTGCAGTTCTCTATACCTAATGCTAAATACCTGTGTGATTTGGGGCAAGAGATTTTGTTTCTCTGACTCTGTTTCTTTCTAGATGGCTTACTTCACAGATATATGTGGAGCAAATGAATGAAATTAGTGAACTCTAAAGTATTGAACATAGAACACAATTAGAAAAGAGCCTCTGAGTATGTACTTAATAAATGTTTCCAGTTACTAACATTATGATAGTAGCTAGAAAGCAGTGTCATATTCTTATGGATACTTATCTATTAAAGTAATCTAAACTCTATTAATAAAAATATTTTCTATGGGACTTAAAGTGATTTTCTTTTCATATTAAAAAATGTAGTTTGTAAACTTTACTTTTCCTTAAATGACACTTTGGCCAGATGGCTTATTTTCCATTTTATACTGCTTTTCTCGTTTTATATATTTCAGATATTTCCATATTCTCATATTCATTAAAAACATGATTATAAAGGCTGTTTAGTACTAAAGTGCATGGATGTCCTATAACATGAATAAATATAATCTTATCATTGGACATTTATACCACTTTTAATTTTAGCTCTTGTTTATAGAGCTACAATGAATATGGGTACACATGAATTTGTGTGTGTCTGTTATTTATTTATTTATTTATTTATTTTTTGAGACAGAATTTTGCTCTTGTTGCTCAGGCTGGAGTGCAATGGTGTGATCTCGGCTCACCGTCACCTCCACCTCCCAGGTTCAAGCAATTCTCTGGCCTCAGCCTCCTGTATAGCTGGGATTACAGGCATGCGCCACCATGCCGGGCTAATTTTATATTTTTACTAGAGACGGTGTTTCTCCATGTTGGTCAAGCTGGTCTCGAACTCCCGACCTCAGGTAATCTGCCCGCCTCGGCCTCCCAACCTGCTGGGATTACAGGTGTGAGCCACCGCTCCCTGCCATGTGTGTTTGTTTTATTCCTCAAGAAAATTAACAGGCATATTATTAGTGTATTAAAAATATGAACCTTTATAATACTATATGTATTACCAATTTTCAACTGCAACTTGGAGTTTCAAATTCTACCAGTAGTATATGAAGAGACTCTTTCAATGCACCTTCACTGTCCCCCCATATATTAACTGTGCTACCTTCCCTTAGACATAATATTGACATTCTCTGAAATTTTTCTTGTCTGTAAAATGCAGTATGTTCTATTTCCCCCACACAGTTATGAGTATTATATTAAGTAATATAGTATCAATCAGAATAATCTGTCCTTTCTGATATATGCCCCTTCTCTTGCGGAGATCTGAACTATTTTAACAGTTTTACACATTATCTTTCTCACTCTGCTGATGATTGCTAAGTTTATCATTGGAATTCTCTGATATCTTGAAATTGCCTCTTGGATATGTCCTCTTGTATGTTTCACAGTCACGTGAAGCCGTAAAGTCCAACCACCTCATTAGTTTTCTTTCTCCTCTTTGTTTTCTATTTTCAAAAAAACCAGTTAAATTCTCAGTATGTTATGCAAACCATAAAGCCCTCTTTAACTACATCCTCTGATTACACCTGATGCATATTCTTCTACTTACTAAATATTTCTGAATTATCTTTTGAAATGTCTCTCACATGTGCAGCTTCTTATAGGGTGTCTCTTTGACTAGGGTTGTCCAGGGTTTCATGGACTCATGTGCGGGTGTAATAGTACCTTCCCAGCTAGCCACCATAACTCAATTCATTTCCATTTATTTACAGCTTGCATTTAGATATACCTTGTCCATTCTGAAAATGATGCATATTTATATATTCCACAGATAAAATTAAAAACTACAATATAAAAGTAAAAACAAATATAAAATCATAAACGATTTGGGGTATTTTATATATATATATGTATTTTATTTCCAGAAAATCTAGGATAAGAAAAACTTTTAAATCTGAGAATAACAATTAGCTTTGAATCATCTTCTAGACTCAAAATTCTTCCAGTTCATTTTTCACATAGCTTCAGGACAGAAAACTACCAAAAATATTATAAGAAATATTTCTTCAAACTACTGCTTTCATTGTGCTGCTCCCCAGGGTGGGGAAAAATAAAAAAAATTGAAAAAAACTTAAATGGCTTTTCTTTATTCTATTACAGAAGTCCAAATTCCTTTACCTGATTTTAGGTCCCTTCATAATTTAAACTCATACAATATATGTAATTTAACTTCCAACACACATGCATTACCCTACTCTTGCCAATTCTCCCATTACCTCGTGAGATTTCCATAGAATTTCATGGGTTTTTTTTGTGTGTGGTGGGGTTATTTTTGTCATTTACTCTGGAATTCCTTTCACTCCACTTTCTTTTCCAACTCTGTAAATTTCAACATCTTCCTAGGTACTTCTAAGCCTCACCAGAGTTCTGATTATTTAAGCCTCCATTGATTTCTTTCTTCCATTTATTGACATATACATTATACATTTTCGAGAATCTATGACCTTAGCCTTGAGCATGTAATATTAACAAGACAACCATGGCCTCTGCTGTCTTAGATAACATATTCTATTGAATATATAAATCATATATATAATATATTAGGTTGGTGCAAAAGGGATTGTGGGTTTTGCCATTAAAAGTAATGGCAGTTACTTTTTGCCATTACGTAATGGCAAAAATTGCAATTCCTTTTGTACCAACCTAATATTAATTTAAAATAGAAAAACATTAAATGCCATATTTAGAAATATAAATTAAAAGGACAGAGTAGTGTGATGCCTTACAACATGAACACCTAAACTAGTTTTAGATATCAGATAAATCTTTTTTAAGGTTCTGACCTTTTTCTTTTAATATCCATAGCTTTAAGCTGAGGTCTATTAAAACTTTTGTGTGTCTTACGGCATTCGGATCCAGTCATCACAAATGACAAATTATTAATATTCATGTATAGATTTTTAGATTATAGAAATAAAAAAACATTTATTTCTATTTTCATTTACTTGAAAACTAAAAGTACTTGTAGAACTACATTTTATGTAATAATGCTATTGGCACTTCGAAAATGGTTAGCTTCTGTGGAGCTAAATTTGTGAAACCTACATGCTTAAAATGATAGTTCCCAGAAGAGTCTATTGTGAAGAGGAAGAATTACACGTTAAAAGGGAAAGGACAGCCTGATTCTTTGGAAGGATTTGGGTTCTGTCATGGGAAATGCACAGCACACATCTCAGTTTAATTTGGATCAATTAAGATACTGGGAGAATAATAAAAGTGATATTTGTGAAGCCAGAGGCCTGAGCTGGTTAATGGGTGACCAGAATGCTTAATAAGTTAGAAAAATAATATCTCTCTTAGTTGAAAACAACCAAGTTTGAAAGGACAAAAGTAACAGAAAGATGAGAGACAGGCAAATTGACAGAATTGGGCAAGTGGGCAAGGAGTGTAGAGAGTTTCAGGGGTGACATCACCAATAAACTGAAGAGGTAACTAAAATGGTTAAAGACTGCTACTGTAAAACAAAACAAGATAGACTTGTTTCTAAATGTATAATATAACATAATACAGTGCACTGATAATTTAAGAAATGTAGAACTATAATTAAAATATATTAAAAATATTCATCTGCAGCTTTCAAAGAGGTAACCACATTTTGTGAATTCATCTTAAAATATTGACACAATTGGAAACTCTTACTAAAACGCATTCATGATTAACATTAAGACAGCCAGTTATGGGTAATGGAAAGAAAACCCTTTGTTAATAATAAAACAAATAATGAAGGTAACTGAAACAATTACACTATATATTATTGGAAAGATGAATTAACCCACATGTACTGGTTGAACAGTGTGTGTGTCATTATGTGGATTATAGAAGTCTGTGCCATGTTGACAAGAAAGTAAAGTTCTTACCTACATAAGATTCAATTGTAAGTGAATTCTTATGATTTGGGAATGGGGATTAGCATTAAGCTCTGTATGTCTATATCTAGAATATGTAAAGACATATTAAAACTCAATAATCAAAACATAAATAACTCTATAAAAATCAGCAAAAATCAGAATAGATATTTTCCTAAAGAAGACACACAAGTGTCTAAAAAGACACATGAAAAGGTGCTCGATATCATTAGCAGTCAGGGAAACCTTATTGGAAACCCCAATGAGGTTCTTTACGCCCACAAGGATGGCTTTAATAATAAAAAACTGATAATTACATTTGTTGGCAAGTATGTGGAGAAATTGGAACCTGCATACCTCATCCCAGTTGGGACTGCCATGTTGGAAGACATTCTGGCAGTCCTCAAATGGTTAAACTGTATGACCTAGAAATTCCACTCCCGGGCATACAAACAAAATAAATAGAAAACATATATTCAAGCAAAAATTTGCACAAGGTATGCATAGCAGCATTATTTATAAGTCAGAAAGTCGAAACAAACCAAGTATCTATCAACCAATGAAAGTTTAAATAAAAGTG
The DNA here is from genome assembly GCF_000001405.40 of Homo sapiens. Lineage (NCBI taxonomy): Eukaryota > Metazoa > Chordata > Mammalia > Primates > Hominidae > Homo > Homo sapiens. Next base: position 31,636,894 of record NC_000004.12, read on the forward strand.
GAGTATCTCTGCAATGGAATATTATTTGCCAATAAAAGAAAATTAAATATTGATACATGGTACAATAAAGATTAAACTGAAAACATTATTCTTAGTGAAAAAAATAGTCACTAAGGACCACATATTGTATTATTCTATTTATATGACATATGCAGAAAGGAAAATCTATAGATAGAAAAAGTAAATTAATGGTTGTCAAGCGTTGGGGAATGATGGCTAAGTGGAGTAAAATTTCTTTTTGGGGTAATGAAAATGTTCTAAATTGATTTTGATAATGGATTCACAACTTCATGAATGGACTAAAACCACTTTATGGTACAATATAAATGGGTGGATTGCATAGTATGTGAATTATCTCTCAGGAAAGTTAAGTAGTGTGTTTGGATGAATGAATGAAGCACTGACTTTGCCCTGTGCACATCACCAAATTATATCTCAGATTTGATATGAAGATTTTGATTGGGAATACACTTTTTATATAACATGGCATAAAAATGGTAATTACCAAATAATCAGTGGTCTTGTCACTCTAAGTAAGAAAAAATAGATTAAATGGCACTACAGTAGGTGGTTATGTTAATTATAAGCAGAATGATAAATACCAACTTCGATGCAGGATTTTAGACTGAATGAAGTAGTGTAGGTTTTAAAATAGAACATCTTATTCTTCTGAAGTTCTTCATGACCTAATTGTAGTTCAATTTGTTGTGTTTGCCCAGATTGAGTTGTCCCAAGATTTCACATTGGAAATCCATACCATGGGATTTTTAGGTATGCACAACCCATGGGCCATATTGTTGCAATAAAGTGTACGGGAAGTTTGCATGCAGTATCTTTTAAACAATAATAATTCTAATTTTCATAATAAATACTTTTTAAAGTTCTACATTTTACTATTAGTTTCTAAATATTTTATTTTAAAATTTTATCATACATCTGCTGTAGAGTAACGACCATATCCAAGGTTTTTAGCTTTCTAATTTTCCATGTGTCAAATGAACAACTTGGGATTGTGTTAAGCATCAAATAAAGTGTACAATTGCCCTTCAATTGTGAATTAGTAAAATAATACGGTAAAGCAGATTATTCATCACCTTGAGTCACTAACATTGTATGATTTTTATAAAAATAGAATTTTTTTTGCATATGATTTGGACTGTTTGAAGTACTGGAGGACACCAACTCCCCTCACTTTATGGCTGGTTAATTTTATTTTGGGCAGCTTTCCATGAAAACAATTATTTCGTTTTTTTCCTTTTCTCTATTGTTTTTGTTTTACTTGAAAGTTCTAGATTCCACATCTATCCTTCCAAATGTTTGTTGATAATTTAAATATATACACTTAACTTTTATTCTTAAACTAAGAATTAATCAAATTTGATATTTTTTTGTCCTAGAAAATCAATAGATTTTCAATAACTTTTAATCTCACTGTTACCTATCAATATTTGTTGATATTAATGGTAATTTATACATATATAATTCTAGATATAATTTATTATTAACATTTAGAGTTAAAATGTATTTTATTTATTTTCACCTTTATTATATTTTATGTTTTACTTTCTTTTTACCATAGTAGTTCTTTTCAAATAGATTTTATTAAAGGAAGATTTTGCTTATACATAAGCTAAATTTATTATTTTCAAATGTTTGTATTTCACTTTCAAGCTTGAGTAATAATTTTTTTATATATGAATTTTATATAAAGTTTTTATATGTAGCCCTTTGAAGACATTTTCTTATTTCTCTTTGTATTGAATAGTACGGAAAGAGACAAGATGCAAATAGTCTCATTTTCGTTCCATTACTGGTGTTTTGTCTTTCACTCGTTGAAGCTTTTAGAATTTTGTTAGTCTTAATGTTGTGCGGAATCATCACAGTGTGTTAATGTATTTGCTTTTTTTCCTCTCCTCAATTTCCTGCTCAACACTTGCTGATTGTTCTCATATGAGAAATCTTACTTTCAGTTCTAAAAAATTCTAACTATTGCTTTCTCCTCACATAATTTTTAGTGTTTCATTCTGAAGTTCTTATTAGATGAATATTGTAACAGTACCTCACCAGGCATCTCTGACTTTATCTGTACATATATCTGTGTTGCATCCTGAGAGAGTTCCTCAGCTTGATCATTTAGTCACAAATTCTCTCATTTGTGGTATCCATTTAGCTGATTTGTCTTAGATATTAAAATTATTTCAAAGGTTGTACTTAATTTTCAAAAACTCTTTACAGATTACCTTATTATTTCTTTTTCTTTTGTCATAATGTTTTGTGTGTCATACTCTGCATTTATTGTTTTGGAGAGGTAATTTCTTCCTTTGTCTTTCTAAGCCTGTGTTTGAAAATCCTTTTTTAGAGGATTACATTAATGTTCTTTAATCATTTTAAGTTATTCTATTGGGTGAATGTGTTTTCTTCCCTCTTTCATTGGGGAAGTGTGAAGTGTTTGTCATGTTGGACTATACTCTTCTGCAAACTAATGCTTACGTGCACTTTTGAGACCTCAGTGGCTTTTTGTCATACCAAGAGCCTCTGTGCCCCAGAATTAGAGTGAGTTCAGCTTAATACTGAGTTCTCAATCACTCCTGTTTTATTTTAAAAGAGAAGTACCCCCTTTAATTTTTTGATGAAGACTAATTGACTGTAGCAGACTAATACTTTCCACAATATCTTCACCAAATGGATTTTAAAACTACTTATGCATCTCAAGTGATGAAGAGAAGAGGACTTTTATAAAATAGAAAACCAAGATATATCACTTTCTTGGAGGTTTTGCAAAAATAGCCAGGGCATGAAGAACTACTCTGCCAACAAAGCATTGACATCCAGAGTGTAAAGATTACATTCTGCTTGAATGCTTTATTTTTGCTTAGTCTAAAGGTCAACAAAACAAAAGAGTATCTGGCTTGAAAAACATCTACATTCAGATATTAATCATTTTATACTTGCTCCACATTGACCTAAGGGTGCCGTTTTGAATTTGCTGTAGTTTTCTTTCAACTACTTTACTTGCCAAAAGAGATAATATAAACCCTAAAGGTTTCTTGTGGAATGTTTACACAGTTTTTTGCCCATCAGAAAGGATAAGAAAAAATGTAAACAGCTAAATGTTAGATGATGCAGTATAAAATGCTAATGAAGACAAAAGTTGAAATACATGCACTGTTTGAAAAACCACAGAATACATTTAGAAAAAAAAAGTCTCAAAACAGACGACCCTTTAAACTTTACAGCACATTTAATGCATGTGGAGTCCTAATCCTCTGACTCTCAAAACTAATAGTGTGGGGAGAAAAATTGTCGTGCAAAAAGCTGAAAGCCAGTAGACTATGCTTGGGTTTTAATTATATAACCAGCACTGAATCAAAACTTTATGGACAAAACAATCCATGTAAAATCAATAATCAATGTGAACATGGAATTACACAAATATTGTGATGCTACTGCCCCTTTGGCATCTTATGGGAAAAATTGCAATTTCTTGTTAAAATATTTCAAAAAAACTAAAACGCGTTTTAGGATACGCCTTAAAATTCTTGGAATATCTATTAATATCAATAAATATATATATAGTTAAATGCATAAAAGACATAACGACAAAGAGGAAAATAAAAGGAAGCTTAGCACGACCATAGGATGGAGTACTGGATTAATATAAAAACACTTACAGCACCTTCTGGGGAGGCTGAATAAATAGGGGCCTGGATGCTACCAGTAAGGCCAGTAAGAACAACTTTCCCATGACATCTGAAATAATTAAACCTTACTTGTCATTTTCCTTCAATATTAGAGAGATATGAAACCATATTACTAAAATAGGAGTGAATTTTAAAGATAAAGTAAGTTGGACATCCATGTACTGCTATCCAGTTTAAAAGAGAGAATAGTATCTTAAAATCACTTTGTATACACATCCCAATCTCTTTCCTCTTCAGGATTAACTATTAACTAAATTTTAGGTTTATCATTTTTACTTTCTATTTTAAGAGTTTTACTACATTATTGGTTTGTATTGTTAAAAAGTTTAACATTTAAAACATTTCAAACAATTTTCTGATGTTCATCCATGTGGTTGAATGCAACATTAATTAATCAGTTTTTCAGACATACAGAGTTCTTTTGATTAACTGTATTACTCTTAATTTATCCGTTTCATTCTTTAAGGTTATTTAAGATTGTTTCCATCTAAACCGTGAGCTTGGATGTTCTTATAGGTCTTTGGATCTGTACACAGAGGAGCTACTATCGGTGCAAACCTAGGTATGATTTACTTATTTAAAAAATATTTGCATGCTCAATTTTATCAGTTAATGCCAAATTATTTCATAAAGTGATTGTACTAGTTGATGCTCCTGTATATAATTGCTAAATGATCTTATTGCTTTATATCCTTTATAGTATATTATTATTGCAGTACTTTAGTTTTAATTTTTGGCGATCTAGTGTTTGTGAAACAGTGCTCATTCTGTCTTGTTGTTTAACTTCACTGAGCATGAGGTTCATCTCTTCTGTACTTTTTGTCTTCCTTGACTTGCTTCCTTAGTCGTTGTTGTTTTGCTTTGTTTTATAAATTTTCTTTTTTTTTCTTTCATTCTATTTTTTTCCCTCTACTTGTTGAGAAGTCGTACACTTTACTTCTTTTCTTTTAGTGGTTACTCTAGAAATTTTCATCTGCCAATTTAAAATACCAAACTTTAATGTTTATCAAAAATTCTATCCACCTTCTAGTGTTGCAGGAATGTTAGAACAATTGAAACTCTCCCTCTAATTTATAAAATTGTATTGTTATTAGTTATGTTTTTTAAACTTCCAAACTTTATAATCATCACGTGATGCAGTTTATTAAAATGCTCATATGCTTACCATTATTCTTACTCATCATCTTACTGTTTAGACCTTTCATTAAAATTAATGTAATCATGCATGAATTATACACCATAGAATTTCCTATTGATAAAAACCTGTTTGTCGTGACTCTTGCGTTTTTCCTGTCTGAAAGCATCTTGACTTTCACCCTCATTTCTTCCCCATTTTGAAAGTTTGCTTTCTCTTTTGTGTGTTTGTGTGTGTGTTTATTTTCTGCTAGTTATAAAATTCTGGGTTGACAGTCTTTGCGTTTGTTGTGAGCTGATATTCACTGGAATTTTACCAGGGAGAATTATTTCAGATTTGGTTGTGAAGTAGCTTTATGTACTTCTCGGGATTATGTATATTTCCTATTTCCAGGATTGGGGACACTGACAACCCAGGATACTTTCAAATAGAATTTTGTTTGATTTCTATTTTTCTTCCATATAATTTCCCTAGTGTGAATTTTATTGCAAATGTGGCTTACGGATATGAAATCAAATGTGAAGGTTTTTTTTTTTTATTTATTCTTTTCTACCACTAACATAAATGCCCAAGACGGGAAAATTTTTCTCTTCTTACCCTTTACTCCCAGGGTAAGGGAATTGGTAAATGGTAAGATTTTTTTCTTTTCTACTCTAAGGCAAGTAATATAGCACCTTAGGGATTATAGCTTATTAGAAGCCTAGGTTTTATCACCTGTGTCCTTTCTCCCAAAAGGATGTAAAACCTGAAGCTAAAGATCATAGTTGGGCAAAAAGCCTTGTGTTGAAAACTGGTTTTATGGTTTACTTAGCTCTGTGAGTAAATGTAGATTTTGGTCTTAAGATTTCATTTTCCTGATCATAAAAAAAAATAAGATTTTAAAACTATATAAAAATCCAGCATTTTTAGCTATTTCATCAGAAAGTTAACCAATTATTTATTGAGTCAACTATAATTGTGGAAATTTTCATATTTCCATCTTTTAATTTTTTTATTTTCATAAGTTAATATGATTCAATAGGATTTTTTTAAAAAATTTCTAAACCTGAGTGGTAGAAAAATAGGGAAAATTATAAGGCAATTATAAAAATGTGAACTTATTGGAATCATGTTTATTTCCTATGTTAAGTAGAATATATGTTCACTAAGAAGTACAAAAAGTCCTTTCTTACTGAATTTTCAAAAGACTTTTACACCAGGAATGATAAATCTTTACAGTTTAGATTCAGGGCAAAAGCAATGAAGCTTTTGGTCCTATGATATAATATGGGGTAGGTACAGAACAGGTGAGAACTATATATATATTTTTTTACCTCTGTCAGAATCCTTCAACAATTTGGCAATCATTTAAAGACATTTCATTTGCCATGATATTGAATTTCTGATTCAAAAACATAGTACTGGTGAGGATTATCCATGTGTTTTTTTTTTAAATAGTACATGCAGACTATTGGGATCTGGAGCAGGAGAACAGTACACATAACATCAAGGTGATTGGATCTGATGGACTCATTTAGTGAGCATCTAAAATACGCTTTGAAATGTTCCAGAAATAGCAAGCAATAAATGGCAGAGGTCTAATCTGGGGGAATTTATTCCAGTGTAGTCTTGTATAATCATAATGTATGCAGAAGATAAACTATAATTTTATTATGCAATCATAGAATACTGAAGATTGAGTTATTTGAGCTAAGTTAGAATTAAATCAGACTGTAATTTTAGGGAATAAAGAAGTGGGCTAAAGGTATGTCAAAACAGAAATCATGTTTTCGCATTGCTATATTTGGAAAGAGGAATCGTGCATTTCTGAGATGCAGGCAAGGAAAGGCTGAGGAGCCCATTTAAGAGCCTGATATATGTGATGTTTCATATATATATTTTTCAGTATGGAAATGGAAAAAAGGAGCTGACCAACTCAGATTTTGTATGATGAGCCAAGATCATATTAACAGGTCAGCTTTTGAAAGTAAGTGTGTGTGTGTGTGTGTGTGTGTGTGCGTGCAGATGCAGGGTGAAGGAAGGGTATATAGATTTAAATTTGGAATATAAAGTAAAACTACTAAAAAATAATAAAGATTTTCCTGGTGGGAAAACCTGGCATGCTCAAGGAGGGTGTGACACATGTGGTGGAACAGAATTGTGGATATATTGACAAGGGCCAGAAAGACCATCACATTTCTTTTTCTTTGTATTTTTGTTGATTACTGTGTTGCTGACATTAGTTATGGAAGCACTTTAAGCAACAGATCAACAGAAAAAGGAGTCGCTAATAAACTCATCTCACTAAAATGTTTCTGTTTCTCCATCATAGGTAGGATTCACATTTAGGCTGAGTAAATTCTTAGCATTCTTGGACTTTATGTCAATTCTAGAGGCACCCTGTCCATCTCAGGAGAGGCAAGCGGGTCATTTCTGACACAGATGCATTATTTTATTTAAATACCAAATGATCAAAACCTTATTTTTGTATTCGTAGTAGGTCTGAAGGAGAAAGACAGGAATAAAGTATAAAGAAAAAAAGTAACTATTTAGGATAATTTAACGATGATTTTACATTATTAGTATGGGTATACACACCAAAATGTATCTAGTCAATGTACTCAATGGCCTGCTGTCTTCACTCCTTGAAGCTCCATGTCTGTGCATAACACATTTGCATTTTTTTTTCAGAAGCTCTTGGTACTTCTTTTCCACCACTTTTCCTTATAATACTTTATAAATTAATTTTGAAGCCACACATTCACTTGAATAGGTGTAAAATATTTTCAAAATCCTGCCTTCATAATGTTTTTTTTTTGTTTTGTTTTGTTTTTTTGTCTTTGGGAACACAGTGGAAAGAGCTACATCAACAACTGGGAGCAAAAATTGCTATTGTGAAATGCCTCTGTGTTTGAAGGCCGTGAGTTCAATTATTACTAGGGATGATTCAGTGCTAAATAATTTATCTTGATACGAAAATTTTCTTTTGACAACTGGCCCTATTAACGGTACAGCTTTTAGCTGTATTGAGACACTGGAGAAATTTTGGGCAGTTTATATAATATTTTCCTTACTTTTGAAGAGAAATTGGTTAAGTAACAGTCTTTCAGAGCTAGTATTCTTTGTCAGCCTGGCAATGGAAAAACAGTAACATGCTTTAGATATGTATTTTAAAAAATGCACTGTTTCAAATTTCAGACTAACAGGTTATTTCCTAAACTTTAAGCACAGTGGAAGTCATCCTAAGTCTCCTTCTTACAGTACACTGACTTCCTTTCTAAGTTAAATGTGACAACTTATTTTGTGAATATCATTATTTGTGGTCTATACTCAAGTGTTCTGGAATATGCGGTATTAATAATAGATACACTCATATGTAAATTGGATTGAAATGTAGTATTGTCATTTTATGTAACAATTTTGTATTGGCTTGGTAAAAACATGCTTTTCTTTTCCTAATGTCAGGTCTTTAAAATATTTTGTTGTTATGCATAGAATATATTTTTAGTTCTTTCTAGAAAAAGTATGCTTATTTATTAAAGAAACAGCTCATCCTGCTGATTTTTAGAAAGCATGCTGAATCCGTCAGCATACGCCAAATTACAAACACCCCTCCCCGGCTAAAAAACCTCAAGGCCTTGAAAACCACAGAGTTTCATTTCTTGCTGTCCTTCATGTCCATTGATGTTTGGCAAGCCACCTTGCTTTTCCTAGTCATCTATGACTTAGAGCCATTAGCTCAAATTTTGCTGTCTACGACTCTAAAGACAAAGGAGGTTATGCATCAGCACTTATGCTCATAACTCAAAGGCCATATCTAGTCATTTGTCTACATCCACTTAGAAGGGGGCCAAAAAATACATCCTACCAAATACCTAAGAGGGGAAGAACCAGAAACATTTGCTGAATGCACTGAGGATTAGCACATTTCACTATTCTAATCATCAAATATGTGTGTTGTGGTCTGAACGTTTACGTTCCTCCCAAATCCATATGTTAAAATCCTAACAACCAGGGTGAAGGTATTAGAAGAGGGGCTTTTTGAAAGGCCTTCCAGAAGGCAGAGACTTCATGAATAGAATTAGTGCCCTTATGAAACAGGTTCCAGAGAACTGCTTTGCCATTTCCATCAAGTGAAGCGGCAGCAGAAGGCACAATCTACGAGAGAGCAGGCCCTCACCAGGCACAGAGTCTGCCAGTGTCTTGATCTTGGATTTCTCAGCCTCCAGAACTGTGAGTTTTTTGTTTTTGTTTTTGTTTTTTTTTTTTGAGATGGAGTCTTGCTCTGTGGCCCAGGCTCAAGTGCAGTGGTGCGATCTCGACCCACTGAAACCTCCGCCTCACAGGTTCAAGTAATGCTCCTGCCTCAGTCTACTGAGTAGCTGGGATTACAGGCCCGCCACCACACCCAGCTAATTTTTGTATTTTTAGTAGAGACAGAGTTTCAACATGTTGGCCAGGATGGTCTCAAACTCCTGACCTCAAGTGATCCGCCTGCCTCGGCCTCCCAAAGTGCTGGGGTTATAGATGTGAGCCACCGCACCTGGCCAAATTTCTGTTGTTTCTAAGCCACACAGTAGATTATGGTATTTTGTTATAGCAGCCCAAATGGACCAGGACTATCTGATTCTCTGTCTTTTCTTTGTATAATATATACTTACTTGGACCTCAAAGTAAACAACACATTAATCCTTCACTATTCACAATATTAATCTAAAGATTGAGATTACTTGGATGATGAATGGTAGTCTTTGTATAAGAAGGTGATACATTAAATTCCCCACACCAGGACCAGAAATGGCTTTTCTTGATCTGCATCAGGGGTCCCCAACACGGGGATGTTGGACCCATACCAGTCTGTGGCCTGTTCCTAACAGGACGCACAGCAGGAACTATCAGTGGGCAAGGGAGCTTTACCGCCTGAGCTCTGCTTCCTGTCGCATCAGCCAAGGCATTTGATCTCAGAGGAGTGCGAACCGTACTGTCAACTGCGCCTGCGAATGATCTAGGTTGTGTGCTCCTTATGAGAATCTAATGCCAGATGATGATCTGAGGTGAAAAAGTTTCATCCTGACACCATCCATCCTCACGCTTGTTCGTACAAAATGTGTCTTTCACGAAACCTGCCTCTGGTGCCAAAAAGGTTGGGGATCACTGATCTAGTTGTTATGTGTCCCCACAACCTGACATATAATGGTACAATAGATGCCTTAAAACTGCAATCAGTACTCACATTTAAAAAGCAGAAGATACAAGACACATACATAGCAATTTGCAGCAATTCTGGGAAATCTTTTTGATGTACTCCTATTCTGGTGGTAAGAAATGTTCCTTGAATATTCTCTGATTCTGTCCTGGAAGATAATTCCCATAGTCTAACATTTTTTGTGGTTCTTTGCACCTCTCTGAGAGAATTTACCCTCTTTGTTTTCCTTATTGTCCATGCCTTAAGTTCAAATTGGAAGAATATATTACCCTTGACCATTGAATAGTATGCTCAGCCTGATTGCTTTCCAGATAAATTCATTACAAACCTTGGCTGTCACTTTATCTTTTAGTCAAGGTTGCAGGTTTTTTTGGCCATAGAAGTCTCTCAATAACTTTTTCAGCTTCTTAACAATTTGCATGCAGTTAGTTTTATGCAACAATAATAGTAACCACAGTTCTGTTTGATATAATACATTCTTCTTTCTTAATCACAGATAACTTGAGCTTATCAGATTTTAATGGGCATGTTACACCATGAGGCCTTTCCTGAACAATTCTGTCAACAAAAGAGATTTTTTGGGAACCACAATAATTCTTTCAGACGTTTTAACGATCAGTCTATAATGGTCCTCTATTTGATTTAATCCTCCTGCAAAATAAATTTCAATTGGTATTTTTGCTTATAACATTTCTCATTTTTATCTTAATCTCTTTAGGGTGAAGAAGAAGCAGCCTTTTCCAACTTAAAAACTTCTCTATTTGTGGATTGTCTATCCTTTTATCTCTGCTTTTACGAGGCCTAATTATTTACTGAGGCTATTTCTTAATTGTAATAGCTTGTCAAATGCAGCTAATAGAATCCAACATTGGCTACTATAATTCTAATGTCCAACCTATTATCTGAGCATTGCAACAGTCTCAGCTTTATATTCTGAGTTCCAAAGTATCTCGGGTGATTCTTTAACCAAATGTTTCTGCCACTGAATAACATAGATCTTTATTGTTCAGTTTCCTCACCCTGAAATGATTCATCCATAAGATGCTGCCACATGTTTAGGTTTGTTTGTTTTGTTACAGGAGCATTCCTCTTCTGATTCTGATTTCTGCATCATTCAGGATAGATCAGGTGATGCTATGATAACAGTCAATCCTAAATCTTGGAGGTTCAAACAATAAATGTTTATATTTTGCTCATTCTGTATGTTCATCATAGGTCAGCAACTCTATTTACTTTTAAACCAAGAGTGACAGATGGCAAACATGTTGAATGTTGCTAGTCACCACAGCAGAGTGAAAATAGAGCTCTGGAAGGTCTCACTGGCAATTAAATGCTTTTCAGAAGAATGATATATCTCATTCATGTTCACAAGATTTTGATTAAATCTAGTCAAAAGGCCTCATCCATTTTCAAATGAGGCAGGCCATGAATCCTTATTCTGAACCAAGAAAGTAGAAGAACTGAAAACGATGAGCAGCACTAACGTCTACTATATATGCTATCTGCGATGGTCATGAATGCAAATATCACACATAGGATTTTAAAAATATCAGTGCAATATGGGCAACATAGATAGTACATGGAAAACATTTGTTTGACGCTGAAAGTTCTCCAATCCAGAAAGCATAAGCTAGGAAAACAGAGAATATGTTTCCAAATTTGTAAAATATTTGCAGTCAGATGACAAGTTAAAAGATTCCTGTGGAGATAGAAGTCCATGCTTCAGTAGATTGAAGTAGTTACACATTAGGTAACTTAGAAAACCCTTCTATCAACTGAATAGCAATATTTTCCACAAAATTAACACTTTGCCATCTCTACTCAGTAGGCAAGAATGCGTAAGAGTTTTGGTCAAGACAGATACTATAAACATGATGTTATTTTAGGCTGATGGCAACGCAGTTAACTTAAAAAGATTGGATACAGCTCTAAGCCATAGATTATTCAGTTGTTGTTAGCACTATGTTTAAAACACTTGTTGGTTTCCATAGCATAGGAGCTTACTTATTTGTTTTAGTTTAATCCAGAGGCATTTAATTCAGTTCAATAGATATTACTCCATGTCTCTACATTTTCATTCTAATGGCGAGCCACTATTAAACTACTCAAATAAATAAGACTCTCAAGTAATTAAACAACTACTGTGGGAGTGGGGAGAAACATAGACAAAGAGATATTAATATCTAGAATGTGAGTGCTGCAAAATAGCCAGGTTATTGAGCAAGGAGGAATATGTTGAAGGAATCAGAAAATGCTTTCTACATATACAATATATACAACAATATGTTGATACTGGAATTGAGAAATCGAAACTATGTCATTACATAGAGATGGACCCAATTATGAGGAATAGAATCAAAGGCAAGGGGACAAAGAAACATTCCAGAAGTTGGGAGAATAGTAATTCAATTAGTTGAACTATAGAGAGTAGCAAATATAAGAAAGCACTGAGATCAAAGAAGAAATAAAATTGTGCAGAAGCCAGTCCTGTCCTTCTCTTTACTCAACATCTGAATAAATTTTATATCCTGGCTAATTACCTCTACTACTCAAATCTTCATTGATCACTCTCTCTTCTTGAATACAAAAGTATCTACATCACATCACTTAGATCACAATTAAGGGCAGTGTTGATTTTCACCTGAGTATATAAGTACTTAATTTTTGCCCTTCTGATGGCTGGAATTCTCTGTAGCTGAATTTACTTATTCATGTTCCACATAACAGTGTTGACTATTAATTATATTAACATAATGTAAAATTATTGTATAAAATGATAATATAATTTGGGGCTCTCTGCTCACTTTTTAAAGGTTTGTGTTGGAATACAGCCATACTCATTTGTTCATGTATTTTCTATTGCTGCTTTCATAATACAACGGCAGAGTTGAATTGTTGTGACAGAGTCGGTCTGGCCTGCAAAGCCCCAAATATTTACTAACTGGCCCATTACAGGTAGAGCTCACCATTCTCTATATAATGCATTTACAAATGTGATAAATATTTTAATAATTATTTCACATACATTTTTATTCTTACAACTAAAAGTTATTTGTGGCAGATATTTCCATTTTGTAACCTATTGATTATTATGAATTATTGATTCATAATTGTATCTTAATATTAATTATTAATTAATTGTTATGAATTATTGATTATTAATAATTATGAATTAATTTGTATTCATGCTTGCACAGGCTGCAACTAAGTATTTGTATTTCTCTAAATTTTGCTCCAAATTTAATGTATATCATAATGCATTAATTATAATAAATGCACTTATTATAACAAAACGTTATGGAAATTTTCTTCAAACTTATAAGTTAAATCAAGAAATTTGGTATTAGTTCCAAAAGAAAAATGTTGTGAATAATATGCTGATTTCTAATCACAGATAATATAATTATCACTCAAAAAAACCGACCTTTTAGACAGTAACAAAAATAATATAACCAATATGTAAGTTCATGAGGTGTAGAATCAGGGAACCCTGGTCTAAAATCCTGGTTCCTTCTTTTTTTAGTTCTGTGGCCTTGATCTACTTAGGAATCTTCTGCCTCGGTTTCTTAATTTATAAAATGAATTTCATAAATAGACCTATCTTATAATCTGACTTCATTAAGATAATACTTGAAAAAGAGCAGGCACTAAATAAATATTTTATCATTTCTGTTATTATCATTTATATTTTTATGGTCTCTATGTACCAGATTATCTTAACTGGAAGCATTATTACTGAAAAAAAAATGAAGTGGTTAGTTAAAGATAAAAAAACAAAATAACAAAATGGCCCCACACATCATAATCATGAATCTATTAATAGTGAGAGAAAACCCTTATAGGTAATTTTCTTTGAGTTCATGTTTGCTTTTTTGCTTATCCACCCTTACAATTTACTACTGCATGCTTTTACTTGTTGTCACTAGTTGTATTACTACTTTTATCTATGAATTAAACTTTAAAAAACTTAAAAATAAACATCATATTGTTTCTAAGGAAGCCTGTTAAATCTTTATAGACAAAAGATAGCAAAAATCTACCCATTTTAACTTAAAATGAGATCAATTTTTTTCACAAAGAAATTCAATACATATTATTTTTTAATGACTATATATAACAGGAATAGCATATCTACCCTTTTCACCAAAGAGTGAATGTTTTGATAAAGCTTTCAAAACAAACAAAAAAAAAAACAAACATACAGAAGCAAAATAAAAAAGGGTATGTACTGAAGTTGACTGATTACAGGGTTTTTTCTTTCACGTTGTGTCTTTTCAAAATTTCAAACGAGTCATGTCTATGCATTACTTGAAATTGAAAAACATGAATCACCAAGCCTCTCTCACATTACAATATGTCAAGTTTTAACCTTCTAATCTCTAATCAAAAGGATAGGATTACAATTAAAACCTTATGAACAACAGGGATAAATATTTCAATACCAAATAATTTATTCTCATAGTACTGTTCATAGTTAAAACACATGCCCATCAACTGGGAAATGAGCTCTCTGTGTCGTTCCCTTCTTTTCAAGCATTGGAAAATTAATTGATTGGAAACATTGAGGAGATTAATTGGTGAACGTTCATAGTTCATCATAAAGGCATTTAAATATGATGATTATGGTACTTTTGAACTGTGTGTCAATTCGATTTTTAATAGAAATCACTAAATGAGGAATTAGATTAAAATAATCTCAAACCCCAAGCTAATCTTTTTTAGTTGTCATGCTTTGGAAAGCATTAATCACAAGTTAACACAGTAGACAAGTAAGGAAACAAAGGAATTCTTGTTGCACTACACAGGAACAAAGATACCTAAGTTCTAACTACTATGATAAATATAGTGTGTTTGTGTGTGTGTGTGTGTGTGTGTGTGTGATTTTGTGTGTTTATGACACAGTGAGAGAGAGAAAGGGAGAGAAAGTGCCTATATAAGTGATTCATGATTGAATTTATAGTCTTCATATTATAAAGTAAATCCAAGCCATTTTATTTTCCCTTTACCCTTGGAGTTTGTCTTAATCCATTTGTATTGCTATAACGAAGTTCCTGAGACTGGGTAACTTATAAATAAGGGAAATTTATTTCTCACAGTTCTGTAAGCTGGGATATCCAAGACCAAGGTGCCAGCAGGTTTAGTGTCTGATAGGGGCCCTCTTGCTGTGAGGCCCTCCTCTCATGGCAGAAGGCAGAAGGCAGAAGGAAGGGAAAAAATAGGTTTAAACTAATTCTCTGCAGCCCTTTAATGACACACAATCCAGTACTCTTTAATCACTTTCTGAAAGGCCTCAACTCTTACCACCACCACACTGAGGATTAAGTTCCAACATGAATTTTGGAGGGAACACATCCAAGCCATAGCAGAGTTGAAACTGCCTTTGCAAAAATTATGACAATGAGAAAAATTTGTATGTCAAATTTTTCTATGTGAAAAATTACGACAGTGAAAAAAATCTGACTTAATTGACTCCATCTTGCTTTTAACTTCCAAGTTGCTCTTGTTCATGCCTGGGTGTAGGCCGAACTAGCTATAGGAGGAATTTAGTGTATAGTTTAATTTTGAAGCAAGGATGGTAACAGCTCTTCCCCCCAAAACTGCCACCTTGCCTGGGGACCAGACTGCTTTTCTAAAACTAACAAATTAACCACAAGATTACAAACTATGGCTCAGGAGTCATGCAGCCAGAGCCCACAAGATTCCTAGCCTGCCTTCCCAATTGCTCCTATGGATAACATCACTATTGTAAAACCAAAGACTGGTGTTCAAGATATTTTTCGGAGTCTGTGTTCTGATGAACTAGCTGGTGCCACCCAGACTGGTAAGCTGGCTCAACTAGTTCTGTGATCCAATCCGGGAATGAAGACAAAAAGAATAACCTGCTTCAACCCCCTGATTTTATTGCTGACCCAACGAATCAGCATTCCCCAATCACGGGTCCTCTATCTGTTCTATTATCCTTAAAAAACCCTAGTATCCAAACTTTTCGGGAGACTGATTTGACTAATAAAATTCCATTCTTCCATTTAGCCAGCTCTGCATTTGTTAAAATCTTTCTCTATTGCAATAATTCTGTCTCAGTAAATTGTCTCTATCTGTGCAATGAGCAAGAAGAACCTGTTGGGCAGTTACAGAATTCTTCCAAAGAAAGAACAAAGGCCCTATCTTTCTTCTAAAAGCTGTAAGTAAATTCCTGTTGGGCCATAATTTTGGCACCTTTTATTCCAAGAATTTGAAGGCAAGAGGAAACAAAAATTGTGGACTTTACTGAGGAAGACAGAATTACATGTGCTCACTTCTGTGGCCACTGACATAAATGAATATTATAGCCTTATTTCTGTCAGGCTTCTGTAAGGCACAGTGGAAAATAAATTACATGTTTCTGTACCAATCCAAGCAAGTCTTAAAAAGAACGAGAGTAGGCAGCTTTCTATGTTGTATGTTGGGACCGCTATTGCTCAGTCTATAAAACAAAACTATGTGCCATTCACTTGAATCAATAGTTTGTTTTTTCATGCAAATATTTCCTATAAGTGTAATATTTAAGTTTCTATAAGTTAAGCCCATGTAAGAAGTTCATTGATAGCAAGGCAGAAAAAAGGATGTTTTGAAGGGAATATGTCATTATAGAATATTAATTAAAGTTTCTATAAAATGAAAGAAAAAAGTTTCTCTGCAACTAAAGAATATTATGTGATTAAATATATGGTCATGACCTTTGATTTTCCACATATTTCATTGTGGGTATTTCAAGTTCAGCATATCAAGAGAAATAGCCACTTACATAGTGTCTATTTATTAAAGTATATACCACAGAGCAACTCCTAAGATTTTATAATAAAAATACCTCACTTTTTATTGAACACTTGGTATGCACTGAGCCATATGCTAAACCACGTATGCAATGTTACTAACCCCTCTTGATAAAACCGTGAAATATACATCTCTATAGTCATCACTGTCATCATCACCATTTTACAGATGAAGAATCTGACATTAAAAAAATTAACAATTCATTTAAGGTCATATAACAAATTTGTCAAACATGTTAGGCAAACTTATAGGTACATGTTCTCAAGTCCAATATCTTTAGCAATATTAATCTTTAAAGTTTGGACTTAAAATGCAAACCCTTGAAACTGTGGAGCAATTGTCTATTTTATTTTCCCCCCTCTTAATACTTTATATTGCATATATATACAATATGCATTCAACAATAGCCTGTTAATTAATTGTTAGAAATTCATAATCTTATAAAATTTTTAAATCTATGTCAGCCAGTGTGATAGTAGTTGTGTACTCTTTCTGTATTTTTCTATTAGAAGGAAAGGTTTGAGATGTAGTTTACTGTTTAAAAATTAAAAATAAAACGTGCTTCTTTTCTACTGTAACTGGAATGGTGTACTGGCAACAGTATTTAAGAGAAATATTGGCCAATATATGTTTGAATAAATCGATACGTCTTCTGTTTTTATATATCTTATGGAAATGGTTAGTTCACATGTCAGTGCACAGCCTGACCCATGCAACTGTATATTGGAAACTAGAAGTTATATAGGGTCACTATATGTTCACAAGCATTGAGATGTAGTCATTTTCTCTTTCTCTTGGTTTGATACCAGTATTCAGTAATACTCTGCATCAAAGATGTGGACTAAAATAGGAGATACAGAAAGACAAAAAAATCAAAAAGCAGCTATAATATTTTATCAAAATACTTTAAAAATTACCAAAGCTAAAAATGACATTTAACATAGCTGTTTAATACAAATTGATTTCAATAAAAGTAATATATTTTATCAAAAGTATCAAATAATATCCTTTGCACCAACATGAATGGAGCTACAGGCTATAATCCTAAGCAAATCAATGCAGGAACAGAAAACCAAATGCCACACGGTCTCACTTATAAGCTGGAGCTAAGCATTGAGCACAGATGGACATAAATACAGGAACAATAGACACTGAATTACTAGAGTGTCAAAGGAGAGAAGGTGGGTTAAAAAACTACCCTGATGCTGACTACCGGGGAGACAGGATCCATACTCCTTCCAGACCTCAACATCACACAACATCCCCATGTAACAAATCTGCAAGTGTACCACCTGTATCTAAAATAAATTTGAAATTAAAAAAATATACAGATGAATAAAGCTAAAATAATAATAATATATTTTATCATTTAAATATTAATCATGTATTCTTCTTTAACAAGATTTCTTTTTCCTTTCAAAAGGACAATGAAAACAAAATGAATATTTTATATTTTTTCCACTAATTACTGCAATGAATTTTTTGTCATATAAATATTTTATTGTGAAAAGTAATAATGTTACTTCTTAATAAATGGAATAATCATAGATAATGTTAAGCAACTTAAGTCATTTGTGACCGTTCATACTTCAATGTAGTAGATTTTTAAATATATTCAGTCTCATTATATATATTTCAGTCAAAGTTTCTAGGCAGATTCTTCTTACTGACTCCAACCAACACACTATGCATGATTTTGAGTTAGTCCCTTTACAACAATACATTAAGCCTAAGGACATATTGGATATTATATACAGTTGGCATACCCTGAATACTTGTCTTTCCTCTGGTATGCTAATGCTGTCACTCCCTTCCCCCTAAATTGGATGTTGTGGTGGGAGAATTTTCCACATGATCAGTGATGATACATAAGATTGAAATTGTGCAATGCCCAGTATGCACTTATCTTACTTCATTTTTGCATCAACACTGTGACATTGAATATTATTTTCCCTTTTACTAAAAAAAATTAAATTTGAAGACACTAGTAAGCAGCAGAGCCTGGATTTGAGCTCAATCAAAAAGGTTTCAAAGCCTGGGTCAAAACTCTCTATATCTATGCATTGTAACACAATTAATTTTAGCATATCCACTAATTTTGCTGACTCCCATCAAAATACAATAGATTGGAAAAATAATGACATCACAGAAGGATTTTCAAAACATTCATGGTCATAACCTCATGTGTATTCATCTATCTGTTATTTATATATTTATGTGCATGTATGTTAGTATGTGCATGTAATGTAATTTTTTACTTGTAGTTTCTTTTTTACATATGTAATATCAGTTGTATCTTTTCCAATTAATCATTTTAGCAGTTAGTGATTTTATACTTTGTGATTTTTAAAAAATTTTTTTATAACTGCACTTGAAAATAGTAACGATAATACATAATAATTATAATATCTACATGTTAAAAATATTTATCAACATTATTATCTGTCGCTATGTTAAATACAAAGGTTAGATTCATAGATGTCCTTGTAGTCTTTCAAAACATTCATAAAAATGCTATGAACTTAAGGACTTAGAGTTCATCTAGAGGTCTCTTTTCACCTCTTCTTCTATAACCTCTCATTGTTCTTTTTCACACAGTAATCCGTGTGTGTTCTACAGAAGCAAGAATAATGGCAATATTTAATGACACACTCGCATATTTAATCAAGACCACTTACATCATTATTTTATTCTTCGTGTATTACTCTATGCTTTTTAAAGGCATTTTGAGAAAAATATATTTATTTTACCCAAATTATTTATTTATTTTTATAAAACAAATTTGTAAATTATTAACAGTTATACATTTTTAATGTTAAAAGTTATTCATGGAAATTGGGTGGTACTTAAATTTTGTATTTATAAGATATTTATCTAGTTTTTCATTTATTTACTATTGCTGACAAATCAATAAATAGGTGGATGTGTTCAAACCAATACGGGATTTTAAAACAGGGACTTTTCAGTATATAGTTGCATAGATGATGAAATAGATGAAAGGCAACATATTTAGATTTAATGGAAGAAGATAAAACTGTGAGAACACGAAGAAGCACACAGCTGAGAAGGTTTTCTGATGATAGCAGAGCTATCATTTAGTAATATGACTATTTTGGTCAGGGGATTTAAAAAAATTTACGTAGGGTGTGAATAAATAGAATAGTTTTTATAAAAAGAGAGACACAAACTATTTGAGTTATAGTTTTCTTTTGGTTATATGTCTCTTTGGTGCGTGGGCATTATGTTAGATCGTAGAATCAAGTTAAGAGATGAACAACAAAGCGTAAGACTACAACCCAGGGAGTCCCCAGGTTCTTGGCTCTACAAGCATGTCTACCTTCTTTCTGTCTAGAGTGCTATCATTTATGAGTCATTTCAGCATAATTTTAAAGCATATGTATTTTTGTTCACATTTCAAATTACCAGGAGATATAGAATCTGATAGGCTTTTTTTTTTTTTTCTTTTTTCTTTTTTTCCTTGAGACGAAGTCTCTCTCTGTCGCCCAGGCTGGAGTGCAGTGGCATGATCTCGGCTCTCTGCAAGCTCCGCCTCCCGGGTTTGCACCATTCTCCTGCCTCAGCCTCCTGAGTAGCTGGGACTACAGGCGCCTGACATCATGCCTGGCTAATTTTTTTTTTTTTTTTTTTTTTTATATTTTTGGTAGAGACAAGGTTTCACCGTGTTAGCCAGGATGGTCTCGATTTCTTGACCTCGTGATCCACCCACCTCGGCCTCCCAAAGTGCTGGGATTACAGGCGTGAGCCACCACACCCGACCTGATAGGCTTATTTTAATATTTAATCCAGGAGTGTTTTTTTTATTGTTATCCATCTTTGAGGACTTGACAGGAAACAGTCACTGGAGGAAATATTGTGAGCCAAACAGTCATCTTAAACTGTAATGCACAAAACATTTGAGAAGTAAATACTTGTCTGGCAGTACATAAACTGTAGGCTTTCAACGTGATGGTGTATAGTGTATCAGGAAGGCAAACTCAAAAAGATCTGGATTCTGGGGGAATGGTAAAGAATGGAGTCTATCAGGTCAGATTAACAGTCATCTGCTGGGTACCCCTACAGAAGTAACTAAACTCTATCTCTCACTTTTCCACCTGGAAATTTAAAGTAATAACAGTATCTTGTATTTTAGTCACAGGTTGTGTGCTTTAATGAAATGTCTGTGAGGCCCATCCGCTCACTGAAATCAAGATATTATTTTCTCAAAAATGGTTACTCTATTACTGAAAAAAGAGAGCGTTCAGGATTAGCATTCTTACTCATTGCTCCATTTTGAAATAGGTGAGCAATGTATTAAAATTAGTCAGAGGAAATGTCAGGAGACTGCAAGCAACTTCTTGAAATCATGATGATTCACATAAGACGATATCTACTATTTCTGCATCTATAAAACTAAAGGGTAGGGAAGACAGTTTTTCCTCTCTGTCCTTGTATCTCCCTCATAAGTTTTGGTAAAGATAGTAATTACTTTGGATGCAAGAATATATTTATAAAAATAGTAAGTTACACATGACAGTATAGCAGCATTTAGGTCAATAGTAAGTCTAACAAAATATAATTAGATAGTATAACGAAAGAACAGATGGCTTTTACATAATTCTGACCATGTATATTTGAGCCTTTGCAATTTGAGTCTTGCAAATTATCTCCCAAAACAGTTTGTATGAGCTTGTACCAACATTTCCTATGCAGTAGCATCCCTTAATTTGCCATCTCCTCCCTTCCTTCATGTATAACTAGCCTGAGAGAATGCAGGCAACTTCCTGCAAGTATTATAGTTACCCGCAAAGCAAACACAATCATGGAGACCTAAGAGGATATCAGGTAAGTTTCCTAAAATAGGTCTTTTCATTAACCAAGAAATTAAATTTCCTTTGGAAAAAGTCTAAACTCTTGGGTATTATTAAACTTGTGAACCAAAACTGTTTTTAGGACTGTCATTAATATTTTCTCTCTCTCTTTCTCTCTCTCTCATTTCCTCTCTTCTGTCAAGTTTTGAGCAGTTGGCATTGTTCTGTGAAATGATAAACTACAAACTAGAGAGCCTGAGCATATTTTGTTGAGGAGCAGAATTCAATTTAGTTCACACTTTAGGACCCAGAGGCCAATACTTAATACTTAATTCCTGGTTCATCCTCTCCAAACCACAGGAAAAAAGTGTAGAAAAATTTAGAGCGATAATATGTCAGTGAATCAGAGAGCCCCTGGGATAGGGAGAGCACTGGTTATGGGCAGGAGTGGAGAATGCAGCCCTGTATCTGAGGGCACTCCAGGAATCTCCAGGCCACAAGACACAAAATTGACCTGGAGAGCAAGGTTTGTCTTAGTCAACCTGTTTTGTTAGCCAGGAGGACAGAAGGGTTGGGTCTTTTCAATTCATTGCCTCTGGCTCTCAGATGCCCCCATGAGGTGGTGTTGGGAGGCCAGAAGAGGAAGTTTCTAGAACTTTCTACTCTTTTCCTCTGAGTTTTTTGCCTCTGTATTTAAGTCATAATTACCTGTGTTTGCCTGTTAGTGACTGGCATTCAGAGTTTCAACACAAAGTATTCTATAAATACGTCAAAATAAAAATATGTAATGAGGCTTGAGATTCCTTACAAGGAAACCATATTTTGGGATATGAATAAATAAGGGGAAGTAATTTTTTCTCTCCCCCAGAAGAAGATGACGTGTGCCCCACCCCACCCTTCCCAAGGCAACCATTTCTTGTTCCGAGATGTGGTTTTACTGTTGTTTGAAAGGTATCCTTCTCCAAAACTCAGTCAGCTTCTTCAGTCTGCTGATATTCTGAGCAATCCCTCTACTTATAGATGCATTTGTCCTTTTATAAAATTCAAACAAACATTATATGTAAAATTAAGATACTAATCTCTCAAAGGCCGGGACCTTGTTCTACACAGCTTGGGACATAGAGAACTAACAAATGTATTTTGTGATAAATGGAATTATTCAAGCTGGTTTTTCTGTGTAACAACTTTAAGTTCAGTTCATCGGTTCATATTTCTTTTTCCAGAGGACTGCATGAGATTTGCCTGTGCTGGAAAATAGGAATTAATGAAGGAATAGAAATGGAATGGATTGAATTTGGAAGCCAGGTATTTCAGATTGATGACAGGGTTCTTTGAATGGTCAGAACACAACATGAAGGGAGGAATAGGGAGGTGGGAGATATGTGCTTAATCTTTACAACGGGAGATGAGAAAAGCTGGAGAGTGACTGGGGCAAGGAGTCAGGAAGATGGATACTTTTCTTTGTGATTTTACAATACTACCACGCCAGCTGTGCTTTTCTTTATGGCTCTATAGAGCTTTCCTACTGGGCCTATGTGGAGTTAGTTTTTGTTGCTTATGTCACCTTATACCTGATACTTCTTCAAACCTGATCCCAAGGTTAAAGCATTCTGACGGAAATATTCCCAACAGTGCCTTTAATATAAATTCACAACATGCACTTTAATCGCACCAAGGAGATGTAACACTGTAAATTGATCATTCCTTATTAATCATGCTTTGTGGCTATTGCTGTTGTTATTGTCAACCTTATCACTAGCCCTGCTTTTCTCTCAAATCTAAGGCTTATTACAAAAGATATTGTTAGCGGGAAGACCACTCCTTAGTTTGCTATAAGCAAGCAAGTCAAATTTGTAGTTCCTATTTGAATTTCCAGAGCCCCTCTCCCATTTCATGCCGCCGCGTGTACTGCATTAAACCTTGAGGAACATCACTGGAGCCCTCATATACTTGGGATTTTATCTGCATTAGGTTAATTTTGACATGATGCTATGCATATAGTCAAAGACAAATTCACGATTCTGAATTTTACAAGCTGGTAAGGGAGCAGAAAGATAACTGCTGACAATGTCATTGCATAGTTGAGCATGAGATAGTCATATGGAAGAAACACATGTAGAGATTCAGAAATAGATTCTAACCACATCTCCTTTTTCCTTTGATCCTTTATATTTATCTTGTAAGATGAAAAAAAATTACCTAAAAATAGAAGGAAATAATTCTACTTTATTTTTTCTATTGGTCTGCAGAAATTTTAAAGATGCTATTGAAACACTGAAGATGTGTTTTAAAGACTTTAAATAATCTAAAGAATTATTTATATTTTGCATTAACAGTCAAGTATGGAAATAAATGAAATTGTAAATCTACATGCCTTCTGAATTCAAGAGACATGGTATTTCTGAGCTTACAAGCAAATGAAAAATTACTTACTTTACACACAAAAAGGTGTCATAGTCTGACTAAAAAGCTATATCAGGAATCTAAGTTCTACAAATCCAAGCTGCACCTGACAAAAAAGCAGAGTCAGCTGAAGTCTCGTCTTTTTTTATCAGGCTGCAACAAATAATTAAGAGTGCAGTTCATAGTTTTAAAATTAGAATGCCTTGTAGTTTGCTACTTGGCTCTCAGCCTTGTGTTGAGGCTTCCTTCACTAACCAGAGTATGTCTTAATGCTATTGACCTCCATTCTCTGCTGCCAGACAGGGGCACTCTCAGACACAAGGGTGCACACCATTCTGCTATGTAAGTTTGAATGGAAAATAATTCATTGCCATTACTTTTGAGGATACAAATGTTAACTCTTTGGTAGAGGGTGTCTGTGTGTAAAGGTAGGAGAAGCTCTTTTTATACTTATTTCTTAAAGGGCATGGTCAAAGCAGGGTTCACATGTAAACTGCCTGCTCAATCTCGGTCCATTGTAGGCACAATATAATAGATGTAAGTGCTTCAGGCACAGAAAACTTCAGCATTTTTTTTTCTCTGCCTAGTGTCTACAACACTGTCTGACAAAAGTAGATACTTCAAAAGATTTGTTTGATGGGTGAATTAAATCTTAAAGGAATAAAGAAATGTACATATAAACTCAATTGTATTATTAATTCCTTTTTAAGTTGTAGCCTATACCTGAGGGGTTTTTTAAATGTAAAATACTCAAATTGTCACTCACAATGACACTTGTCACTCACAATGACAAGATTTAACTTTGATTCCCCAAGAAATAACTAGTGGTCCCTTGGGGACCTGCACTGTGTATAGGCTTTACTGAAGATGGGGGAGATCAGTGCCCCTGGATGGGAGGGCTCCATGAAGTTACTCAGAAAGGCTGAGTGGCAGAAGAGAGTAGAGAGTTTGTGTTTCCACTTTTCCATCAGCAAGGGAACTACTACTTCTAAACATTTCTCACATTGGACTTTCACATAAGATTTCATTTAAAGAAGTGTTGCTCCTTCTAATGTTGTTTTGGATGTCATAGGTATGCTAGTTACACTGATTTTAAAATTTTCTAAAATAGGACTGAAGAATGGGAAATTCAAGGGAAATACAATGTGGTCTCAAAAGGAAAACAAAGCTGTGAATGCGGAGTATAGAAATAACACAACAGCAGGGAACTCGCACAGTAAAGAGGAGCAGCTCTGCACTGTTGGATTGTATTGGTGTTTCAAAGTGTGGCACTCCCACTGCTAATGAAAGTTCTAGAAATGGCTGAATTTATTCTGTGTCACTGTGTTTCAATTCAGGCCCTCATGACACATGAGCAGTTCAATCACCAACATTAAGCAGAGCCTCTGCCATGGAAGTTGGCAGTCTGAAATGAACATGTTGTGATCCAAGACATAAACATATGATGTACCAGGTCTAGCCAGCAAAAGTAGAGAAGAAATAGAAAATCAGGACTTAAGGACCTAGAGCTGAAAGCAGTTTGTTTGTAAGCTGAACCTCTAATCTCTCTGGTCTTCTTCTCCCTTTAGCACTTAGATGGCCTCCTAGGCTGAAGTTCTTAATCTCTCTTCACAGACGTACTTTCTTGAAGTAAAAAGTAATTTAAAATTTATAACCAGAAAAGATAAGGACCCATCTTTACACAGACTAGGGCCCTGCAGAGTGTTCAAATATTGGTGGTTTAGCACAATCCAGTTTGGGAAAGTATACATTATCAGAAAGGAGCAGGACTTTGGTGAACAAAGCCATAGGACTGAGAAGGGAAGAAAGAGAGCTGAGATTAGAATATACCAGCCAGAATCACAGGAATTGAAACATTTTTAATTACATAAGTTACAAAGGATTATGTTCCCATTATAAATTTTCCAAACATTGAAAAAGTATCCATAGGAAAACATTTTCATTATAAGGGTAGTCTCTGCTGTTATGGGGTAAGAATGAAATATTCTACACTCAGGGACACATAGCTCACTTTTTGCTGTGATGTTTCTATCTTCCCTAGGAATGCTCACCATCCGTGACCTCTTTGTGCCTCTTGGACCCCAACATCCATAACTACTTGATTGTCAGGGAGGCAGATGTTGCTGCAGTGAGATCTTTAGTGAATCCAAGGGAAGGTGGAGAGCACTGTGGTTAGAAACCCAGCAGAGCCTAGGACAGTTCATCTATTCATCACTTTGTCAATTGCCCCAGGACTCCCCCTGACCACTTCCTTCTTCCCAGCAGGCCTACCCAGTTTGTCAGCTGCAAATATTTCATGGATTTTCTACTCCATTTGTCTGCTCCCATCTGCTTTCTATCCTTTAGGAATTTCTCAAAAAAAAAAAAAGCGGCCCATTGATGGTAACAGTTCTTACTTTCTGGCCCCATTCTCGATATATTTCTTAAAAACATTCTCTGCCATTTCTTTTTTTCTTTTTTATTTTTTAATTTTATTTTAAGTTCTGGGATACATGTGCAAAACGTGCAGGTTTGTTATATACCTATGCATGTGCCATGGTGGTTTGCTGCACCCATCACCCCGTCATCTAGGTTTTAAGCCCCACATGTATTAGGTATTTGTCCTAATGATCTCCCTCTGCTTGGCCCCATCCCCCGACAGGCCCTGGTGTGTGATGTTCCCCTCCCTGTTCTCTGCCATTTCTAAGGAATTAAGATAAAGGAAGAGATGACATACATATTAGGCCTGCAGTCTTCATTCAATCTCCCTCCATTCTTTCTTTCAAATACAGCCATCTCATCTTTACTAATAAACTAAAAGATGATCAAAGGTCATGGAGTTCGGGTATCCAGATAAATAATGTCACCACATTTAACCACAGGTGTGCCATCTTCACTGAAATGGAAGCCACAAATTTAAATAGGTGAGATTTGCGACTCTTTGGGTTTATAGAAGACAGAGACTATGCATGCCCAATTTAATATTAGCTTAAAAAGGTATCTTAATTCCTATGTTATACATAAATATGTTTTTGAAGAAAAAAGAAAATCTCACCCAACTTCAACTAGCACTCTGTTTGGACTGAGATATCTCTAGGCCACGTGTAAAACTGATATTAATGCTAACATGAGCTGCCTTCAGGGTCCTAGCCTAATCTTCCTTATGAGATTTCCCACACTGTTCAAATTATTCCATGTACTAGAAAAGAAGGCACAAAAGCAATTAAAATAGGACAAACTGGTCAAAATTATGAGTGTGATAGTGTCTGATGCATTAGTGTATATGAGATTTTTTAAAAAACTAAATCTGAACAACTCTACAAGAAGGTTTCACTTAAATCACTGGAGGGAAGAGAAATCTTGTTGTCAAGCAGACATCAAGTAGACACTGGAAAACTGTTAAAAATAATAGCAATGAAGAACATAAACATATTGAAATTATGCATTTGTCTTAGTGTTGCTACTTTGGAAGGATGTGTGTATGTTCTAATATACAGAGACAGAAAACACGTTGAAACCAGTACTGTTTAAAACTTTTCCCTAGTAATTTTTATTTTAAGACATCTATAGGGTTGATTTCCAACTCTGATTTCCCAGTATATTATAGCAGTAGCTGCTTCTTTTATTTTTTCTTGAAATTAAAAAAAGCTTGTAGCACACAAAGTATTTCAGAAACGTCTTAAAAAGAAAAGAATTATCCTTGCTGAATGTAACAATGTTACAATATTGGATCTCTGCACAGATTGAAATACTTTTTATAAATATAGGAGGAATTTTACATTGAAATACTATTCATATCCATTTTGTTCTCAATTGTTTTATGTCAGCTGTTTAGATTATAAAATGTGTTTCCCTCATTGAGGGAATATTATCAGTAATTGCCTAATTAACCCACAATACGATTGATGTAATATATGTTGCTGGTGTGGGTCTTTAGAAATTAGAATGACAGTGTTCTGAGCCTGTATCGCTTTGGAATATAAGTCTCTTTCCAGTGTTAGATTTACCTAAGAGTCAGGACAAATGTGTGCTTAGAGCACTTACAAAATGGAGCCATGAAAACAACAGGAAATTATTTGCTATTTGCTATTTCAAAAAGAAACACTGATGGAAGTCAAAATGGAAAAGAAAAAAAAGTGCTATGTATTTCCTTGCATTACTATAGCTTAACATTAAAAATTGTTTTTAATTTGAATAACCAACATTCCTGCCTATCTCATCATGTTCTTTAGGCAATAATCTCTTCAGTGTTTTGGATCTCTAAATGTGATCATCCGATCCTGCCTCACAGAGGCGTGAGCTCAGTTCTTTCTACCCCAAGCAGGCAAGAGACGGGAACATGATCAGAAGAGAAAATATTTTATTGGCTGAGCAAGGTAATTCCTCCAGTAAGCAATGAGATCGAAGTTCTAAAAAGAAACTGGGAATTCTTTTTACCTTTCAAGGGAAGGGTGCTGCTTCAGCAGACAGGAGAAAGGACTACAAGAGAAGAAGACTGAGAAGCAGGAATCTCTGGTGATATGAATCTGGAAAAAGAAGTTCTCAGAACTCAAAAGTGATCTGTTATAAAATGAGATGTGTAGATTGTTGACAGAAAGACAGTTTTACATAAAAATTAAAAGCATAGACTCACCAACTAAATTGCCTAAATACAAATTGTAGCTCTGCAATGCATTAGTTGTGAGAACAAATTATTTAGGCTTTTTCAGCTTCACCTTCTTCATCTGTGAAATGAGATATTAATTATGCCCACCTTATGAAGTTTTAGGAAAGATTAAGTGAGTAAATAACTATAGTAAAAACTTTATCGTGTCCCAGCAATTTTGGAGTCCGAGGCTGGTGGATCACTCAAACCCAGTAGTTTGAGACTAGCCTGGGCAACATAGCGAAACCTTGTCTCTATGAAAAATACAAAAATTAGCAGGGTGTGGTGGGTCATGCCTATAGTCCCAGCTATTCGGGAGGCTCAAGGATTTCTTGAGCCAGGAAGGTCAAGCCTATGGTGAACCATGATTGTGCCACTGCACTCATGCACAGTGACAGAGGGAGACCCTGTCTCCCCTCCAGAAAATAATAACAATAGAAACCAGCAACAACAAAAGTTTATTGTGGTTTAAAATATATCCACAAAATCTTCAGACATGAAAAAAGTGGAATGAACGTAAATTCACTTCCCATGAGTGTGGGTTAGATTTTAACTCACTTCTAACAAATAGAGCAAAGCAAAAGTGGTGAGTGTGACTTTGGAGATTAGGTCACCAAAGCCATGTAGCTTCCTTTTGTTTCTCTACCTAGGATCACTCACTCTGGAGAAAGCCACCTATGCTGCACAGAGGATTCAACCAGCCTTACCGAGAAGCCCACCCAACAAGGAAACGATGCATTCTGCCAACAACCAGTAAGAAACCAACGTCTTTGGTCAACGTGACTGAGCCCTCTTGGTAGGGGATCCTTCATCTCTAGTCAAGCCTTCACATGACAGCCATGCTGGACTTTATTTTATCTGCCACCTCATGAGATACTATAAGTAAAAGCCCACTCATGAATGTCTCACTTGAACTTTTCATATGCAGATGAAAAACTAAGGACTCCAGAAGGAAGACTGTCCACACTTTACATGATATATAATGTACTTCTTTCCTTTCTGTCTACTCCCATTGAATTATACACTTTCTTTCATATCTTCAATGCGGAAACACACACACACACACACACACACACACACACACACACACACACAAAATAAGACCAATCAAATGGGGAAAGCAAAGGGTATTAATTCATATTTTGTTGTGGCAAGGGAGTCATTCACCTTCACTTTCATTTTGCCCAAAACTCAAATGAAGGCATAGAAGTGATAAACATTCACACTGGAAAAAGGAAAGGATTTATTTATGCCCTGATTGGTGGTTGTTGACATGGGAAGGCTGTAGGTGAACTAACTAGAGGTGAGACACCTTATGTAATCAGTGAGGAGTGTGTATCTAACTTTCTCTGGTTCTTCTCAAGTTGGAAGCAGAAACAAAAATTAAGGAAACTTTCAATTATTAATCATGCTCTAGCTATGTTGAGATGATTGTTATAGACATTATTGTTTAATCTGTTGTCACTACAAGTAGCAATCTGGCTTCCTGCAAGTCTGATTTGTAGTAGGCTGGCTTTCCGGGTGGTTTTCATAGTAAGGGGTTGGTTTCCTGGGTGGATTTCTGGAGGTTGTGAGTCAAACCTCTGTTTTTATATATTATCTGGCCATTGTCATTTGTATATTCAATTTCTCATCAACTATACGCTATTTTTTACACTAATGTACTGATTGTAATGCCTGCTTATTTGTTCCAAGTTTCTAGCACTATTCAATTCCATTTCCATATCAAAGTGTTGGTAGCATTTCTATAAACATCTGGTTTATGAAGTACTGAAATCAACTTTTCTGGACGTGAATAATAAAATAATCAAGAGGATTATATCTTGGCAGAAAGATACTTTCTTCTGTAACAACAGACCTAAGCACAGAAAAAACAAAACAATAAACAAAAACACAGTTTAAAAGTCAACACATTTCCAGTAAAAACAGGGAATGGGAGTGGAAAAAAATTTATCAAACTGATGAATGAACCAACATAATCATATTTTTCTGGCTTCTACTAGATTGTTTCATATGTGGTATTTGATGCTATTTCTAACAGTATCTTTTGTACAAGTATATAAATGATCATAGAGAATGTATTTTCAATATAGCCTTTTATTTTTCACATTGCAATTATTGTTTGCTATTGTTTGACTGGCAACATTGAGTCAATAATCATTCGATTAGTATAAATTGTTTTGTGCTGGAGCAAGAAGAAAGAATGATTAGCATTATTGAATGTGAAAGGCAGAAAATAGTTCCAGTTATATTTCACCAGTTCTTAAATTCCATTGTTCTTGCAATGACCCTATGAAGTCATCAGGTTGTTTACTCCCTATTGGGAATATGTAAGCTGAGTTGTAATGAACCTAAACAGTACAGCCTTGACGGAGATCCAAAAATCCAACTGCTTCCTGTGATGTAGGCAGTTAATAAAAGCACATAGGCAGTATAAATTTATTCATTAATTCAATACATATTTATTTAAATACATTTATTCATTTATTAAATACATATTTATTGAAACATAATGCCAGGAGTTGTTCTAGGTACTGAAATAAATTTTGTACCAATTATCTTGCCATTTATATACCCCTTGATCTATATTTAGTGTTTATACATTTGATAGAGGCATGATTATTGATAAATATTTTCTTTATATTTTACAACAAGACTGATGATAAATGATTATTGGCTCCATGCTGCTTTCAGGAATTTAATAGAAGGTGGTAAGGATTTTAGTCCACTTTATTTTCTAATGGCAACAGCCACTTGTTTACATGCAGAAAGACCAAAGGGCTGTCACACCATCTTGTATTATTTTCATGTTTTTTATAAGACAGAACTACAGATTTATTTTTCATAGGAACCCACAAAATTTTCTTTATATTGTCTATTAAAAAAAATAGTGCAGATGAAATGACACATGCCAATCTATTTTATTTCCGAACAGTTCGGAACATTTGATTTCAATAGAATTAACTCAATTATCCTTAAGAATTTAAATATTAATGCAGATCACAAGCTATTTAATTAGTCTAAGGCTATTAGTAAGCATTGCCAGTGATGATAACTATAATAGATGAATGAAAACATAATCTTGGATATATAGACATGGCCATAAATGCTTTGGTCTGTTTATTTCCTAACTCTCTGGGATCTAATTCCTTCAATTAAATGTTTTCCAACATTTTGTTTGTAATCATTTGCACATTTTTAAATCATATGATCTACTTTCCATACTTCTATAAGCTACTCTATACATCGCCTCTCAAGGCATCCTAAAGCAGAAGATATTCTACTTATTAAAGCTTTCATTGCCCTCCATTTACACAGCGAACAAAATGCAAAGTTGTCCAAAGTGTTTAATCATCCAAGCCAAATCAGATTTTCCTAACTTTTCTTGTGTTAAACTCTCTTCCACTTGTGCAACCTCTTCAATTGTCTGTAACTGATCAAGTAAGCATGTCCTGTGCTTTATCACTCTATCTTTGCTTGAACAAATCTTTCCCCTCCAAGGCACTCTTCTAAGGTGTCTGCCAACACTGAATCTGTTCTCACAGGTCACTTTCAGTTTTATAATTACACAATTTTTTTCTATGTTCTCTAGTTTAAGTAAAACCTGTCTACTCCTATTTTCTGTGTGCAAGCTGTTAAGAAAATTAGTCTCATATTTAAGTCCTTTGAGAACAATATTTCTCTCTAGATATGGTTCAAGTTCCTGGTCACCTCTATGTGTGGGTTGTTGTATAAATAATAACTAGCACCGCTCTGTCTCCATAATAGGCATTCAGTTTCTGGTTGTTAAATTGAATTTTAATTAATTAAGTCCCAGATGTTGAAATGAATGCTCTTTTATTAAGGCACATCATTTTGAAAAAGGATTTGTGACATGAACATTGAGAGAAAAATCTAGGCTGGGAGAAATAGTAGAGAAAATGGTTGTAATTGTCCATGAAATAGCACATTTATTGCTTCCTCTTCTATGTTGTCACAATTAATTTTATAGTACCCTTTTAAAACTTATCTCAATATAATTATGTAGTTATATATCTGTATCATCACTAGACCACAAATTCAATAATAATGAATTATGTTTTATTTGATTTTGCATTTAAATGTCTTGCACAGTGCTTGACCCATTGTTTACACTGTAAATGCTTATTATATGCTGAATGAATAAATGTACAAACAAAAGACTCAAATCTGGAGATGCTTGCATCTCTCAAAGGAAATATAGGAATATTGTATTGCTGTTTAAATCTGTGGCTTGAAAATGTATAATTGTTTTATTCTCATTATTCTTTTGATATTGAAAAAATGGAATAATAACCAGAGTAATTATCTACATTTTCCTGAATTTTGTCTTCACTTACTAAGAGACCTCTAAATTTTTGTTCCATAAATTACTTTTCTTCCAATTATTCCAGGACTCAGAGAATTCCCTTTTTCAAATGAGCAAATCTTTCAGCGAACATGTGAATGTTATATTGTTTTTTTTTTTTTTTTTTTTTTTTTTTTTACCAACAGTCACATTGCTCTTTAGCTAAGTGTGCTGCTGACATCTCTGATGTCTGCAAAGCTGAGTGAAGGTGCCTTATCCATTTGTCTGCCCGTAGTTTAGTCCATAACAGACCTGCCAGGAAAATCGATCCTAGGGAAAAAAACATTGATGGACAGAGAATTTTCTTTTTAAATTTTTTTTCAATGATTGTGGGTACATAATAGTTGTATATGTTAATGTGGTACATGGGATGTTTGGAAACAGGCATACAATGTGTAATAATCAAATCAGGGTAATTGGAGTATCCATCATCTCAAGTATAACTATTTGAAAATATTTAGCAAATTATTGTTAACTATAGTCACTCTATATTGTGCTGCCAAATACCAGATCTTATTCATTCTATCTGTAATTTTGTATCCATTAGCCATTTCTATGTTAGCCTCCACTCCCCGCTACCCTTCCCAGCCTCTAGTAACCATCAATCTACTCTCTATCTCCATGAATTCAATTATGTTAGCTCCCATATGTGAGTGAGAACATGTGATATTTGTCTTCCTATGCCTGGCTTATTTTACTTAACATAATGGAAATTTTCTTAGGTCAAGTCAAGGGAATAGACCTCCTCTTTTGGAACAATGAAACATCTCAGAAGCTCATTTAACCCAATGTGGGTAGACTTTTTTTTTTTTTTTTTTTTTTGAGACGGAGTCTTGCTCTGTCGCCCAGGCCGGACTGCGGACCACAGTGGCGCAATCTCGGCTCACTGCAAGCTCCGCTTCCCGGGTTCACGCCATTCTCCTGCCTCAGCCTCCCGAGTAGCTGGGACTACAGGCGCCCACCACCGCGCCCGGCTAATTTTTTGTATTTTTAGTAGAGATGGGGTTTCACCTTGTTAGCCAGGGTGGTCTCGATCTCCTGACGTCATGATCCACCCGCCTCGGCCTCCCAAAGTGCTGGGAGTACAGGCGTGAGCCCACCGCGCCCGGCCGTGGGTAGACTTTTAATGGACAAGTTTCTTACATTCTCTGGACTTCAATAATTACAGTGATAGACACATTTATTGTTCAATCCGGAACACACACACACACACACACCACACTCATATAGACCAAACTTGTGATTTTAACTACTAAGAAATTAGATTAGACCGATGAGTTCATGTCCTTTGTAGGGACATGGATGAAGCTGGAAACCATCATCCTCAGAAAACTATCGCAAGGACAAAAAACCAAACGCCGCATGTTCTCACTCACAGGTGGGAACTGAACAATGAGAACACATGGACACAGGAAGGGGAACATCACACACCGGGGCCTGTTGTGGGGTGGGGGGAGGGGGGAGGGATAGCATTTGGAGATATACCTAATGTTAAATGACAAGTTACTGGGTTTAGCACACCAACATGGCACATGTATGCATATGTAACTAACCTGCACGTTGTCCACATGTACCCTAAAACTTAAAGTATAATTAAAAAAAGAAAAGAAAGTAGATTAGACAACCTCTAATGTTGTCTCAACTGAGAGACTATATTACACACTCATTCAAGCATTCATTCATTCATTCAATAAATACTATAAATTCATTCAAATAATACTATACTATAGAAATTTATTCAATAAATACATTCATTCATTCATTCATTCCATAAAGAAGATGTTAGGTAAGTATGAAGGCTAAGTCCAAAAATACAACAAACACAAAAGAAGTTGGAGAAGTGAGTCACCACTTTAGTTTATATCCTCACTTTGCAGCATATCATTTAATATTTTCACAATTTATTTAACCGTTTTGACTTATAGTAACCTTACAAGAAGTATAGTAATGGTAGTAGTAACCTTGTAAGAAGAAAAGCCAGTAAATAAAAATAAAAAAAATTGGCCTATGGGGTAGGATAAAAATCAAGAGTCATGGGTTATGGGAGCAAAGGGAGAAGAGAATTTATGTACTTCTCAGATGTTAGAGAATAAAAAAAGCATGTTGAGTAGGATAAAAGTCACATCAAAGAGAAACTGGGAGCAAAGAAATCAATCAACACCATTATTTATTTAACCAAACTCATGGATTTAGTTTATGTGATATTTATTTACCTTTTTTGCTCTAGGTGCTGCAGTAGGTATTGGCAATATAAGGATTAATGTAAAATAGTTTCTATTTGACTAATGTAAAATAGTTTCCAGCTTAAAGAAACTACTTGAACTTTCTTTTTTAACTCTTATTTTAGGTTCAGGGAAACGTGCAGTTTTTCAATACAGGTAAATGTGTCACAGGGGTTTTGTGTATAGATTATTTCATCACCCAGGTACTAAACTTAGTACCCAATAGTTATTTTTTCTGATTGTCTCCCTCCTCCCACCCTCCACCCTCAAGGAGGCCCCAGTGTTTGTTATTCCCTTTATTTCTCATTACTGAGCTCCCACTTATAAGTGAGAACATGCAGTATTTGGTTTTCTGTTCTTGCCTTAGTTTGCTAAGGATAGTGGCTTCCAGCTCCATCTATGAAGAAACTACAGGAACTTTAGAAAGCATTAGAGTCACCAGTGCTTCTTCTTAACATTCTCCAGATCCCATCCCACAAAGTTTTTGATTTAATGTAAATTAAATTATTGTCCAGAAAAAACAATTTTATAAAAATAAGCAAACTGCACGGTTATGAGTAGGTGACTGAAGGAGCATCCTGCAATAAAACAACTTAAGTGATTATACAAAGAATTTACTTTAAAATTAATAGCTGCAAAAGGAGCTTTAAATATAAAATTGTTTCTTATTTGATCTTAAAATTTTCTTTCAGAATTTGAATCAAAAAATAGGTTCTAATTTATTTCATTTATCATCTTGTATTCCATTTCATTATCTAAGCTTCTGAAAATCAAAATTGTTACATGGTGTTTGGAAAATATTTAAGGAACTAACTCTTTTGTTAGCCTAAAACATGAGAGATAAAGTTGAATAGCTACATTATTCCACATAAGCACTATTTTATGAAGGTGTACACTGAAATTATATAGGATTTCAATATAATTTGTGAAAAAAAAGGTCGTGGGATTTAAGATTTAAAAATGAATTTTTGGTTATAAATATAACCAAAAATAAGGACAAATTATGAATATCAGTTGGATAAATGCTGCTCATGTGTGTGACGCAGGTAGAAGAAACAACTATCTACCATTATTAATTTAGGCATTGCCCATGTGAGTCTAATGTAATTAATACATACAGAATTCTAAGAGTGTTCCAAAATATGACTTTATACTCCCAACATGAGGAAGAAAACACCTAAATACCCGGTTCCATGATTCTGACCCCCTTTACCTCAATTTGTATAGGTCAAGTGGTCTCAGCTGGATCCCTTGGTTTCAGCTAGGTCTAAGCGTGTCTTGTCAGCTCAGTTACAGAGTCAAAATTTGCATGAGGGTTTGTTAAAACAGGTGTGACGAAACACACACACTTAAGAAAACAAAAACAAGGTAAGAACAACCAGTGCTATGTATCTGGTATATTGGGCCCTTGACCTGAATTCCTTGATTTTTGATGAAATGTCAAGCAAATGAGATGGGATGTCTGGAAGAGCTATATTTACTAGAACTCTAGTGATAGATTGGGAACCTGAGCAATATTGCTTTTTTAGTTACATAAGAAAGTAGTCACAAAGTGAGGGAGAGTAGCAGTCTCCTCAGTAAGGCATGGCTTTGATTGACAGAAGACTACTGTGCGTATATGAGTTCTATTGAGAGCTTTAGCCCGTTGGCAGTAGTTGTCAGAATGTCATTCACATGCAGACAGGAGAGACCTCCCATGCACATTACACTGTGTAGGTCCTCAAGACTTCAGCACTGACCATGACTAGGGTAGATGAAGGAATGTCGCTGGACATGGAGAAAACATATATGACATTATCTGTGAACTCCCTGAAATTATAGAGTAAGATATAACAGGATGGCCACAATCTCCTATTAGTATCTAAGGA
The DNA here is from genome assembly GCF_000001405.40 of Homo sapiens. Classification (NCBI taxonomy): domain Eukaryota; kingdom Metazoa; phylum Chordata; class Mammalia; order Primates; family Hominidae; genus Homo; species Homo sapiens. The sequence continues at coordinate 31,674,019 of NC_000004.12, forward strand.
AAAGATAAGCAGAGGAGCATGAGTTACATATTGCACTTTGAAAACAAGAGTCTCACCTTAAAATAAATGGTGATCTATGTACATAAGATCTGAGTATGTGTGTATAAAAATAATTGTCTGCAAGGATAGTGCCTGTCCTTAGACTATATTAAGCAATATATTACTTAGAAAAATGGTGTGGAATCCAGTGTGGAATTCTTGTTCTTGTATGATTAAGTTTTCTTTAGTTTACAGCATAATTATTTCAAAGAGCAGGTCAGAAATTATTGTCATCAACTGGATACACTGAACATATCAGTCAGTATCACCAAAGCAAACAAAATTCACAGGTGGTTCAAATGTTAGGAATTTCAAACAGAGGCATGGACAAAGTTAAGGGAGCATGTAAGGGATGCTGAGGATCTCAGACATCATCAGGACTGGGGAAGCATTACTTCTACTGGGACTGAAATTATGTTACCAGAGATTAATGATACTGGGAGCAAAAGGAAAGGCCACCTTGTGGTGCTGTGAAGGAATGCAATTATTGTCAAAAAAGAGGCTGGGCACAGTAGCTCCTGCCTGTAATCCCAGCATTCTGGGAGGCTGAGGCAGGTGGATTGACTGAGTTCAGGACTTTGAGGCCAGCCTGGGCAACATGATGAAACCCCTTCTCTACTAAAATACAAAAAATTAGCATGGTGGCACAGGCCTGTAATCCCAGCTACTGGGGAGGCTGAGGCACAAGAATTACTTGAACCCAAGAGGTGGAGGTTGCAGTGAGCAGAGATAGCACCACTGTACACCAGCCTGGGCGACAGAGCAAGACCCCTTCTCAGAAGAAAAAAAAAGTTATTGCTGAAAGCCAGTTGGTTATGGAATCTGGTGATGTAACATATCAGATCAGCCACCCTTCATCCCCACCTCAGAGAAGGGCAGAGGATTGAGAATAGGTTCTTGAAATGGAAACTGGGGATAACCCACAGAGTTTACTCTTACAGGTAATTGTTGTTTAGACAGACAATTCAGAACCTTTGTTCTCAATTGCTGGGTAATTTCTAGAGTATCCCTTTTGTTCAGGCTACAGCAAGGGTCAAATTTTAATGCAGCCAAACTAGATATGTTTGCCTGTGCAATACCATATAACTGAAAATTTAGCTATCGTACATTGAGCTGACTCAAATGTACATTACATGTTCTTGGTAGAATTGATTAATGAAAAACGTGTTTATATGTTAGAATATCATTTAAGAGTTAATATAATTTAAGTAGCTGAAAGAAAAAAGAAATCAAAAATGTTTAGGCAAGTGTTGTATTATATAATATCTTTTTATTCAAAACCTATTTTAAAGACATCTCTGTTCATATCCTAAGTGTAGACACTGTATTTTGCATGTACAGTGTCTTGATCCCTGCTATACACAAAAGCCATGGTTGAATTTACATCCACCTACCTTGCTCAATTAGTGTATTTTTAAATAGCTAAGTAAAGCTTTTTTTTTTTAATCCAAAATAGCACCCTGTGAAATGCTTGGGTCCAAAATAGAATCTATGTGAAATCCAAAAAACCAAAATAGAATTCCTACAACTCTTGAAATCTAAAACACTTGAAAATAGCTTCAGTGGGTGTGACATATCCATCACTTTCTTATTGACTTAGGGTTACTTCTTAGGACTTCTTTGTAGGTTACTTAAAAGTAAAAACACAAACAAATACACACCAAAAACCTCCTGCTGTAATTCCAAATATGTAGAATTTATTTCTGGATTTCAGTTATCACTAGCTTGCACCCCAGGCATGAAGTTTTGTAGATGAAGCATGGTGTGTGTGTGTGTGAGAGAGAGAGAGCTTGATTATGTAAATAGCTAGTAGATATCAGTTTAGTTAACCGATATTTTTACCAATGTAAAGCTTCCTTCAGATTGTATTTCTAATACTGGCAACAAGATGCAGTCTACGGAGTTCTTTGTGATCAAAAGTCAACTAGGGTACTGACTTCTAAGGAGACACACTTTTCCTTTTTTCCTTTATAAGGCTATACAGTACACATGTCACTTACCATTTATTTCTAAGGGTCATCAAAAACATATTAAAGTTACAAAGCCCATGTTAAAATCTTGTTCAGCAGAGTTAGAAAGTGAATACAGAAAGAGGAAATATATTCAAGGAAAGGAAATGAAGGAAGATTAATCTAATGCTAGTAGTTGTCACTTACTAAATTATTATATATGAATCCCTTCCCCATCTCCCAGAAGCTTCATTGTTGGTGGTCTCAATCCATGCTAGGAAAAAAAAAAAAAACAAAACAAAACAAAACAACAACAACAACAAAAAAAAAACAACTGTGTGTGTGTTGGGAGGGGGTGTGGGGGTATGTGTGTGTTTATGTGTGATATTCCCATCTGTATCATCTATTAACTGTGTAGCTTTGATCAAGTTATTAAAACTTCTAAGACTTAGCTTCTTTTAGAAGTGCTGCATGGAGATGGGCTATTTTTTATTACAAACCAAGCATTTTGCACTTACAGTATCTAATCATCAGAGTCATACTTCAAGTCAGATATCTTTTTCAATTTTAGAGATAATTGTATGGAGGTTCAGAGAAGAGTTGAGAACATTGCTCGGGATATGTAGGTACAAAGTGACAGAGCTGGAACTTGAACCACAGTTCTTACTGTTTTATTCTCCATTGTAAGCACTTATATCCAAGAAGTGGCCAGGGACAAGCACAAGGAAGCCCCATGTAGATTATACTAATAATTGTGGCCTTTATTCTAAGAAAACAAAAAAGGCATTGTCAAGATTAATATAGGAGACTAATTGATCTGATCAATTCCGATTTTGTTTTAAAGTTTGCATTCTATGTGTAGAATAAAGAATAGATGATAGAGGGGTATGAGTGTATCTGAGGAGTTCAGTGTCTCCTTGGTGGAAATGAAAAAGAAAACAGACAAATCTGAGAAATATTTAGCAGGACAAAGTCACCAGTTAGAACATATATTTCGAAGAGAGTACAGAGTTAGGAAAATACAGCTCCAAATAAGACACAAAATACTTCACCAAATTGGCATCTTCCTTTTGATTATCTCTTTAAAAAGAATCTACCCATTGCTGGTGTAGTGTGCAGGAAGTAATTATCTAGTATTTATGACTAAATATATTGTACTTTTGTTTCCACTACTTTCACATTAATTTATTTCCTAGATTATAGTTGATTTTTTTTTTTACTACACTTTATGGTTGTTTTCAAGAAGATCCTTTTTTTGAACACTTACGATGTACATCTTGGTACTCTAATCTAGCTCTATTTTCTGTTAGATAATATGTCATTTTTGTCTCATCTCAAGATATGTATAGTATTTGACAAGATTGCCTTAAGTAGCTGGAATTTTGATAGTGGCACTTCCTTGCCATTATTTTTCTTTCATTTTATACCAGGATAAATCCCTTCCTTGCTTCTGTCCTTCATCTATGTATTGGTCCTAGGTTCTGCTTTGCATATGAGCTACAAATTAGCTATGGATTGCCAAATCTAACATTGAATGACGGGTGCTTTCGATTTTCAAACTGAAGAATACTATTTTCAATGGAATTGAAATGAAAGAAAGTATAAAGACTGCTTTTATTTCACTTTTAGAATTTGCTTATTGTTATATTTCATGAATAGTTTTATGAGTATGGGAGTTTTACAGACATTATAGATGATCCTCCCTGAGCACCAGCTAATCTTGCTGGTAAATAAATATGGATTTTGGTTCAGTTTTGGTTTTGACCAACCAAGTAGCAGATAGCATACTTACACATTCACATTTTTTAGATGATTCTATAATGTCACTCAAATAAACAGTAAATGTATATTCAGCCTTCTTCAGATGGACTTCAATATATCAATTCATTTTTCATCAGTATACTTGTCAAAAGTATATGAAATATAAAAAAAATTACATGAATTTCCCATGAATGTTTTTAGTCATGAAATAGTATTATATATTTTAAGTATACTGTTTTCTAACAAACTTCTTTCAAACTATGCACATAATTGGAGATGAAGATCTAATAGTCTATATTATAGCATGATGTGCTGAGTATAACCCTGTAAACAAATGGGCTTCTTCAATTGCATCATACACATATACATGGAGGAAAAATTCTGAACTTTAGCCAGGTGTTCTACAATACGACAGACAGTCTTTATTTAAAAATCTAAATTAATTTAATTTTTTATACTTTTATTTTAGGTTCAGGGTTTACATGTGCAGGTTTGTTACATGAGTAAATTGAATGTAAAACTGCCAAAATTTTAAATAGTTAGATTTCTTAATTACATCTTGATGGAAGACAAAAGAATTTTGTAAACAATTAGTCCCCTGTTATGTTGTGTATCAGATAACATGTTACATTTCTCTTGTTCTGCTGACTTGAACTTATCAAGACTTGAGTGTACCTTTTTTATTTTTTTTCCTGAAGCTCTGCTACACAACAGATGGGATGTCTAACATCCTTTTCTATTTAAAACATGCAAGTTCTAATCAACAGGAGGGTTTTAGAATGTTAAACCAGCCAGCCATAAGAAATGTGTCATGCAGTTTCCTGTCATTCTAATTAATTAGATAGCATTATTTGTTGTCCCCAATGAACCTAAATGAGCTCAATGCCAGGATAATAGCTTCATTCTTATCAAAGGTTTGTTTTCATATTATCTGCTTGGATTGAAGCAAAAAATCCAATATTCCAAGATTATCCCCGATTTATGAGGACTATGATTTATATATGAAGCCTACATATTTGAACTTAGTACTACAAGCAGCCTATTATTGCATGCTATTCTTGTTCTAAAACTACTGATGAAAAGAAATGCTATGTAAATTATTAGTGTGCAAACTATAAATAAAATATAATATGTGAAAATTTAGCATTAGTTATTGGGAAGCAAATGAACATAAAATTAAATGTCAAATGAAAATCAGGAGACAAATTAGAAGACAAACTGTCTTAAAATATTTAATCTTAATCTGAAGGCCATCTTGTGAGATTTTAAAGTGAAGGAGGCATGCTAAGTAAAATAACAATGACAATAGGTAATTAAGCAAAAGTGAAAAATACTAATTTCACTACATGATTCCAGCAAATACATTTAGATCATTGCACCATTATAAATATTTACCTATTATTACCATCCTTAAAAATGTCTACTTACTCAAAACATTTCACTAATTATATATTTCTTCTTTCTCCCCAATAGCTGTGCTTTGATATTTTCTGCAAATTTATTTAAATAGTTTATTTAAATACATTTCAATTAGATTTCAAAAGTATAAACATATATTTACCAACACAAACTCTTATTTTTGTATATAAAAATTTAAATCATGATGTTGGTAATTGATGTAATCTCTAATAATAAATAAGATCTAGTGTGTATTTGATGTGGATTCTTTTTTCTTTTTTCTTTTTGTTTTGAGAAGGAGTCTCGCTCTGTTGCCCAGGCTGGAGTGCGGTGGTGCAATTTCGGTTCACTGCAACCTCCACCTCCCGGGTTCAAGTGATTCTCCTGCCTCAGCCTCCTGAGTAGCTGGGATTACAGGCACCTGTCACCATGTCCGGCTAATTTTTGTATTTTTAGTAGAGACGGGGTTTATGCCATGGTGGTCAGGCTGATCTCGAACTCCTGACTTCGTGATCCGCCTGCCCTGGACTCCCAAAGTGCTGGGATTACAGACATGAGCCCCCGCGCCCGGCTTGATGTGGCTTCTAAGAATATATTTGTATAATCACATTAACATCATCTAGAAATAACTGGCAACCGTAATAGAGCTTAAAAGTTGCCATGACTTTCCTATTATTGCTTTGGAAGTCTTCTACCACTGCTATGTCATAATTAAGGATTAATTGATAGAAATATGTGCTTTATCTTTGGTAGTACTTCAAAACTGTCAGCAACCAGTATATTCTCTTCAGCTCATTTATTTCAGTTGAAAGACTACTGGTTTTCTAGCATCCACATAAATTGTGCTCATGAAATCGTCCTCCATTTACATAACTGTAATTAAGCATTCTCTTCCTTAAAATTTTCAAGCCCAGTTTCACATTTTCGTTGCTTTTATATTTCAGTGTCTATAATATCTACTAAGCCACGAGTTGACAAACTTTTTCTGTAAAGGGTCATATAGTGAACATATTAGGCTTTGCAGGCCATTCAGTCTCTGACACAACTGTTCAACTGTGCCATTGTGGTGGTGGCAAACAGCCATAGGAAATGTGTAACTAAATGGTCATGGGTGCACTGCAATAAAAATTAATTTACCAAAGTAAGTAGTGTGTTTGATTTGGCCCACAGACTGTAGTTGGCCCACCCTCATGTTCTATAGTTGGCCCACCCTCATGTTAGACTGTAGTCTTCTTCTTCAGGGAAGAGACCATATCTTATTCATCTTCACCACACGGTGTCTGTCACAGGAATTTGCACATTTTAGTGCCTTCAAAATTCACTGAATTACTGGGAGACATGTTACCATAGTATAATATACTGTATAGTCAATTGTATAAGTTATGAAGAGTACATAAAGTAAAAAAAAAAGGAGGTGATGCAGAGAAAACAGGAGTAAAATGAAAATCATATATGTTGTCATTTTAAACTATTTTCCTTATTTAGAAATTATGTTACAAGAAAAAATTAAATCAATAATAATTTATGGTGTATTTCACTGTGTTTGTGAGAATTCAGTCCTTTTCCGTGACGAGCACATAATAGAGCTAGGTAGAAAGACAGTATCCCAAACGCCTTAATAAAGTGGTGAGCACAGATCCATTGTTACACAACAACATATGAAGTACTTCCAAAAAGAATTCACATGTGCCTCAGACATGAGAATAGTTTTTGAAGGTTCAAAACAGTTAGTGTTTGAGACTATAGAAAGTTGGTCGCCTACTCAAAAAGAAAATGAAACACTGAAGTAGCTGCTGCTTTGAACCTTACTCTCTAAATTCGTTTAACAAATGAAGTAAAGGTACAGACTACAAATAAAGGAAGTCCTTTCATTTTCCCAAAATATTGCTGGTAGGTATGCCATAAAGACAACTGTATTTCTTCAGACCTGGATTCCAGAATTGAACTTGTGACCAAGATTTCTGCTTTAAATAAGTCAAAATTGTGACTAGCTTTGTGTAATGCAAACAAACTTGCAACTGCGAAGTGCTTATTTATTCACAGTGGTGCACCAAGTTCCATAAAATGTGAATATATAGTTTTAAAAATTTCAGTTATACACATCATGAGCTTGAGGAAGTGGAAAAACAAATATATGGAGATATTGTAGGGACAGAAGAAAATATTGGTCTGGAAGTTATATATGAGGTCAGGGCTAAAAATACTGATTTGGGAGTCATGGATAAAGAGATCTCTTGGAGAAGGAGTTTTGACTTTCCTGCAGTTGGAATGATGGAGTAGAAAATCCACCGTACAAACATTAAAAAGTATGAGGCCCACATTCGTGGTTGGTTGGTTGACTCTATGGACTTATTTCCCTGTCTTTAGACTAAGAGAGATATCTTAGAAGACCTTCAGATTCTTTTCAACAGTAAAATTATTCATTTATGCATGAGGACTCCTTCAATTTAAATGAATGCATATGTCACATTAAATGTCATAATTGAGCTTATATTCATATTTCTACCACAATAAACCATAGTACAATATTTAATTAGGGCTTATTGTGTTTTCCCATTTAGAATTCATATGGGCTTCATGAGGTTTCAAATCCCTTAAGAAAGATGTTCAGTCAGTTAAGTTTATTTTGTTTTCTTCATTTATGTTTCCTATAAGTAAAGACATCTTTCTATTTGAGATGTTTCCGATTGAAATTTTTGCAATAATTACAATATGAATATTGGTATTAATGGTGATACTGCTAGTTTTCCTACTGGAAAGCAGATTTGCTCATGACTCATTATCAATTACATAATTTCTCATAAGAAATTGAAATGTAATATGATTTTCATACAAATCTACCTATATTTGCATAATATTAATAACAATTTTAATCTAGCTGTTATCCTTAAGTGTAAGATATTTCAACCTAATCATCCTTAGTTCTTACAGAGTGGTTAAGCTCTTGTACTACAGTAGATATTAGCTGTTTAGTCAGAATGTGTATGCAAGTAAAAATAAAAAGGAAACGTTTAGAACATATGCCATAGCAAAACTATTAATTAGACAAACCATTCCGACTAACTTGTTTGAAAATAAAATTTAACCAGATTTTGCCAAAATAAAGATGTCTCATACTCTGATGATAATTATATATGTTTCCTAATTTTCTTAAAATTAAAGAATAAATATAGACAGATGATGTGGAAAGAAATTTGGAAAGCCCTAAATTAGAAGACAAAGGTAAATTTAGATCATTCCCTAAGGGTAGCACAGATATTTCTGGAATGACTGACAGACAAAATGAGATCTTCTATAGTGTTGGTGCCAATAATGAGATAGTTAAACTCTTACCATAGGATTAAACGGAAGAAATAGCGATAAAGGTAGAATCAGAAATGTTGAAAAAAATTTTATATTTTGCTTCAAAACATGTAAAAAATATATTTACTAAAATAATTATGTTTTACTACTCTTGACTATCTTTGAAACCAACTGTGAATTAATTCACACTGACAATAAAACAATCCAAACTGATTTCTGTAGCTTTGGAGCCTTTCATCAGGACCAGCATGTAGAAATACAAGGTGCATACAGTTCCCTCATATAAAGGCAGTAAACATAGGGGATGTATTAATTTTCTATTGCTGCATAACAAGTTTCCACAAACTAAACAACAGCCATGTATTAGCTCACAATTCTAGAGGTCACAAGTCTGGCATGACATGGCTTAGTTCTCTGCTCAGGGTTATCATAAGCCTGAAATCAAGACGTTGTTCAGGCTGAGCTTTTGTCTTGAAGTTCTGGGGAAAACCTGTTTCTAGGTTCATTCCTGTGGTTAGCAGAAGTCAGTTCCCTGCGGTTGCCATTCTCCGGTCCCCCCTTTCCCTCACTGCTGTTGGATGAAGACTGCTCTTAGCTGCTGGAGCCTCTCTCTCTCCCTTGGCAATTCAGAAGAGTTGGATGTCTGATTTCTTCCAGACTGAGCACAGTTCATCTCTGTGACTTCTGTTCTGTGACCAACTAGAAAAGAATCTCTGCTTCTAAAAGGTTCATGTGATTAGAAAAGGCACAGCCAAATTGTCTTTCTATTTGAGGTCAACTGTGCTATATAACATAACCTAATCAAAGTAGTAATATTTATTAAATGCACAGTTCCAAGGATTATACAGGGTGCCATTGTAGAATTCTGCTTATCACTGGACTCTGGAACCTGAGGACCTGTCTTTACATCTTGGCTCTGCTGATTTCTAGTGTGATCATGAGAAGTCTTATGATTTATTCCTTCCTCAGACTTATTTGTAAAATTGGCATAATACTATCGTGAGAAGTTTACACTGATATTAACTCCTGAATTCATGTTGGTTAGCTATTATCATTAATTTACAAGTATAGACAATGGGGAGAAGAAATGGTATGAACAAATACTTCAAAGTGAGCCTGTCCTTGAAATAAAGATGAAATGAGATACATCTGTTTGTCCTTCTCTCTTAGCACATTTCAGTTTCTATGACCCTCCCGTGATGAAAGTATCTTGCAACACTAAAGTTCTAGAATTAAAAATATGAATTTTGGGTACAATTTCACAACTAAATATGACCAAAGCAACCCCTTCATCTGCCATACCTGGGGAAAACAATGATCTTTTATAGTATTGGAGGTAAACTGGTTAATAGACTTAGAAAGAGTGCATCCATCAACAAAGGTCAAAAAATAAATAAAAAGGAATTTTCAAGGTTAACAGTGCACTTATCTGAAATTTAATTTATGCACTGAATTTATATAATCACCCCTGAAAGAGATATGACTTCATTTGTAAGTTCAAATTGATCTAACTACAGAAGCCAAAATTAAACAATTTTACAGCCCTGTTCTTTTGACTACATAAAATGCATTTTCATAAAATGACTACTGTTATATATCTTTCCTCCCTTTCAGAATTATCTATTAATGATTTTATAAAAGTGGTTGCTTGGCCTAACTAAAACACGTACATCTTTTGGTATCTTAATACCTTCATGAAAAACAGTCTCCACTCTGCACTGAAGTTCTGCCTTATTCTCTGTGATACATGCCCCCTACCGTGGTTATGACTTTGAGGGTATTTAAATAGCCCGAGATTTACAATAAAAAATGTGATGGTTCCCATCCATGAGCATGGAATGTTCTTCCATTTGTTTGTGTCCTATTTTATTTCGTTGAGCAGTGGTTTGTAGTTCTCCTTGAAGAGGTCCTTCACATCCCTTGTAAGTTGGATTCCTAGGTATTTTATTCTCTTTGAAGCAATTGTGAATGGGAGTTCACTCATGACTTGGCTCTCTGTTTGTCTGTTATTGGTGTATTGTGGTATCATGAAAATGGCCATACGGCCCAAGATAATTTGTAGATTCAATGCCATCCCCATCAAGCTACCAATGACTTTCTTCACAGAATTGGAAAAAACTACTTTAAAGTTCATATGGAACCAAAAAAGAGCCCGCATTGCCAAGTCAATCCTAAGCCAAAAGAACAAAGCTGGAGGCATCAAGCTACCTGACTTCAAATTATACTACAAGGCTACAGTAACCAAAACAGCATGGTACTGGTACCAAAACAGAGATATAGACCAATGGAACAGAACAGAGCCCTCAGAAATAATACCACACATCTACAACTATCTGATCTTTGACAGACCTGACAAAAACAAGAAATGGGGAAAGGATTCCCTATTTAATAAATGGTGCTGGGAAAACTGGCTAGCCATATGTAGAAAGCTGAAACTGGATCCTTTCCTTACACCTTATACAAAAATTAATTCAAGATGGATTAAAGACTTAAATGTTAGACCTAAAACTATAAAAACTCTAGAAGAAAACCTAGCCAATACCATTCAGGACATAGGCATGGGCAAGGACTTCATGTCTAAAACACCAAAAGCAAGGGCAACAAAAGCCAAAATTGACAAATGGGATCTAATTAAAATAAAGAGCTTCTGCACAGCAAAAGAAACTACCATCAGAGTGAACAGGCAACCTACAGAATGGGAGAAAATTTTTGCAATCTACTCATCTGATGAAGGGCTAATATCCAGAATCTACAAAGAACACAAACAAATTTACAAGAAAAGAAACAAACAGCCCCATCAACAAGTGGGCGAAGGATATGAACAGACACTTCTCAAAAGAAGACATTTATGCAGCCAACAGACACATGAAAAAATGCTCATCATCACTGGCCATCAGAGAAAGGCAAACCAAAACCACAATGAGATACCATCTCACACCAGTTACAATGGCGATCATTAAAAAGTCAGGAAACAACAGGTGCTGGAGAGGATGTGGAGAAATAGGAACACTTTTACACTGTTGGTGGGACTGTAAACTAGTTCAACCATTGTGGAAGACAGTGTGGTGATTCCTCAAGGATCTAGAACTAGAAATACCATTTGACCCAGCAATCCCATTACCGGGTATATACCCAAAGGATTATAAATCATGCTGCTATAAAGACACATGCACACGTATGTTTATTGCTGCACTATTCACAATAGCAAAGACTTGGAACCAACCCAAATGTCCATCAATGATAGACTGGATTAAGAAAATGTGGCACATATACACCATGGAATACTATGCAGCCATAAAAAAGGATGAGTTAATGTCCTTTGTAGGGACATGGATGAAGCTGGAAACCATCATTCTCAGCAAACTATTGCAAAGACAAAAAAACCAAACACCGTATGTTCTCACTCAGGTAGGAACTGAAAATGAGAACACTTGGACATAGGAAGAGGAACATCACACATTGGAGCCTGTCATGGGGTGGGGAGAGGTGGGGAGGGATAGCATTAGGAGATATACCTAACGTAAATGATGAGTTAATGGGTACAGCACACAGACATGGCACATGTATACATATGTAACAAGCCTGCACGTTGTGCACATGTACCCTAGAACTTAAAGTATAATTTTAAAAAAATGTGATGGGTTTGAAGGCTGTTGCATTCAAGTTCTATTTCCATGTTTTACTCCTGGCATTAGAGCCTGACTTGATTAGCTGGTCAACCATCCTAGGAGCTGGGAACTTGTTGCCTTTTGAGATTCAACTTTGATGTTGATTCCTGAAATCTGTGGGTTTATTGATAAAAAACTTGAATAAGAAATAATAACTACGTTTGGAGCTCTTGCTGCTAAACTCTGTTCATCTATTAGGGTGCCTCTTTTCTATCTAGGGTCAGTTCAAATTTTTCAGGTTGCTGGTTTCTGGGGGCTAGATTAAATTTTGTCTAAGCTGCTTTAGCCAACTGCCTTGCCCTATCCCGGCTGATGATTCTCTTTCTTCTGTCAGCCCTGGTAGATTCCGTAGTCCCATTGTTCTTAATCAGGTCTTGCCTATCTTTGGATAAGTGTTAATAAATGTGGCCTAACTGCACAGTACTAAATTGTAGAGAAGCAATACCAGCATAAGGACAGATAAAACTGTGTTCTGCATTACTCTAATCCAACAGTGAATACTAAGACATATTTTTGTTTGTTGAGGAGCTGTTAACGCTTTTAATATAATCAATGAGAGCCTGTCATTGAATGCTGTTAAAATGGACTAGAACACTTCACAGATTACATTTTCAATACTGTTGTGTTTTTCTCCATACAGTTATGCCTAAAGCAAGCATCAGCCATTGGTTGATGGTTTATATTAAAATCAAGAGAATCTCTATCTAAGCACAGGGTTTTTTGCCTCTATTTATTGAGATATTATTCATAGACCACCTGTGGTAATAAATACCTAAATTTTTGTATTTATTAAGTTGGTAGGATTTATTATTAGGATTTATTTTATTTGTTTAATGCAAATTGTCTGATCCCATTACATTTAGACTGAATCAATATTTGGATTCAGCCAGCTCACTAGATGATTTCTTTATCTATTGCCTAGGACAACGCTGGCAAAAATTCAACAGCCCTATAATAAAATATAAAAATTCTAACAAATACTTCCTTCAGACTCCAAGTCTATTCGTTTGCTACTATATATTATAGAAAAAATATAAAGTGCAAATTACAGTAATTAAACCTATTCTGAATTTTCAAGACATTCTGCTTCATTTGGAACAATTATTTTTGTGGGTTTTTTATGTCAGTTATACAAAATAGGAGATTATTATATAGATGCTGAGAAAAGGAAATGAAAACATTTATACCTGGCTTGGGTCATGTCATAGAACTTTCTGGGATCAACAAAGTTCAAATAATCATATCCCCGAAAAATGACTGACATCAGCCTTCAGTCTCACACTATGATTTTATTTTTGTAAATTTTGAAATCATACATTAATGTATGCCCCAATGCCTAGACAAGGGATGACTCTGTTTATGAGAACTAAGCCTCTCTAGCTATAAGCAGAACTGTGATGTGAGGGTAGTATTTTATTGAAGGATTCAGAAAGACAGGTTAGGAATGTACAGAATCATTATGAGTTAGTTTGCACAAAGGCATACAAATATATACACAGAAAAACTGTGTAACTTGAGCAGTTACATAAATCATGCTGATCTAACAAGCTTCAAACAAGTGGAAGTCAGGCCCTTGTCTTGTCTCTAAAGGCATTCTTTGCCTTTTGGTTGAACCCCTCTCTTCCCAAGCAGAGTTGACCTCAGACTTCTCTCTAACATTGATCTCCAATAGCTAGGTAACAAAGGTAAATTCAGTAAAGGCATTACTGTCATCCTGGGAAATTGGAGGGTGAGCTACAACGCCTATGCAGCAAAGCTGAGTAAACCAGAAATAAGAAAGATAAACAATCACTGGACACATTCCTCTCACACAAACGCATTCTCATCAAGTTGCTACAGCCACAGGGTCCCAAAGGAGGAACTGGCAAGAAAAACACAAATGAAAAAATAAAACCTATTCACAATTTCAGTGTTTGTTGAGACAAAGTAATTACAGAACTATCAGGCCCAATTACAAAGCACATAGAGTCAATGGGCATAAAGTATTTAGAAAGCCAAGTAGAGAAGCTATTTGACCAGCATCCTTCCATTCAGTGCAACCCAGCTCAGGGGCCTCTTGCTCCCGGTTTGTAAGTCAGAAAACTACAATGTATAATTGCATTGCTTGTTCACTCTGCCCTTAAACATTTACCACAGAGAATTAATTTCTCCATGAGATCTTCTATTGCAACTTAGAAAATGCTGATTATTTGCTCCATTCCCATTGCAGGGATTTCCTTCTTTTTCATAAATTCTCTCCTTTCCTTCTCTTAATATTTTGATTTATGCAATGCACATGTCAATCTAATGTTTCATAAAGATTTTGCATCAACATCTTTTGCAAAATGTATATTCTATACATATTTTGAAATCTTGAGTACATTCAGAACTAATATTAGAAGATTAATTATAAAACTCCAACTCCATCTCCATTTCTAAAATATGTACAAACATAGGCCATGATCCCAGAGATATACTGCACGGAATGTCAGATTTTTCAGTTTCCACCTATGCTAGAATCTAATCTCTAAGTAACTTGGCAATGATTAAAAAATACAATAAAATATTGCTTGTAGTAATTTTATTTACAACAGAATAATAATGGCAATTGACATCTGGGACTGTGATAAATACATGTTACAAAAACCTCTACATATGTTATTTCATGTGATTCTTTGATTCCTGTAACTTTTCTTTTTTTTGAAGTCTTGGACAGTATGATCCTCCTCTCAGTTGGAGAAATAGGAGCTAAATTAAGAGACTTTCCATAAATTTTCAGAAAGGAAATGCAACAGGCATTAAAACCTGTTTCTTTGTACATATAACTTATCAAAAGTTTAATTCTTTACTTAAAATCAGTTTTGTTTTTAATTATGAACTATTTCAATCCTATAGAAAACTGGAGTAGAACAATAAATACACATCTAGGCACCCAACATCTATATTTTAAAAATTAACTTATGGCTCTACTTGTTTCATTTTTTAAAAAAATAGCATTTTAATTATGCATTTGATGTCCCCACTCCCACCCCACCTTCATGGTCTCATTTATTTCTCTTCTTGCCTAAATGTCAGTATTGTTCTGGTAACTTTATATCTTTCTCATGTATGTTTTAAAAAGTAAACGTGCGTATCCATAAATACTAGTACTTCTCTGTGTTTCAAACGTTTACATAAATTGTAATATATTTATCACTTTCAATTTACCTTTATAAACGTATCCACATTTTGAATGTAGATTTCATTCAGCCATGTTGGCTGCCTTATCCTTACTGGTACAAATATCACAATTTATTTGTCTATTCCTTATTTTTTTGTGGTCATTTCATTTATATTATTGCTTTTATAGAAAATATTTCATTAACTACATTACTTAGATTTTGATAAACTTATCTTGATATTAAGTAGGTTGTTTTCTTCATCTTTGTTTCTTCTTCTTAAAGCATTTTCTTCACTGTTTTGAGCTATTTTTATAATTCTAGATAATATTTTTGTTTTAATATTTAGGACACATCACTGACTAGATTTCAATTAAAATTACTTTGAATTTATACAATTATTATATAACTAATTAGGGAGAAATTTATTTATGATAGTTAATAAACACAATAAATTATCAACATTAACTCAGCTCTTCTTTTATAACCATAAACATAAAATATATTTTACTCATATTTTTTGGTTTTGACATATTCTTATTTTTAATAGACATTGCTAAGTAAAGTTTGTTAATAATTTAATAATTTTTCATGAAATGTTCATAGGAGAAATTGGCTAATAATTTTTTTTCTTAAACAGTCCTTGTCCCATTTTGGTAAAAAAGTGTTAATAGTATCGTAAAACGGTTTCGTGTGTTTATAACAGAGGACTCATCATTTGCTTAAAGGTTTGATACATTTTGCCATTAACATAACCTGAAACACTAAGTTTGTGTGGGCAAATTTCTACTGTTTCTGCTATTCAAATGAATATTGATAATTCAGATTTAATATTCCTTCTTGAGACAAAATTACTACTTTTTGTTAAAAAAAACTGTATGTTTCATTTAAGCTTTATTTTGCCATGCATTTTCATCATAGTGTTGTTTTATGATATTTAAAAGCTTATGTTTTATCTTGCACTGTTTGCATTTTGTCTTTTCTAATAATGCACATATGTGTGCATTTGTATTCTCAGTTTTGTTTGAGATGAGTTTGTCAGACATTTGTTCATTTTATTCATCTTTTTTCAGAATGAGATATTCATTAAATGTATGACTTTTATTAAATTCATTCTTATTTTTATATTTTACTTTCTTTTACTGTATTTAGTTTCTAATCTCTAGTTCTAGTTTATATTTCTGGTAGCTTTTTAAAAAATAATGTAAATAATATATGTGTATATAATTATCTTTAAGAAGTCTTTTGGGTATATCTTATAACTTTTAATACTAGCATTTGTTATTCGTATCAAAATTTAGCAATTTATTTTATAATTGTGTTATAACATTATTTCTTTTTTATCTATAAATTAGGTAGATGTTAGTTTATTTCTGAGTGGAATGTCTTATTTCTTGAAGGAATAAGACATTTTAAAATCAAATTTACTGCACTATTGTCATAGAATGTGGCATATTTGATATTGATTATTTGGAATATATTTACTACTTCCTTCAAGGATTATTATGCTACTATTTCTTGCAAAAGTTTTATATATTTTTGAAAAGAATATGCACTAATTTGGGGAATAATGTTACTCTGTATGTCTGTTACATCAGTTTTAGTGCTAGCATTATGAATGTTTACTATATCTTGTATCTTTTAAGTTGCCTGGTCTTTCTATTTCTAAGAAAAGCATATCAGAAGATTTATTTACTCAGTCATTCTTCAGTACATTTAATTACTATTCACTGAGAAACTTCAATGTGTCATAAGGAGGATACTGGTAGAAAATCTATTCTTTCAATTGCTCATGCCCAAAAAGCTTGAAATCTTTTGTAGTACACATGTACAATCCATCAGAAAATGCCAAAATTCTTATGATGAACTACCAAGGCTATACCTGTCTGGAATGCAGAACTATTGCAGAATTTGGAGGAGACAAACACAATGAACTGATTTTAATGTGAAAAGATAAGTCTCAGCTTTCATGGAAATCATTTAGAAGGCTGTTGCAGTCATTCAGTTGAGAGATGATGGTGGCTTGAATCCAGGAAATAGTAGGACAATGTTGAGAAATGATTGTACTCTGTGTATATTTTGAAGTAGTGCTAATAGTGTTTTCAGTTATATTAGATATGTGTGTCAATGGTATCTCCATTTTTTTATGTCTAGGCAAATTGAAGGGTGGATTTGCCACAAATTATATCCTATAATTGTGTATTTTAAAACATTTTCTCTTAATATACTTAACTGTTTTATATATTTAGACTATTTTGTTAGATTTACTTTGGTTCAAGCCTAAAATATCTTTCCCTTGAATTCTTTCCTTTACCTTAAAAAAATCCCTCTCTTTGTTTCTTCTTAGTCATTCTGCTTTACCAATTTGTCTCATATTCCTTTGGCCATTCTTGCACTTTTTTGTTGACTCATAAAATACTGTAAATTTTAAAATGTATTGACTGCATGTACAAGACATAAAAATTAAAAATTGCAAATTGTTAGTACTTCTCTTTTTCACTCCTAACTTCAACCACACAGTTTCTTCTCCAGGGGTAGCCAGTGTTGTCAGTTTCCTATCCATCATTCTAGGATAGTCTATGTGTATATAAGTACACATATGCAAACAAATACACATTAATTTTTTAACACAAATGATACCATACTATATAGACTGTGCTATACCTCGAGATTTTTACTTAACAGTATATAACAGAAACCCTTTTGTATCCCAGTATTACAAAGTTGACCCATTACTTTTTGCAGATTGTATAATATAATCTGTTATATGACTGAATTATATTATATATATTTGTATAATTATATGTATTCTATATTATAGGTAGAATATTATATGTATTCTATATAATTATAGTTTATGTACTCTATCCTCTTTATTTTCAAACTTTATGTGCCATTATATTTTAGGTTTTTTTGTAACAGCATATAATTATTTTGCTTTTTTCTATAGTCTAATCTAGAACCACTTTTTAAAAAGAAAAAAGTATAATCTAAGCACAGGCATATCTTTTTATATTATACTTTGCTTTATAGCATTTCGGAAATATTGTGTGTTTTACAAAGTGAAGATCTGTGACAACTCTGTATCAGGAAAGTCTATTGGCACCATTTTTCCAACAGAACATACTTACTTCGTGTCTCTGTGTCATATTTTCTAACTGTCAAAATACTTTGAACATTTTCCTCATTATTATGTCTGTTATGGTTTTCTGTGATTATTGAACTTTGATTTCATTACCATAATTGTTTTGGGGTGCCAAAAACTATGCCCACATAAAACTGAACTGAAACAATAAACACTGAGTGTGTTCTGAGTGCTCCACCTACCGGGCATTGCCCCATCTCTCTCCCTCTTCTCTGGTCTCCCTATTCCTGAGACACAAAATTGAAATCAGGCCAATTAATAACCTTACAATGGCCTCTAAATGTTCAAGTGAAAGGAAGCATTGCATCTGTCTCACACTAAATCAAACGCTGGACATGATTATGCTTAGTGGGGAAAGCATGCCAAAAGCCAAGATAGGCCGAAAGTTAGGTCTCTTGTGCCAAATAGCCAAGCTGTGAATGCAAAGGAAATGTTCTTGAAGAAAATTCAAACAGAGGTTGGGTCATGAGGATTAAGAAAAGAAGCTCTCTGTAACATGAAAGTACAAGGTGAATCAGCAAGTGCTGATATAGAAACTGCAGCAAGTTATCCAGAAGATCTAGCTAAGATCATTGATGAAGGTAGCTACATTAAACAACAAATTTTCAATGTAGACAAAACCACCTTTTTATGGAAAGAATATGCCATCTGCGGTGGCTCATGCCTGTAATCCCAGCACTTCCAGAGGCCAAGGCGGGCAAGGTCGGGAATTTGAGACCAGCCTGACCAATATGGAGAAACCTCGTCTCTACTAAAAATACAAAATTAGCCCGGTGTGGTGGTGTATGCTTGTAATTCCAGCTACTCGGGAGGCTGTGGCAGGAGAATCACTTGAACCCAGGAGTCGGAGGCTGTGGTGAGCCAAGATAGCACCATTGCACTCCAGCCTGGGCAACAAGAGTGAAACTCCATCTTAAAAAAAAAAAGAAAAGAAAAGAAAGAAGATGTCATCTGTAACTTTGAGGGCTGGAGGGGAAAAGTCAATACATGGCCGTGGCTTCAAAACTTCAAAGGACAGGCTCATTCTTTTGTTAGGGGTTAATTCAACTGGTGACTTTAAGTGGAAGCTTATGTTCATTTACCATTCCAAAAATCCTTGGATCCTTAAGAATGATGCTAAATCTATTCTGCCAGTGCTCTGGCATAGAATATCAAAACCTGGATGACAGTACATCTGTTTACAGCACGGTTTACTGAATATTTTAAGCCCACTTTTGAGACTTACTGCTCAGAAGAAAAAGATTCCATTCAAAATAGTACTGCTCATTAACAATGTACCTGGTCACCCAAGAGCTCTCATGGAGATGTATGAGGAGATTCATGTTGTTTTCATACTTCTGAACACAATATCCATTTTTTACCCCATAGATCAGGGGATAATTTCAACTTTCAAGTCTTATTAGTTAAGAAATACATTTTGTAAGTTTATGGCTGTCATAGATAGTGGTTCCTCTGGTGGATCTGGGCAAAGTAAACTGAAAACCTTCTGAAAATAAGTCATCATTCTAGATGTCATTATGTAAAT
Organism: Homo sapiens; assembly: GCF_000001405.40. Classification (NCBI taxonomy): domain Eukaryota; kingdom Metazoa; phylum Chordata; class Mammalia; order Primates; family Hominidae; genus Homo; species Homo sapiens. Next base: position 31,693,944 of record NC_000004.12, read on the forward strand.
TTATGATTCATGGAAGGAGGTCAAAATATCATTACCAGAAGTTGGAAGAAGTTGATTCCAACCTTCATGGATGACTTTGAGGGGTTCAAGACTTCATGGAGGAAATAAATACAGAGGGAAATGGCAGGTGAAAATAGCAAGAGGCTAGAATTAGAAGTGGAGTCGGAAGATGTGTCTGAATTGCTGCAATCTCATGATAAAACTTGAACAGATGAAGAGTCGATTCTTATGGATGAGCAAAGAAAGTGGTTTCTTGAGACATAATCTACACCTGGTGAAAATACTATGAACATTGTCGAAATGACAACAAATGACAACAGAGGATTTAGAATATCACATGAAAACTTAATTTATAAAGCATTTGCAGTGTTTGAGAGGATTAATTCCAAATTTGGAAGACGTTCTAGTGGGTAAAATGCTATCAAGCAACATCACATGCTAGAGAAAAATCTTTCCTGAAAGGAGGAGTTAAATAATGGGGCAAAGTATATTGTTGTCTTATTTTAAGAAATTGCCACAGCCACCTCAACTTCCAGCAACCACCACCCTGATCAGTTAGCAGCCACCAACATCAAGGCAAGGCCCTCCACCAGCAAAAAGATTATTACTCACTGAAATCTCAGAAAACTATTAGCTGTTTTTAGCAACAAAGTCTTTTTGAAGTAAAATAGGTACTTTTTTGGACATAATGCCATTGCACACTTAATGGACTACAGTATAGTATAAACAGTATAGAATAAGCCTTTTATATGCAATGCAAACCCCCAAATTCATGTGCTTCATTCTTGCTTTATTATGGTCTGAAACTGAACCTACAATTTTCTGAGGTATGCTTGTACATATATTTTAGTTTCTATTATATTTGGGATTATTTCTGTTTTGCATACTATTTTTTGCTTGTTTTCATCTTCTCCATGACTTATATTCTATCAACCATTGTGACTTATTTTTTCCCTCTGCTAGATGAGTATTACATTGTCTAATTTTACCTAATGTATTCATTTCCTGTATTCACTTACTGCATTTTTCTAATTAACACACTAAATCAAAGCCTAAATTTATTAATTCCATGATCAAAACATTGTCTACTATTGAGAGACACATTTTCCCTAAAGGCCAATAGAGGTGCCATTACTAGAAATGAAGTAGGAGAAAGTCTTGTGGGAGAAAACCATATTTGTGATATTTCCTTCTGTCTTATCAAAACAATATATTAAGTAAGCCATAAATCAGATCTGTGTATAAAATTCCACTTTCATTCTGTATATTTTGCTTTTATACTGGTTGTATTTCAAAAAATGCGCATAGAAAATATTCGCAGTATTTAAATGTACAAAAATGTCATGTCATTTAAACTCTGTAAAATACTTTGAAATAGACTAAAAAGTATCTTTTCATTGAAAAACTATAACCTATTCTGGGTTACATTATTGTATGGAGTCTCTGCCTTTCATTGTCTTTGACTTATTTTATTACTCTCTAAGATGTTGAAAATGAATAGTAATGTAATTTATTCTCTTCCACAGAAATACAAATGAATTTGTCTGTTAGAGGTGCAATTGATAACCTCCCTTTTTTAAAACATCTAGTTTTGCATTTATAAACATATTTATTTGACTTTCCTAATTGCCCAAAAATGTATCTGCTTTTTGCATTCTCTTTGAGCCAGTTTTTACATTTTACTGGCTTTTTCATTAATTATGAGCTAGACAAACATTTTTTCTAGCTTTATTGAGGTAAAATTGACAAAGAAAAATTGTATATATGCAAAATATGCAACATGATTATTTGATAGATGTGTATATTGTAAAAATGATCACAGTGGAATTAATTAACACCTCTATCACCCACATATAGTTAATGTGTGTGTGTGTGTGTGTGTGTGTGTGTGTGTGTGTGCATGTTAAGGACACTAACAATCTATTCTTCTAGCAAATTTCAAGTAAACAATACAATATTAAGAACTACAGTCACCATGCTGAACATTAGATCCCCCAACAATTCCTGTTATAACAGGAGGTTTGCACTCTTTGTTCAACATCTCCCCATTTCTCTTAACCCTCATTATCTAGTAACTGCTATTCTACTCTCTTCTTCTATGACTTTAAGTTTAGATGATAATATGTTCCTAAAATATCTCTCTATCCATGTTTGGCTTTTTTCACTTACCAGGGTTTGTCTCTGTTGTCACAGAGGGCAAGATGTACTTCTTTTTATGGCTGAATAATATTTCATTGTGTGAATGTGTGTGTACATCTCATATCTGTTTATCCATTTATCTGTCCAGAGATACTTATGTTGGACCATGTTGGCTATTGTGAATAATGCTGCAATAAACATATGGTGTAGATATCTCCTGGAGATACTGATTTTGTTTCCTTTGCATATATACCCAGAAATGGGATTGCTAGAATGTTTGGCAGTTCTATGAGATAAATAGATCTTTGAAATGTGTGAAATTTATAGAGCTACACTTTTAACTTTAAAATTCATCATTTAATAACATACTTAAAATAGAAAGCTGGGTATAAAATTCTTAAATTTTGTCTATATTTGGTCTAAATTTGAAGGCATTCCTCTGTTATTTTTAATCAGATAGTGCAATTAAAAATTCTGTTGGAAGGTTTATTTTTTTACATATAGGTTTTACCCTTTCTTTGGAAGTTTTCATCATTTCATCATTTTGTAACTTATAAGACTATTTTATCATTAATATTCTATTCTCAAACAATGAATTCATTAAGTCTGAAACCTCAGTTTTCCCATCACATCAGATAAATATTATTCTAGCACTTTTTATTTCTTAGTTTGTTTTATTTTCTACATATTCTCAATTACTTAACTTTCTTTTCATATTTCCTAATTTTTTTCCTTCTGTTTTAGTAGATTTCTAGCAGACTTAGAAATATTAGATTATTTGTTCAAGCTCACACATGGTGAAAAGTGACAGGATTGGAATTTAGAACCCAGAAGCTCATCACTTAATATATTTTAAAAAAAATAGGATTCCTTTTTGTCTGTTGTCTTTGGTATCTAGTGCTATAGACAGTCAAGAATCTAGAGATCAAAAACCTGAAAGAAATATAATTGCCAGGCATGTGCAACTGAGTCTCCACTTTAAGATTTTCTCATTTTATTTTATTCCAAAGAATGTGTTTTCCCTTTTCAAGAGGAACAATACTAACATGTTCTCCTATAAGTCTCCCTGTAATAGCTACAGCAGAACTTAAACATTAACCCTAAAATGTTAAATTGTGAATTATCACCAAAGAGGTTTTAAAATTATGTCTCCTGCACAGAGGATTGCTGGTGCTTACAGAATAGAACCACTAAAACAAACACAAATTTACTGAGTTCTCCAATTAGAAAGAAAGTATTGGAGATTCAGGCATGACTATACCATTTTGGAGGAAATTAAGCATTTCTTAGGAATCAATAAATGCTCTGTTATTAACTATTATTTGAATAAGTGTATAAACAAAACTAAAATAGGGTCATTGGAGTGCTGAAGCAATAAGCTCATAAAAAATCAGGCCATAAGATCTGGAAAACAAGGAAAATAATATCAACTTGATCTGAACTATTTCCTTAGTTGTGACAGTTATCCCTAAATACTTTGTGAGAGAAAAATCAGTGTCTGAAATTAGCACCTTGATATTTTGTGTATACAAAAAGTATTTGAACTTAGCTTGACATAGTTCCTCTTAGAAATGTCAGTCCAGTCATTCCTTTAGCAGTCTTTGAAAGTTCTGAATAGGAAAAGGGAAAAAAAAAAAGCCTTACAACTTAGCATTGTATCTACCTAGCTAACTATCTATTTCAACCTGGATGGGGTGGACGCCACATGATATTAAAGTCAAGGTTCTGCTGCCTCTGGAGCAGACAAAAGCAGGAGAGCAGTGAAATAACCTTGGAGAATTCTCTTAAGCAACTTTGTCTTACCTTTCTTTTTGTGTAATAATTACATTGACACAGAACAAATTCTAAATGCAACTAAGATTCTTTTGATTATCAATTGGAAGAGGGTACTTGGTTTACTTTTATTCATGACCAGCAGTCACTCTTTGCACTGCAGCATCCATATCTCTAACACTGAGATTTTGTTGACATCATCTCAGAGAGGTTTTGCTAAAAAGAAATGAATATAAAAGGAAATTGATCACATACCCTGTGAAGCATTTTCCAAATTAATGATAACATTAAAAATGTACATGATAAATCTAACACGCTTTTCTAATGGCTGACTTATTTGCACACTTAGCTTTCAAATCATGCATGCTGAAGTTTATATTGATAATAGCCTATGATTTTCTTTTTTAAATTTGGATTTTTCTTTTTTTTTTAAATTTTCCTCTTTTTTGTCTCTCTTTCTTAACCCTGTCACATTCTTCTCAAGGACTGAAGCGGTAGCAAGTGAATGTTCTATCTTGGTTTAACTAGTCCCTAAGGGGTACTTCAGAGGTAGAAAAAAGAAGCTTAAGATTCAGTGAAGGACAAAGGGAAAAAGGAATACAGGTGGTGAAAATCAGCTTATGATCCCTGGTCCCTTGTGATACATTATACCATACCTTACTGAAGACTAATAGGAAATGTTCCCAAAGTTTCAATCTCTAAGTTCAATATTCTACTAAGCCAATATTCCATTCTTAAAGATATTGGTAATATGTCCTGTAGAAAACACACACTCCCTTCATAATTCTGATACTTCTTAATATGTGTTTTATTGCTTCCTGCTAGTCACAATCTAGTTTGTGTCTTTGCAGTGGGCCATGTTTTAAAATTTTATAAACGAGTGATAGAAACAAACTTCCAACAGCTGTTTTGTTAAAAAATTGTTTAGGCAACTATGTGAGGGGATTTTTTTAGGTCAATATGGAATTTAATTAGAAATTCCCACTATTATCTGTGGACAAATAATAACATTTGGCAAATATATCTAAAATCATCAAAATGCATTCATTTACTAAATATTTGCAAGCCTACTATGTATTACATTATGAGGGTAAAATTAATTTATTTTATTTAGTTCCATAGTTTACTAATTTTTGTTCTCTCTCTCTCCCAGGCTGTTTCACTTTCACACTCCCACTCTAGCAAAATATTTTTTCAAGGTCCAAAGGTAAAATGTCCCTCAAGAAACTTTTACTATAATTTGAAGCAGATAATTTCAAGTTGAAGGGCCAAAGTCTTTAATGAGGAAGGGACCCTTGATTTCTACTACAGTTTGAGGAAAGATTAAAAAAAAAATGTTTTGCGACTTTTTTTTTATCAGAAGGGGCCACTTAGAAATATTTTATTTATATTCTTTTTTTTAATTATACTTTAAGTTTTAGGGTACATGTGCACAACGTGCAGGTTTGTTACATATGAATACATGTGCAAGCACAGCAGGATCGATTCCTCTGTTTCAGGGATTCAAAAATAAACCATGATGTGCTTTTTTAAAAAAAATAAGACACTATTTGTAAAATATTTCTTGGATAAAATATTTAAGCAGGTTAAAATGATAATGAGAGTCATCTTGTATAGCAACTGCAAAACGATCACTGGTTTCAATGGATACATCATCTCAAGTCTCAATTCACTATGATTTATTTTTATGTCTGTTAATCAGTCTAAGTGAGTTTTCTATCAGAGAAGGGAAATGTCAATCAGATGTGCTTTCAACTACTTGCTTCAAGTTCAAAACCAACTGATAAAAATGTGCATGGCATTTTAACTAGGTGAGTACATTAATGTCATGGAATCTTGGAATATTAAATTGGATTAGACCTTGAACCAAACTTCTCTGAATGCATGGATAATAAAATACAAGCAGATAAAGCTTATTTGTCTCATGATAGGCCCTCAAAAGCACGTTTCCCAAATCCCAGCTTATTATGATTTCCCGCAAGTAATTCAACCACCACAAGGAAAAAAAATTCATTTTCCAAATATATCTCTACTGATTATCTTAAAAGAGATACAAATTATGGTGGAAACTAATAGTTTTTTACATCACATTTTTGTTGTGGTGGAAAACTGATTTAGTTGGTTCTTGCTTATCTTTCTGGTTTCATCTCTTTTTATTCTTTTTCAAACTCTTGCCAACCAGAGTTAATTCCTATTTTCGTGGGTGCATTACAAACTTTATACCTGTGTTTTCCCTGAAAGGATTCTTATGCATATGGAGTTTTGTCTTTCTTGAATAATAGTCCTCATCATTATAGCTAAAGTTTATCAAGGACGATACTATAAGATAGGGTCAATTGCTAGCACAGTTTTATAGCTGAGGAAACAGGCAAAGAACAAAACAAAGAACAAAGGAAGTACGAAGGCAACAGAGCTACTATGTAACAGAATCCATACTCTCAATCGTACATCTTATTTGGATATTGCTTCAGTATCATTTCCTTCTCTTCTAAGCTTTAAGCTTATTCACCCATGGTTTTCCCCTAGTGTTTAGGATTTATCTCTAGTAACCTCCCTATACTGCATTTGTGTAATGTGTCTAATTTACCCTTTGAACTCTCAACCACTTGAAGTTATGGAATACATCATTCTATGTACCAAATAAATCAACAGAATTAATTAACCAAATAAATATTCTCTTCTTCAAAGTGGGGTTTCTCTGGGGAGTGAACAAAAAAGATGCAAGGTTTTGTACTAGAGAAGATATAAAGAAAGATAACATTCAGCTTATTCATAAAAATTTGAGAAAAGAAGTTACACAGTAAATGGTAGACATTTTTTCCTGACCATAAATGCTTGATAGTAGAATACTAAATAAACACTTTCAAAAACTTTGCACAAATAAAGGAAAGTTCAGAAATGGAAGCTTGTCCTGCTTTGTGTTTATATATAACAGGAACATAATGTAGAATAGACACATTGACTGGGAGGAGCGGGTTAATGATTTGGAACTATTTGTAATCAAAGCAGAAACCATCTCATCTCAGAAGTCAAGTAGGTAAGGCTAACGAAGGGCTGATTTTTGGAGCCGGAGAGGGTTCTGAGGAAAAGCAAAAGTCAGAATACAGCAATGAGGGGTAGTGCCCTGATGACGGGGCCACTCTGAATTAAAACCAAAGACAAGCATGGTGAGGATCCGCAAAACCTAAAGAGTCATTTGATTGACATGAGAGAACGTGTTCCACTAAAACGTAATATCCAGTTCAATTACATGGGTAATATACCTGAGACGTAGTTGGATATCGAAATCAGAAATTCCACAAATGGGAAAAGTATAAGGCAGCTAGAAATTGGAAGGAAGGGTACAGTTGCTGGAAGTATATATAAGTGAGTGTGCTCAGTTTTTAACATACAGGTTTAGCTATTGATATGGGAGGGGGGCAGGGAAGTGCTGGGAAGGGAAGGGTGTGGTCTGTGGCTAGAACTCCACCCCCCGGGCCTGTGCGCATGGACCTAGGTGAAGAAAGGCCTTTCTGGTTTCCTGCCCAACGACTGCATTTTCCAAGACCACCCTGGCCCACCACACCCCCATCTTGTACCTATAAAAACCCCGAGACCGCAGCAGGCGTGCACACGAGGGCTGGACGTCGAGAGGAAGGCACGGGCATAGGAGCACACCGACAGGCACAGCCAGACACTGGCAGGCCATCAACCAGCAGAATGACGTGGTTTCCCCGGGGCGGCTGGAAGAGAGTCCTGCCGCTAAGCGGCAGGACTCCAGGGGAAAACCACCTTCCCACTCCCTTCCCAGCTCCCCATCCATCTGCTGAGAGCTACCTCCACCTTACTTGCACTCATTCTCCAAGCCCATGTGTGATCTCATTTTTCCCATACACCAAGGCAAGAACCCAGGACAGAAAGCCCTCTGTCCTTGCAATAAGGCAGAAGGTCTAATTGAGTGGATAAACACAAGCCACCTACAGATGGCAAAACTAAAAGAGCACACTGTAACACATACCCACTGGGGCTTCAGGAGCTGCAAAAACATTCACCCCTAGACGCTGCCGTGGGGTCGGAGCCCACGCTCCCCAGGACGTGCCCATCTGCCTACTCTCCCTAGGGGTTTTGAGAGTCAGGAACTGAAGAAGCGAGCCACACCCCTGACACACGGCCTGCGAGGGGGACAAGGAAATTTTTCCTGTTTCAGTATTAGGTGTGGACTTACCTCTTAGCTGTGTGGAACTTGACAAGCTATCTAACTTTTCTTGAGCCATGATTGTCTCATCTGTAAAATAGAGAAAACCATGGCTGCTTCATGGTTAAGAATTAATTAAAACATGTCCTTAAAATTCTTAACATAGTGCCTGATAAGAGTCAGTCATCGATAAATGGCCATTCTTATTGTTGTTGCTGCTGCTCCTGTTTGCTCTTCCCCAGTGATCTGCTTATTTGTTGTGAATATCAGATAACATTTTCTTTGCGTAGAAAATATTTTAAGTGGAGGATCTTGAATGTACTGAATGTATTTGAATTGCTTCTTCAACATTTGCCATAAAAAACGGGAACATTTTTCTGTCTGACTTTTTAAAATAAAATTATTTCATAATCTCCTCCCACTATTTCCAAAGTCAAAGAAATTAGAAACAGCACAGCAAAACCAACTTAGTGCTTTGAATTCTTTCTATGATTACCACAGAGAACTCAAATCTTTTGCCAGATCTTGCAGACATGAAGATTTGTGTGCTCTGGCAAGTTTAATATTAAGTAACTATGAAATCAGGAGATAACGATAACTACATATCCATCTATGTATGGAGGGAGAAAAAGCATAATGGTATGTTTTATGATATTCTTATGTATGTGCATTCAGAAATCATTTAGAAGAGTCAGATTGAAAATTTAAAATGTCACAAAGACTAAATAGTAAAAACAAAGGAATGATAACCCATGCAACAATTTAAGAGAACACAATAAATCATGATTTTTTTTCCAATGTTGGAAGAAATTTCCTTTATGTATCTGCAGGACTGTTATTAAAATAACATTAGGCTGCGCTTGGTGGCTCATGCCTGTAATCCCAGCACTTTGGGAGGCTGAGGCCAGTGGATCATTTGAGGCCAGGAGTTTGAGACCTGCCTAGCCAACATGGAGAAACCCCAGCTTTACCAAAATTACAAAAATTAGACGGCTGTGGTGGCACACACCTGTAATCCCAGATACTGGGGAGGTTGAGGCATAAGAATGGCTTTAACTTGGGAGGTGGAGGTGGCAGTGAGCCGAGATTGTGCCACTACACTCCAGCCTGGATGACAGAGTGAAACTCTGTCTCAATAAATAAATAAATAAAAATAAAGAAACATTAAAACTCTGAACTCACTGCCCAACAGCTATATTCCTTTAAAACATTACAATAGAAGAGCCTTGCATTTTAAACGACAACACTGGTATTTAAATTTAAGAATACAACTGCAGCATCTCTAATTTCAATATATTGTTGCTATGTACTTACAATTTACAAAGCAAGTGTGAGTATAGACATTCGCACATCAAGATAATTCATGCTTAGGAAACTGCTAGTTAACTAGAAGAGATAGGAGAAAAAGAATAGTGAGAGAGAGAAGACAAAACCTGAATTGCTTTGAAAATTATTGAAGACTTTTACTTACTTTAATGAATAAAATTTGTTTATAATCTATTTCCATGCAAATCTTAATAATGAAGCAGCAAGTGGCTAAGCAAATATAATTTTTATAAGCTAAATCATAATCATGTATTACTGAAGGTGGAGAGTAAATATGAATGTGTACACTAAAATCTAAATTTAGCTTCATGTGAGTACATTCTAGTGGTAACAAAATGTGCTTTAGTTTATGTGCATTGAATTTCAATAATTTTCCTCATTACTTGATGATGAATTGTTTAAAATCTCCATTTATCTTTTAAAATTTTGACACACATACATTGACTATGGAAGTGGAAGTGGAAGACTTACCACTATTTTAGTTTTTGCTACAAATATATAGTTTGTATTAGTTCATTTTCACACTACTGATAAAGACATACCCGAGACTGGGAAGAAAAAGAGGTTTAATTGGACTTACAGTTCCACATGGCTGGGGAGGCCTCAGAATCATGGCTGAAGGCAAAAGGCACTTCTTACATGGCAGCAGAAAGAGAAAACAAGGATGCAAAAGCAAAAACCCCTGATAAACCCATCAGATCTCGTGACGCTTATTCACTACCAGGAAAATAGTACGGGGGAAGCCCCCACAATTCAAATTATCTCCCACCTGGTCCCTCCCACAACATATGGGAATTATGAGAGTGATATTTAAGCTGAGATTTGGGTGGGGACACACCCTGGCCCCTCTATCTTCACAGTTCAAAACCAATCATGCCTTCCCAACAGTACCACAAAGTCTTAACTCATTTCAGCATTAACCCAGAAGTCCACAGTCCAAAGTCTCATCTGAGACAAGGCAAATCCCTTCCACCTATCAGCCTAAAAAAATCAAAAGTAAGCTAGTTACTTCCTAGATACAGTGCAGGTACAGGCACTAGGTAAATACAGTCATTCCAAAGGGGAGAAATTGGCCCAAACAAAGGGGTTGCAGGGCCCATGCATGTCTGAAATCCAGCAGGGCAGTCAAATTTTACAGCTCTAAATTGATCTCCTTTGACTCCATGTCTCACATCCAGGTCATGCTGATGCAAGAGGTGGGTTCCCATGGTCTTGGGCAGCTTGGCCCCTATGGCTTTGCAGGGTTGTTTTCATGGACTCCTGGTTGCTTTCACGGACTCCTGGTTGCTTTCATGTACTGGCGTTGAGTGTCTGTGGCTATACCAGGTGCAAGGTGCAAGCTGTCAGTGTATCTACTATCCTGGGGTCTTGAGGACTGTGACCCTCTTCTCACAGCTCCACGAGGCAGTGCCCCAGTAGGACTCTGTGTGGGGGCTCTGACCCCACATTTCCCTTCTGAACTGCCCTAGCAGAGGTTCTCCATGAGGGTGCTGCTCCTGCAGCAAACTTCTGCCTGGACATCCAGGCGTTTCAATACATTTTCTGAAATCTAGGCAGAAGTTCCCAAACCTCAATTTTTGACTTCTGTGCACCCACAGACTCAATATCACATGGAAGCTGCCAAGGCCTGGGGCTTTCATCCTCTGAAGCAACAGCCTGAGCTGTACTTTGGCCCCTTTTAGTCAAGGCTGGAGTGGCTGGGACATAGGGTCCCAAGTCCCTAGACTTCACACAGCACAGGGACCCTGGGCCCTGCCCATGAAACCATTTTCTCCTGGGCCTCTGGGCCTGTGATGGGAGGGGCTATCATGAAGACCTCTGACATGCCCTGGAGACATTTTCCCCATTGTCTTAGGGATTAACATTCGGCTACTTGTTACTTATGCAAATTTCTACAGCTGGCTTGAATTTCTCCAGAGAAAATGAGGTTTTCTTTTCTATCACATTGTCAGGCTGCAAATTTTCTGAAATTTTAGGCTCTGCTTTCCTTATAAAATTGAATGCCTATAACAACACGCAAGTCGCCTCTTGAATGCTTTGCTGCTTAGAAATTTCTTCTGCCAGATATCCTAAATCATCTCTCTAAAGTTCAAAATTCCACAAGTCTCTAGGGCAGGGGAAAAATGCCACCAGTCTCTTTGCTAAAACATAAGAAGAGTCACCTTTGCTCCAGTTCCCAACAAGTTCCTCAACTCCATCTGAGACCACCTCAGCCTGGATCTTATTGTCCATATTGCTATCCTCATTTTGGGAAAAGCCGTTCAACAAATCGCTAGGAACTTCCAAACTTTCTCACATTTTCCTGTCTTCTTCTGAGTCCTCCAAACTGTTTCAACCTCTGCCTGTTTCCATTTCCAAAGTCACTTCCACATTTTCAGGTATCTTTTCAGCAGCACCTCCCTCTACTGGTACCAATTTACTGTATTAGTCCATTTTCATGCGTCTGATAAAGACATACTTGAGACTGGGAAGAAAAAGAGATTTAATTGAACTTCTAGTTCCCCATGTCTCGGGGGACCTCAGAATCATGGCGGGAGGTTAAAGTCACTTATTACATGGCAGCGGCAAGAGAAAATGAGAAGTATGCATAAGCGGAAGCCTCTGATAAAACCATCAGATCTTGTGAGACTTATTCACTATAAGTGAATATACTACTGTAAGTATATTCACTATAAGTGAATATACTACTGTAAGTATATTCACTATAAGTGAATATACTACTGTAAGTATATTCACTATAAGTGAATATACTACTTATATACTACTACAGTATGGGGGAAACCATCCCCATGATTCATATTGCCTCCCACTGGGTTTCTCCCATAATGTGGGTATTATGGGAGTAGAATTTAAGATGAGATTTGGGTGGGGACACATAGCCAAACCATATCACAAGGCCTAGGACAAATAAAAATGGAAGAAATGTGTTTTGTTTTTCTGTGTCATGGGATGTTTTCAATCATGATCATGATCTTATGGCCATGGAAAAATGTTCACAATGTATTTCTTAGCAAGTAAACCTGCTATAAAGCAAAATGGAATCATTGATAAATTTCAAACATAAAAAATGTTGGTGACTGAATATTCTCAATTGTGGTTTCCACGTGTCTTTCAGTTTTGTTCCTTGGTATTACAATGGTAAATAGAAAAAATATAATAAAATTATCAATTAAGTTTTTGGCATATGTTTGAAAAGTACTTCTTTAGTTCATTACATTTATTTTTTAATTCAGTGATTTTAAAAATATGTCTTCATTTATTAGAAACAACCCTAAACTGTGGCATTTAATATGAAAACTTGGATACATTCCTTTAGTTAAGGTTTGTTTAGTACAGGATACTAGTGTAGGTAATGCAACAAAAACACAGATGACTAATATTCCGCATGTGAATCCTCATCATAAGGACTTTAAATCTAGAAAAAAACAGTCAATGAGTATGATTAAAAATGCAAATAAATATTTTTAGGTTAAAAGAAAGTACACACACACACACACACACACACACACACACACATTCCTTTGGAGTTTAGAACACAAACATAACAGTCACATTAAATATTCCTAAAGAAGTTTGGTCTTTCTATTTTCCTCAGAGTTTTATCACTACCTGCAATTATCTACCTATTTATTTGCTTGCATCCTCAATTGGGAAGGTAAGCTCCATAGCATAATTGTCCTTTTGACTGGTTCATTACAATGTCTATGTTGCATCCCAGCTTCAGGTCAGTTTATAGAACATTATAAGTGTCCAATACATATTTGTTGAATTAATAAATCAGTTGTTTCAAGTATTAAAAAGATAACCCAAGTAAAGCTTTTAGCACAGTGCTGTATACATGCTAAACACTTCTAATTATGAACTATGTATTATTATTGGCATTATTTTATTTTGAAATAATTCAAAATAATATGATCAGGGTAAGTTTAAATGCAAAAGTGGTGCCTGAGCTATTTTTTTAAAGGTAAATATTTTAGTACATAGAGTGGGGGAATTCAAGGAAAAAGAAATGCCAGAAAGAATTAGGAGGCAGAGTGTAGGGCAGACTTTCTGAAATGCAGATGATCAGTTTAAGTAAGCATGTTGGTGCTAAAATTTAAGTAATGGGGGCTTGCATAAACATAAGTGAAGCAATTTGGATGTGTTCTCAGAAAAGCATCAAGCTACTAACTTGTACATTCCTTGAAGGAAATCACTTCTCATTCTTAGTATCAAACACTAAGACTTAGTTCTGTATCACAAATGGCAGACTGAACAAATGATTAAACTAATGAATGCATTATTGAAAAACACTATCCAAAATAGTGACATAATATCAAAATTGTATCAATAATATAAATCTGGTGGTAATGTTCAAGACTCGGTTTATGGGAAGAGATCAAAGTCTTGGAGATTACATTAGAGGGTTGTTTGAACAATTTAGGCATGACACAAAAAGACCTAACCTCAAGAACTGTCATTGTGATTGAAATGAAAGTATATGAGAAATATTGTGAAGAAAGTATGAACATATAAGTACAAATTCATGTGGTTTTGATATATAGTGTCAGAGCCTTCATCACATTATCTCCAGTGATTTATCAGTTTTTGATTACTTTCTAGTCATTTATTCTTAGGGCTAAGCACACTGTGGTGGTTTTCTTTATTGTTTTGTTATTTTTAGATATGTAAAAAGTGCATCCCTTTATAAAAGCATGGGTGTGTATATATACACACACACCCATATATGTGTGTGAATGGGTTCCCTCTTCTTGATGCTACATTTCAATACAGTGAATATGACTCAAAGCCTGAATACATGTGACCCATATACATGTTTATAGAATTATCTGAAATTATTGAGTCATATTCACTATATTGAAATGTAGCATCATAACGAAGGAATCCTGATCAGAGAATGAATAATGGTTATTTTTAAAGACAATAAAAAACAACGGCATTCTTCAGAATCACATTTATTTATGTGTACGAGACCAAGGACCTAAGAAAGTTAAAAAGCCATTAGAGATCTTTCCAAAAATTGACTGCATACTTCTAAAGAATAATACACTGTCTATAATTAAGGAGTAACCTCCCAGCTGCAAGAGTTTCCCAGTCATCATTGAGTATAATATGAAATGAGCTGACTTGGTCTGAACAGGAGGTCACCCACAGAAAGACATGGGAAATTATACAGTCAAGGCCCCTTGCTGTTAGAAAAAGCTATCATTATAATAAAGTAGAATAGCACATTCTTAAAATACCCAAAGGCCTTTCTCATACCAAGGGTTAGCGAATGTCCTCATTATTCTCCAGATCAAAAAAGCCTTCAAAATGTAATATGAGGAACTGAGACTAAGGACAGGGGCTGGAATAAATTATGAAGTCTTTGGTAGAGTTTTTCACTTGTTTAAATTTCATTTTCTTTCTCTATCTCTCCCTCTATCTATCCTTTTTCCCCTCACTAACTTGATTTGAATGTCTCTGTAAAAACAGAGGAGAAATTTTAAACTATTAGACTAAAGTAATCAAATCACACTGCGTGTGCCCAGTATACATTCATTCTCTTCCTTCTGCAGCTTTCTCCTAATCTTTACACACTTTATTTCACCTTCTACCCATAGTACCTGTTTCCCAAATATTTTTTTGAAATCCCTAGGCCTTCAACTTCATCCTACTCCATTACTTTCTAGAGGCATCAAGTGCCTCGTATTCACATTGCCTTTCCTAGTGCCTGGAGCAGAGTACATATTTGTTTGTTGAATGAACAAGTCTTGCTGGCCTTTAAAAAGATTTCATTGTAAACCCCATTAATTATTTTTCCTTCTGCTTTAAAGTTTCTATCTCTTCTCAGTTTCTCTTTATTGCAGACAAAAAGACTACTTAATCATATTCTACAAAATCCACCATCTAATCATGCCCTTGAAGTTATCACCTCTTGTTTCTTTAAAGATCAATTCAATATCCGTTATTGTATTTTTTTCTTATTCATTTATCTGCAACATTGCATTTGTCCTACAACTTTGAACCTGGCATAATTCTAAAAACTTTTACATATATCATTCCCTTGTATCTTCATTACAAATTTTGAAATTGGTACTATTATAGTTAATCTACGTGTTGAAAATGGGGGCAAGGAGAAGTTAATTTCTTATTCAAAAATTTGACTTTCTGTTGGTGCTGTTGCTGAAATTCTGACAAAAGTCTGATTCTAGAGGCTGACCTGTGGACCAATATTAACATTAAGTTGCACCCCACATCTGCTGTTTAATGCCTTCTAATCTATTTTTAAATGAACACTCTTTAGAAAATAAAGTTTCAAAAGTTACTAGTGAATGCCCCAAAGATAAATTCAATGGCATTATCCCATTGTTCATCCTAGCTCTACTTCTCATTTTCTTTATCAAGTTTTTCTTCTTAGTATTATGTGTCTCTGATGATTCTTCTAATATTAAGTATGCTAATACTAACTTTTCCATATAATAAGTATTTTCTTTCCTCTCAGATTTCTCTTTTTCTTTTTTACACTCTTCTCTTTTTTAGGCAACACTTAACGATTCTTCTAATATTAAGTATGCTAATACTAACTTTTCCATATAGTAATTATTTTATTTCCTCTCAGATTTCTCTTTTTCTTTTCTACACTCTTCTCTTTTTTAGGCAACACTTACATATGACCCCTATCTTTCTCTACATATTCTAGTTGGTAATTTCATTGCATTCATCATTTCAAAATTAACTATATGCGGATAATTCTCAAATCTATTTATTCAGCTCTTCTATATTTTCTGAGCCCTAATTTATTATTGAGCATTGTCAAACATCTGTACCACAAAGGAGGTCTGAGAGTTTATTAAATGTACCAAGCTCACTCATGCCTATGTGCTTTTTCCTTTGTCTCAATTATACTTCCCTTCAACTATTCTTGACCTGGTTAATTTTCAAGTTAGTTTCAAGATCCATGTTTAAAAGAGTCTCTTCCACTTGGGGTTCTTTTATACCTAATGCTCTGTATCAAGAGTTCCTGTGCCCACAGTATCTTCCCTTGATCCTTACTAATAAAAGTCCTGATTTTTCTGTGTGTAAACAGATACCTAGAATAAAGAGTGTATTTCCCAGTCTCTTTTCAAGACAGGGGAGGTCATGCAATGGGCATTCAACTCAAAGATATGTAAGCAGATGTCTCACATGAGCTCAGCAAAGTTTTTATATTTTATTTTTTACAATTTAATTATCACCACAAACCTTTAAATTTAGACAGGCTCCCTTACTTCTTTCCTTTTTCTTGTTGGCTGGAAGACAGACATGAAGGCACGAGGCTGAGCAGCCTTATTGTATCATAAGGCTGCAACCAAACGTGGCAGAGAAGCAAATGCTTCACTGTATTATTTCTATCCTCTTATGTGCTTTATCTCTTTAATATTTGACACCATCTAACACTATATCAGTCAAGGTTGTGTATTCTTTTAGTTATCTATCTTACTTTTCTCTTCAACTACACACATGCAGATAATTTGTTTTGTTTTATTCAGTATTGTACCACCATGGTCTAGAAGAGTGCTGAGCACATAGCAGGTGCTTAAGTGACGTTTGTTAAATTTTTTAAAAAACATTTATTTATTAATACACTGTCTGGATTTTGTCAGTAGTCATGACACCTGTGTACTAGAATTTAGGCACAATAGTTTCCAGTTTAAGAGTGTTAAGAAAGTGGATGAACTAATGAAAGACATTTTAGCATCTTAGATTTAGAGATGTTTTCATGTTGTGTCCTCCCTTTTGGATGATGCATTCTGTAACCAATCCTCTCCTTTAAAATATCTTAAATACTTTTTCACAATATTAAAATCCAGGGGCTTTGATATATCCATTATATACAGCCTTTTAAATTGCCTTATAACCCTCTGGAAACATACTCTAATTGAATGAAAAACGTTTCCTTGTGTTCTTAATTTATATTTTCTACAAAAATGTTTAGACATTACACTGCTAATGCTTTGTTTCCCAGAATTGCTATTATTTATTATTATACTAGACCCTCAGTAATTTACACTAATAACTGAGAGACTCACTAGAGACTACTGAATTTGGCAGATTAGTTAGTGAACAAATAAATATGAAAACATCAACACTGCTGTACCACAAAATGTGCTTTATTCATTATTTTGATAAGTGTAGTTTAATTATAATCATCTATGGTAATGTTTCACAGTATGCTAATAAACAGTGTCATATGTTACAAAATTAATGCAATCTTAGTTAAAAGAAAAATTGTTGCTAAATTTGTTCCACTTTTTGGAGAAAAATATAAATCTATGATTTAGTATGATTTGCATTACTTTTGTTCCAGAAAAATAGGTCCTATATGTTATTTTAATAATTTCTATTGTTTATTGTCTATATCTCCTGCTAGAAAATACAGTTCATGGGAACAGATTTGCTTCCTCGCACACAAATTGTACATATTATGCAGAGATATGTATGTAAGTGTCCATTGTGCAGGTACATAAAACTTTGTAAATGGAAAGATTTTAAATATAAATTTGTAATTTGTATTACATTTAAATATACATTTTGCTCTGTGTCCGTGGTATTCTATGCTTTCAGCGGCACTACAGGGATAAATTATTTATTCCTATTTTTAGTAATCTCTAAGCAATTTTTAATGAGAAGATAACATATCTAAAATCATCGCTAAATTATGAAAAGACAGATCAAGATGACAAAAAAAATTTTATTGCTTATTTTGTTTTGTTGTTTTGTTTTTCTATGGAGTAGAATATTGAACAGGTACTAATAGCTTTCAGTCATACTTAATAATTTCTAAATTAAAAAGAGATAATTGAATTCTTACCAAACTAGATTTATTGATTTCTCCATTCATTCATTTAAACAATAAATATGTAAGAAATTAGCCATTAAGTTCTTGTTCATTGTGATAATAAAACAGCAGAAAAGTAAATAAATAAAAATTTTTGCCTTCATGGATATCTCGTTTTCTAGTTGGAGAGATAGAAAGTAAATGACATCTGTAGCTAAAATCAGCATAGGTTACAGCATAATAGGAGATTAGGAGAAAAATAAACCAGGGAAGGAGAGAAGTTGTGCCCCACTCAAATCTCACCTCAGATTGTAATCTCTATAATCCCCACATACCAAGGGCAGAACCAGGTGGAGGTAATTGTATCATGGGGGTGGTTTCCCTCATGCTGTTCTCGTGATCTTGAGTTCTCATGAGATTTGATGGTTTAAAAGGGGCTCTTTCCCCTTCACTCAGCACTTCTTCCCGCCACCTTGTGAAGAAGGTGCCTTGCTTCCCTTTCACCTTCCGCCATGATTGTAAGTTTCCTGAGGCCTCCCCAGCCATGTGAAACGGTGAGCCAATTAAACCTCTTTCCCTTATAGATTACCCAGTCTTGGGCAGTTACTTATAGCAGTATGAAAACAGACTAATACAGTCAGTGAAGGCGACATTTAAGAAAAGACCTAAAGGGGTTGACGGAGTAATTGTGCTTCAGTCTAACGGAGGAGCTTTCCAGCCAGAATCAAGCAAGGGCAGACATCCTAAGACAGAAGCTGTTGGTGTGTTTGAGGAAAAAGGTGGCCAGTGTTAGACTGGATGCTTACAAAACAGAAAATGACTAACATTTATGTGAAGTACTAACTACTTACATTCAAAGCAGCACTCATTTTTTAAAAACACACGTAAGTAAAAAGGAGGAACATGGAGGTGAGACATAGTGCTAGAAAATAATTTTTTTAATGCGATTTTTTTTAAAAAAACCTCTACATCCTTACAGTCTACCTAAAAAGACAATTAATTTATGAAGTGACAGCCAAACTAGCAATACATATTAACAAATTTGTCTGAGTCAGAGAGCTCATTGCAATGTTTTGCTTTTGCATGTACATACGTCTGTGCACAGCCACACAATTTACTGTTTAATGAAGTTTCAATATATTAAAGAAAATCACCTTAATATCATAGAGCAAATATATTACATTCATAACAATATAATCACAATTTTATAAGCAAGATTTACTGAAAGTATTTCAAAATTGATAAATGCAAGCTACCAGAATCTTATAGCAAATATAACCTTTCTGTGATTTAAAATCAGGTCATCCCAAGATCAGATAAAACAGCCTCCTATTTTAGCTCCTTCTTACAATATTACTAGTAATCATATTTAATGCAAAAGATAAGAAACAAATAAGAGAAATAATATCATTAATTATAGATGCTTTCTATTTCAGTGGATACCTAGGGAATTCAATTAATAACTCATCTCACTGCCTGAGTTCTGGAAACACTGAGAAACAAACAGAAGCATACAAGACAAGGAAGAAATCTATTACCTTCCAGTACTGAAAAATGGTGGTTATAATTGCAACAAATGTCTTTCTTATAATAGAAATTCAGAAATCAAATGACACACTTTATCAAAAGTTATGCTGGATGCCACCACAAGGCTTCCTCATGGACTGGGCCTACATCCCATTTAACAAATAGTCAAATGCAATTAAGGGGAGATGCTCACTATACTTTTTTTTTTCATTCCAGGAGAACAAGGCTTATTTG
Source organism: Homo sapiens (assembly GCF_000001405.40). Lineage (NCBI taxonomy): Eukaryota > Metazoa > Chordata > Mammalia > Primates > Hominidae > Homo > Homo sapiens. The sequence goes on from NC_000004.12 coordinate 31,713,917, forward strand.
TGATTCACATTTTCTTTCCCCTGTAAATAAGTGAATGTGAGGCCAGAGGAAGTCCAAGAGTGTAATTCTTGGACAGCTACTTCTAAATCTAAGGACATATTCTTAGTGAAAAAAAAAGAGACATCTTCCCTAATAATAGTCTTTCTATTAAAAATATCCAAAATATGCAGCTGGAATTTAATTGGAAAAATTGAAAATATGGGTGGATACAAACTAAAGATACAGAAAAATAAGAATCTTAATTTCATACCAACCATCAGTTAAGCTTGTTAATTAATAGATACAGCATTTGTGCTACTATAAAGAGGCTCGTTTATTTCTATTACCAGTTTGGGCCAGAAATACATAAAATTTTATTGAGTCTATAAAGTAAATCAAATGATATCATCCCATTTTCTTTTCCAAGAAAATTCTATATTGTGAAGATGTCAATTATCTCCAAACTAGTCTATATTTAAATGCAGTTCCCAAGCTATTTCCAACAGGTTTGTCATGTGAAACTTGACAGCTGATTCTACATAGCCAGTTTATCAGTAGTTGTTCTAAGATTGGAAACTTGGGCAGAATTTGATGCTGCAGTGTTGAAGTAGAATGTTTCTGTCTCTGGAAAACCTCAGTTTATGCTCCCCAAGCTTCCAACTGACTGAATGAGGCCCACCTACATTATTGAGTATAATCCCCTTTACTTAAAGTCAATTAATTGTAGATATTAACTACATCTGCCAAATAGCTTTATAACAACACTGAGATTCTTCTTTGGTTAAGTAAACGGGTAATATAGGCTAGGCAAATCGACACATATAATTAACCATTACATCTTATAAAGAGAAAAACACTCAGAATAGCCATAAATATTTTGAGGAAAGAATAAAAATATAGTGGTACCTTTTTCATCCAGTCTAAATTTATATTGAATATAATACCATTCTTGTAGGTATAATAGACAAATAACCTACTGGGAGGTTAGAATTAACATATATGAGGTTTCAATATATGACCTTTTCAAAAAAGTGGATTTTTGAAATGGTCATATATTGACCATATCACATTTTTGAACCATTTCAAAAAAGCAGATAAGAGATCCAGTTGTTCATGACTCAATAGATCATGTTGGAATAATTCAATATATATAAAATTTTATATATATGTATACACACACATACAAAATATTATTGATAAAATAGATCTTACATAATATCATATATAACAATAAAGCTATAAAGTGCAAAATGAAAATGAATTCTAAGTGAAAATTTGAAATGTGTGTGGGCAGCTGTATTACATAATTGTAAGTTTTCCTTTCCTACTGTCCTTGCCCTGCTTTTAGCGCTGGGAGGATGCAGTTACCTCTCCTTTTTCATTTGGGCTGGAACACTCATCTCAATTTGCCTAGTGCAAAATGAGTAGGTAAAACGTGTGTAGGAACTTTACATGTGGTTGTGCAGTTTTGGCTTGTTTTTATGCTTCTGCCATCCACCAATGGCAAGGACTTCTCTGGAGTGCCACTGACATCAGAATAAAAAAAAATCTAGAACATCTTTGAACCTAATCTACAACCTGGAATGAAACCAATGAATCACAGCTTAGTCTAGCAGAACACCAGCTGATTTACAGCCCCATGAGCAGGAAAAATAAATGTGTGTTTAATGTAACTGAGATTTGACATCTTTTGCAACAGTGCTTTATTATTGTGATAGTGATTTAATACATTAAAGGAAATATTAGAGAAATGTGTGAGTGTTTTATTTACAGAGTGAAGAATGCTTTTCTAGGCCAAAAAATAAAAAAACAAAACATACAAAAACACGAAAAAATTGCCTTTATAAATATATAAAGCATTAATGAAGTAAAATAAATATCAAATAAAAATACGATAACCTATGAAAAACTATGCAACATGAAAAGATTGATATTATAAAATTCAAAAAACTCCTGCATTATTGAAAATAACAAAATAGGATAATGGCTAAAAATAAATATGTAGAAATATTAGCAGAAAAATACTTTGAAGATGATTATCTCTTAGTAATATTTGTGTCATAAGAAATAAAATAGTTATTTTGTTCTTTAAAGGGTAAAAATAAAACAATGAAAATAACAAGTGGTTTCAAGGGTAAGGATCGATGGGAATATTTTCTGTTTGGGAAAGATTAATTTTAGAGTAATTTTAATTATTACCTATATTTCAAATGCACATAACTTCCATCTAGCAATTCTACTTCTAATAATTCTATCAAAATTTTAATATTTAAGCTTATACATGCTTATATAAAAGTGTCCATGTTTACATTGCATATTAGAGCAAAAAATGAAAACAATCTAAATGTGCATCATTTAACAATTTTTATTTGTAATATACCCAACAACACAATGTCTGGTGCATAATGCATGTTAAATAAGAATCAGTAATACTTATCAATCAATAAACCATGCTCCAACTAAGTCTAATCCGAGTTGTTAAGATATTTAGTTTACTCTTCAGAAACATACGTTTAGGTGAAAGTTAAAATCTTATTTTTGCTCTTAAAAATTCCTAAATTGATTTATATGTTCAATACAATCACAAACAAATTTCTACAAGGTGTTTTTGTAAAAATTGACAAGCAGATTCTAAAATTTGTGTAGAAATGTAAATGACTTTCCAAAAGATGATCAGTGTTGAAGGGCTTATGTCATCTAATTTTAACACTTACTATAAAACCACAGTACTGGAGCATAAACATAGACAAGTGGAGAGGAATAGAGAGTCCAAAAATAGACTCATGCATCATTAATCAGTATGTTATTAAACGAATTACTTATATTAATTGTATAATTAATCAGTTAATTATTAAATTAAACAATTAATTTGTCCATTAATTTTTGATAAAGGGGTAAAGACAATTGAATGGAGATAGTCTTCAAAAAACGATGCTAAAACAATTGTATAGTCATACCCAATAAAAAGATCCTCAATCCGTACCTTGTACCATATAAACATCAAAAGCTACCCTGTACCATACAAATAGCAATAGCCAGGGTATTCCCCAGTTAATTTAGGACATTACTGTTATCATGGGCCTAAAGTGAAAGCTTTACTTATGAGTTTGTTATTGTGATGTTATAAATGGTACAAGAGAAAAGAAATAAGCAAAACACACCTCCCAATTTTAATTTTTTAAAAAATAATCCAGAGAGAAACAATAGTTTCAGAAATTGAAAGCAGTACCTTGATCATTCCAATGTTGGCATGCAGGATAAACCAATGTTGAGCCATACCAAAGATAATTAAGGGGGTCCTTGATCCTGTAAAAGTCATTAAGTTTGAATATCAAAGCTGTTCTCAATTATAACTAAGACACTGTAAGTAACAGAACTGAGTGATTAGATGCCACATACAGAGAATTCTTTTTTAAACCATTTATGAAAGGTGCAGCTTAATTAGAAAAAGCAATCAAATTTCAAAATTTGGGAAAAATACACTTTCTGACAAAAATACTAGTCAGCAGTTTGAATTCAAAATATACATGAAATGGAAACTGCAAACTACTCTGAAACGGCATGCTATCTACACAGGTGTAACATGTGTGTTATAAGCCTCTAGCTCTACCTTGGTACACATATTTCTTTGAAGACTTGTTGTTTTATTGCAGGGATTGCTTCTCCCTGGAAGAGGTTGCAGGTGCCATCTTAGTTGAATAAAAAGACTTCAGACTGTTATTTCTGAAAAATAAATCTAAGGAAGTGTACTACAAAGAGTCCTCACCCCCACCACCCAGTCTCTCCAGATTTTAAAAGAGAAAAATATATACATCATGAAGACTTTTTAAAATTAGTCTCTAAAGATGTTGAATCTATAGCATAAATTTTATAAGATCTAACATATTGATTTATTTTCTGTTGACTGAGCAATATGAGGAACTGCTACTCATGTATCGATACTTGAAAATCAGGTTTATTTTGTACCTCAGTACTCTCTAGACATCAAATAGTGTAGGACAACCTAACATTTTTGTATTCCCAAATATCTTAAACATTCGGAAAGTACCTCTTTTTGATTCACATTTTGCCACTGTGTTCATGAACATTTGCAGTAATAGCAACATTTCAGCTTCTTAGTGTTGTCATTCTTAAAATAATATTCACCATAATATATTTATTCTGTTTTGACAAAACATAATAAAAATATTAATGCTACTACTAATAAACACACAAAACAAAGCAAACTTTAATTTTTTACTAAAGTTTTCAATCTCAGACATAAAATAATGTGTGTATCATTGCCAATTTTGTTTAAATACTTTTAAAATTAAAAACTACAGGAATAGGATAAATATCACTTTGAGGTTAAACAACATTTGACAACATCACCCCCATCATTTCTTGCCATTGTCTTCTATCAACTGGCATGTTCAATTTTATGTGTGCCTAAAACTCTTTGATACCTGCCTTCAGGTTTTCCTTATAACCTCAATTCTTGCCATAATCCTAGACAACATTCAGGATTTTTTTGATTGTTATTTTCTTAATCTATATTTATCTATTTTACCACCAAAAGTGTAAATTTAAGCATTGACATCAGTGATGGCAATCTTCCATTTTCTTCTTATGTGTTATTCCTATCATAGGTATCTTTGGCATCATGGGAATTTCTGTACCTTGACCTCTCTACTTAATTCTTTCTATCACTCCTTCCTGGCTTTGTTGTAGGTACTTTCAATCCTGAACACCCATGTTACCTTCTTGCTTACATGATCCACTTCCCAGTATCCTCTCCTGTATCAGGAACTTTGATATAGCCAGCACAAAACAATCACAGAACACTGGATGTTGGTGTCAGAAGAAATTCATTGTCTCCTATCTCACCTGAGACCTAAAAGCGTTTTAAGAATTATTTTATATCTTCCCACTTAACTGCCTCTCTTATTCACAAGGGCATTTCAAACTGTCTCCACTCTTCTCAAATTCCTTATCCTTCTAAACTATCTCAATCCCAGTAATAGAATAACTACAATTTACTGAGTATTTGATGTTTTGAACAATCTACTAAACCCACCACAAATATTGCCTCATTTCATCCTCTCAATAACCCATGAAGTGGTTTTATTATTTTTATTTTACTGAGTGATAAACAGAAGAAGGTGAGAGTGATAAGGAGTATGTCAAGGTTCTGTAATGGATAATAGTTGGAGCTTGGATTTGAACTCCCAACCTCATAATCTGAAATGCCCCCTACAGCAGAAAAGAACTTGCTCCCTTCTTTACTGAGAGTGGAGAATCTATTAGATGAGAAGTGTCTTCTTTTCTGTATTTCCATTATAAATGCATTTTCTTTCCTCTGTTTCTCATTTTCTCTTGATATTGTCAAAATTCTACATGAGCACTGATATGGTTTGGCTGTGTCCGCACCCAAATATCATCTTGAATTCCCATGTGTTGTGGGAGGAACCCAGTGGGAGGTAGTTGAATCATGGGGTCAGTTCTTTCCTGTGCTTTTCTTGTGACAGTAAGTCTCATGAGATCTGATGGTTATTATAGGGAGGCATTTTCCTGCACAAGCTCTCTGTTTGCCTGCTGCCATCCATGTAAGACATGACTTGCTCCTCCTTGCCTTCTGCCATGTTGTGAAGCTTCCAGAGCCATGTAGAACTGTAAGTTCAATTAAAGCGCTTTCTTTTGTAAATTGCCCAGTCTTTATCAGAAGCATGAAAATGGACTACTACAAGCACCTAATATTGTATTATCCCCTTATGACTACATAAATTCTTTTATTTTATATAACCCACTTTCTCTTTATAGCTTCAATTTTCCCTTCATTGGATCTTCTCCAATTATTGCTTTCAAATAACAATAATAATATTAATGATAATAAACTCCCATCTTTACAAATAAAGGCAAAAATTATCACTCTCTACATATTACTCTAGGTTTCTGATCCTTACATTGTGAAGAATTTAAGGGGGGTTTATAATCAATATCCTCATTCTTTCTCTTCCTTTTTCTGTTTTATATAGTAAAATACGAGTTCTACCCACTTTTCCAATGAAACTGCTTCCACTGGCATCACCTAAAAACTTGTTGGTCAATCCATTATAACCTTTTAGTTTCATGTTTTTTCAGTATTTGGAAATATCCCTGTGTTAATTTTATACTGCTGCATAACACTCTACCAAACATTTAGTAACATACATTTATCATCTTTAAACAACATCCATTTATTATCTTACAGTTCTGTAGGTCATGGCAACTCAAGGTTATTTGCTGAGGGTTTCACACAGCTGGAATCAAAGTGTTGGCTGAGCTGCATTCCCATCCAGAGATCAGGGTCCTTTTCCAAGATCATTCAGGTTGCTGGTTGAATTAAGCACATTATAGTTGGAGGAGAGAGGTCGCTGAGTTTTTTTTTTTTTTTTTTTTTTTGCTTGCTATAAGCCAGAGATCTTTGTCTTCTTCTAGGAGATACGTTTTAGCCATAAGGGCTTATTCACAACATAGCAGTTTTCTTCTTCAAAGTCAATAAGACAATCGCCCTTCAATTTGTTATGGTAAAATTTTAAATAATAATAATCGTAAAGAGAGTGACTATACCATTACCTTTGCCATATAAAGTAATCTAATCAAGGGAGACAACATTTATCATATTAACAGGTCCTGCCCACACTCAAGGGGAGGAGATCAAAGGACATTTCCACCACTGATTAGGAATCTTGGAGGCCATATTAGAATTCTTCCTACCACAGTTTCCTTCTTGGCATCTTCTATTTCTTTGGTTCCTCTGACACCATATTTTTATAGTTTTCCTCCTTCCCATTCAAATATGTCTTCAGACACTTCTTTTTATGACCTGCCCTTAAAATATTTAACATCAATCATTCTTAAAGCCTACTGTCTCATCTACAATTTGATGCATCTAAAATCTATGTCTCTATTCCTATATGCTCTTGTGTTACAAATTTATGAATCTAACTGCTTACTCTCCATTGCCATATCCATTTGAATGAGCAAAGGAATATCAACATATTAAATGAACTCATCATCACTTCTTTCTCATACCTAACACACACGCACGTGTGCATGCGTGCACACACACACATAATCTCTTCTTCAGTGGTCAGTGTTTTCAGTGAATGAAATAAAAACACCATTCAAATACTAGCCAATGCCAGAGGTCTGTGTTGCTCCTTGATTGCTCTTCTGCCACTTACACAGCATGTCCAACCAATCATGAAACACTTTTACTTTCACCTCTTTAATAACCTCTGATTTACCCAATCGGAATAACCAACGTACTTGAGTTAATTAGACAAAAATCTTCCAAACTAGTTTTGTCTCCGTAGATTGATTCTAGAAGCATATATTTAATTGCTATATTTTTTATCCTAAAACTCTTCCATACTCTGAACTCAGGGTAAAATTCAAACTCTTTGGAATGGGATTTAAACTCTCAACAATAGGGTCTTGATTATATCTCCAGTTTCATCATTAGATGTTTCTCATCTGAACTCAGAAATTTTGCTACAAGTCTACTAAATTACTTGCAGATCCAGGAACATCTGTTTGTTTGTTTGTTGTTTGTTTTCTCTAGACTACAGACCATGCCTTTGAACATGCTATTCCTTGTGATTGACTGGAACATCCTTTTCTCCTTTTTATCTGACTGACTTCTATTCATGCTTGTAGTCACAATTTCATGCTTAGTGAGGGCCTTTTCTTACCATTCTACACTAAACATGGTTTGAAGATTGTTTTATGTGCTCCTCCCTGATAAAGCACTTAGATTATTATTTAAATTGCATTTTTTCTGTATTGTCTCTTAATAGAAATATGCAGCTTTCTGCAGTGTTATAAATTAAATGGATAAATCTTAAAGGATGTGTAAGTTATAATCAAGAGAAAGGAGGATAAAAGGAAGTATATATAGAGAAATGGAACAACATTATTAAAATCACAAATACAGTGTGCTTAGGATATATAAGTAGTTCAGTAATTTAAGAGTATAAGATATAAAGGTTAAGGAGTAATTTGGAATGCTGAACTGAATCCACAATGAGCAGGACCATTAATGCCTCAACTTAATCTGGTAGTCAGAGAGAAGCCACTAAAAATTCATAAACATTGACATGACGTAGCTCTCCTTTCCTTCTAAATCTATCACATAAATGACTAGGTAAAAGACAGATTAATGGTAGCAATCTTCTAAGAAGACAGATTAGAAGATTATCAGTGCAACTAAGGTGAGAAGTAATTAGGTCATGGAAAAATCAAGCTGGAGATACAAATACAGACTTGAAGAATAGAAGATTAAAGGTAAAATGTTAAAAGGCAGTTGTTTAACTTATCCTATGATTTAAACATGTATGTATATATACACACATATATATCTATATATATTCAGATATCTCTATTTCTTGAATGTGTATCTTATTCGTTGAACAAATATCTATGTATTTCAAAGAACAATATATGTATTGTATATATTATAATATTGTATATATAATAAGTGCATTATATATACATATAGAGAGAGACATATACAAAGAATAGAATACACATACTCAAAAAATAGCCCAGTTATAGTCTGCGTATTTCCCCAATACTTCCCCAATAAGGTTGAAACCACTTGATGAAAAGAACCGTTATTTTTTAAAATTTTATAACATCTACTGTGAACCTTGAATTTTTCTAACACATATACACCCAAACACCCACAGACATAAAGGTCTCTGAGTAATTCTGCTTCAAAGAGTACAATAAATGTTTTTAATTAATTTGACTATTAAATGAATTCACACTCTTTTATGTGTTGTGCATATTACAAGTTCAGTTTTTGAAAATTATGCCCAGAGAATGCATTTGAGGTTCCTGACATGAGCCATACTTTATGCACCATCAGAATTCCTCTTTGAGGCTATCTACTTGTCTTAGTGTTCCCATTGTCTAAGCCAGCACTACTTGATAGAACTTTCTGTAATGATGGATATGTTCTATATCTATGCTATTTAAATATAGTATCCATTAACTACGTGTAGCTATTGAGCCCTTAAAATTTGGTTAGTGTGACTGAAGAATTGAATTTTTAATTTTATTTGATTTTAATTAACAAGATTAAACAGCCACTCAACACTAGTGGCTATATAGTGGACAGCACGCATCTTGATTTTTAAGCACCGGACTTCTGGCAGTTGGAAATTACTGGAATTTGAGTTGCTGTGATTTGATTCAACTAAATTAAAATTAAAATACATTTCTCAAACCTCCTTTGCATGCTTAAACTTATGCTTACAGCTGTAGAACAAAGGTGCAAAGAATTGAAAACTTCAGATTCTACCTTTGAAGAACTCCATAGTCAGTCTTATGGACAAAAGCTTGTGGGCCAAATACAATCTGTCACCTGATTGTGGAAATACAGTCTTTTTGGAACATAGCCATGCCCTTCCTTATATATTGTCTCTGGCTACTTTTGTGCTACAGAACAGGTGTGAGTGTTACAACTCAGGGTACACAGTCCTCAAAGCCTAAAATATTTACTATCTGGCTCTATACAGAGAAAGTTTGCTAGCCCTGGTGTAGTGGGTCAGAGCTGTGAAAACAAATAATTACAATGAAGTGCAATGAAGCTAACTATAGAAATGGGGATAAAGTACAGAGGCATTAGGGTAGGGCATGACTGACTCTGGCTGAGTTGTTCGGGAAAGGAATCAAAGAGAAGTGATGTCTGAGTTAATTCTGATTGATGAATAAGAGTTTGCCAGAACAGAATTAAAGGGAGGGTTTGATGAGTCTCTCTGTATTTAGTGAATGGAAAATAAAATAATCTCATCATCTATAAATACACCCACAAATATATATATTTATGTGTGTTTGTTTATACATATACAATATATACATATATATGTGGAATATGCATATATTTTCTCACTACTGTTAATAATACTGTTAATAAATTTAACACTAAGGGGAGCTTATTAGAAAGTCTATATTGAAAAGATCTTAAGTCTTTATGACTTATTTACCTATAGTTACTAATATTAAATGAAATAACATGTTTTATATTATTTATTTTATTTAATATAAATATATAAATAATATAAAAAATAAGATAAATAAAATAAATATATAAATTATTTATATTAATTTATATATTTTCTGGAGTTACAATTGAGTATTATTTTTTTAAAGCCATTAACTCTCAAAAGGAAGACTTCCTAACAGTATGCTGTCATTGTTTTTTTTATGATGTGTGAAGGAATACAGGAATATCATGGGCACACATCTAAATATCATGGACACACATCATGGACAACATGTTTTTCATGTCATTGGCTAAAATGTGAAGATGACCTACAAGAAGATATTTATGACTGAACAAGTAAAGGGTATTATAATATCTAGACCTCAGGCTACATAGAACTTAGTGGCTCAAAACAGACATACTGAGTTGAAGTTTGAAGCATGAGGAAATCTGTAGTCAATATTAGAATAGAGATTTTAATATCAACATGATTTACACTCCACGTAATTCATTTTTTAAAGAAAATAAAAATTCAACTAATCCGAACCATTAGTCTTTATTATTATTATTTTTTTTTATCTTTACTAGATATTTGCTTTGCTTTGCTGCAGTTATTTCACACTTCTACCTTTGGGCTAGTTCCCCTGTGGTTTGAGTGGAGTGAAGGTGACAAGTGCTTTCCTCTGGCTGCTGTTATTGGTTCAGGTAATTTAAATTTAAGCTTATTTGCATGTCACATTATCTAAAGGTAAGTATTCCTGAAGGAAGTTTCAATCAATAGATATATCAGCACAATTAATGGTTGTGACAGGACAGGGACACCTTATCTTCTTATGGATATGAACGAAGTGTGATATTCCCTTCATAGTGCTGCAGCCATTTGGTGACCCTGAGAAAAGACAGCCTAAGAATGAAGTCAACATATGGAAGAGGGCAGAGAAGAAAATACAGAAAGCTAAACCAGAACCCTACTGATCATTACCTCAAGCCCACTCTATGCCCAGATTTTAAAGTGAGCCCATCAATCCTGTATCGCTCTAGTCAATTTAGTTATATTTATATTACTTTTATATTACTTAAAGACATCTTGATGCAAAGATGTACGATATATGAGTAGCTTTCAAATAGAGTTGCATATCAAACAAAACCCTATGTCTAATTTTGAAATTACAATCTAAATGACTATAGAATCTGTTTTAGTTTTATTTTTGGGAATAATAGCATTTGCTCATGTACAACCATTTTTATCCCCTTACAGTCTCCTTGGAGATGCATAAACTGTCTTCTTTATAATTATGTTGGATTAAGATTTTGTATGCCTTACTAAAATGTAAATGCTACCTTCATTTTAAGGAAATTATTAAGGAAGGAAAAAAATTGCCAGTTGATTTTAATGAGAAAATAGAATTCAAAAATATTTGAAATAGTGTGTTTAAGAACAATGTGGGGTGGAGAAATGATGTTAAACTATAACTCTAAGTAGGTAAGAGGAAATATAAGGCCAGCTGGAGAATGTGCATGTGTGTGTATTCACATGTATGTGTGTTTCCTTGTGTTGATTGTTGTAGGGAAGGTAATGACAGAGAAGTGGGATACTAAAGTAAAAAAAAAGTCCTTAAATGACAAAAGTTGATTAATTCAATGTCTTATGTAGCAAAAGGTTAATGATTGCAGACAAAGGCTGTAATTCTAGGGGCAAATAAGCGATAATTAATAACTGCAATTGGGATTTCAAGAGTGCCATATTTTTAAGAGGAATTTAGAATTACAGAACTTACTGCGAAAGTCCAGTATGTTTTAAAACGACTTTTTTTCAAACCTACCAATATTTTTTTACATATATGCATCAAAATTTGCTTTTGTAATGTTATGCTTTTAAAACATATCATTATTAGTATCATCATCATCATTTATTTTACTTTGCAGAGCATTGTAACTGGATAAATTATGGAATTGCATTCATAGGATAAAGTGAAAATGAAATACAAAGTTATCAAATAGCAGGTTATATAGCTAACGAATTGTAATACAACATTTATCTTTGAATTTTTCAATCTAGTGTGTCATTAAAAAGGCCCCATATATTGACAACATTAACATCTTATTTTTTGAATAGTTAAATATAAAAACATTCAACATTCTTGAAAGTTATAAAAAGAAATACTGTATTAACAGCTACTAAGATAGAAATTGTGAGAGAAAGTGTACTTGTGCACTATGAAGAACTCTTATATGTACTGTTATTACATTTTGCATTTTTTTACATAGTTTGATTTAGGCTAATTATATATATTTGCATATAATATTGGTGATAAACATATGTTTCAAAGTGACTTTTGTGGATTGCTGATCAGGCAAAACTCTCTGCACAGTGACTGGTGTTCTGAATTTTTTAAAAAAGACACATATGTTCTGTTCTTGGATTCTACAATACGCTTTGACATATTAAGGGTTCTGATAAGTTTAGCAGTAAAGAAACTAATTAAACATCATTTAATAAAACGTTGCTTAAACTTATTTGTCAATAAAATATTTTCCCCTAAATAACACTAACATCCCTATAATTTGGAATGCTCAGTTCACCAAATAGACTATTAAATCTTTCATTTTGAATAAAAATATTTTTAATTTCCTTGTTTGGCTTTGCTTCTGTGGTACATTGGCTCAGATAGTTTCACCATAAATAGTGATTTTTTTTCAACTTGTTTTAACCTCAATAGTAGATCTTACTCTTTTGGCTTAAGATAAGCACTACTTCTGTATGTATCACATTATATTGCCTTCTTTTTGTTAAGGTAATAGCATGCTCTAAATTCCAAGATAGGTATTAAAAATGTATAATTTTAAAAGGTACATCAAGGACATTGGATGGATTCTTTTGATTTTTTTTTATATTTGTACATGAATATTTGCCTAAGAGTGTTTTCCTGTATAGTAAAGCTTGCCCTTTGATGTAAAAGAAAGATGTGTGTGTGTGTGTGTGTGTGTGTGTGTGTGTGTGTGTGTGTGTGTCTGTATTAGTATTTCAGGGTTTCTCCAACCAATGTCATCAATATAAATTTCTTACATGATGACATTATTTGTTTTTCTTAATTCAATCTCATTCAGACCAGTATAATACAAACGTTAGATAGGGAGGAGCAAATCTAAGTCACACTGAATAGATTTAAAGAATTTGAGGATTTAATGCTGAATGTCAGAGTCAGATTACACAAAAATCTTGAAATTCTAAAGCAAGATTTCTTCAGTAAGATAGTGTCAATGTAATGAATATCATATTATGGTCTTCATTCCATAGCTACACATGACAAAACATTTTCACTCAGAAAATGTCATGCACATTTAGAAAGAAGATTGATAAAAGACATCATATGAAGTCTTTCTTGGAAAACAAGGCTGAGGAGCTGTCTGGATCCTCATTGCAAAGTGAAATGTCCTCTTTGCTGGGAAGATAAACAAAACAATAATACACTATCATGCTCTAACTGAAAATACATATGGCTAAATAACTAATCATATAAATATTATAGTTCTCAATAATCACTAATAAAAATAATACATATTTCTTTCTTCCACTCATATTTATTCATTGTTCATGTATTCTACTTCACAGAGTAAATGAATGTGTACAACGTTAAAAGCAGGGTGGAAGTAAACCGTCAAAGAAAGATTTTTTTGGAGAAAATTAGCAATGTCTGGCATATAATATGCTCAAGGGGTAATTCTTACTAGTTATTTTTAATTATGCTGATTATTACATATAAAATGATCAATTAAATTATTCAATTTGAATGGTGCCTCAAAGGATCCATAATTGTACTTTTTTGCAGTACACTTGTAGTACAAAACATTGGTGTTTGGGAGTCAAAGATATCTGAGTTGGAGCTCTTGCTCTACCTCTTATTTAGAATTACTTAAGTGTTCTGTGCTTCAATATTTGAGTCAAAATAAAGGGAATAACTTCAGACCTTTTAGCTCTTGTGATAATTTTTTTAAAATGTTAGTACATTAAGTTTGCTTCTAATGCTAGCTCATTTTCTCATTCTTCTTCCCTTTTTAGCTGTTGGTCCATCCAACTCATCCTGCAGTTTTTTGTTTTGTTTGTTTAATTTTCACATTGCTAACATAAGTTTATGGAGTATGAGTGTAGTTTTGTTACATGGATATATTGCTCAGTGGTGAAGTTGGAGCTTTTACTGTAACCATCACCCGATTAATATATGTTGTACTGATTAAGTAATTACTCATCCCTCATCCCCCTCTCAACCTTCCACCCTTCTGAGTCTCCAGTGAGTGTTATTCCACAATCTAACTTGCAATTTCATTTCCATTTCATTCCTCTCTTTTTCTTTCCTTAATTACTTTGCTGCAGAGTAAAACACACTGCTTGGTCTAATAATTTTTTATAATAAAAGTATAAATTAAGTTTGGGTTTTTTCTTGGCTTTGTGTCAAATGTTGCTAAATATTTAATGAGGCTATATGAAATTCATTTTTGTCCAGACTGAAGTTCCAAGGACTGCAGATTTTAAATATATATATATCACATGACTTACATCTTTAATGTATTCTCAATATGTTCTTTTTTTAAATCCCATTATCTTCACCTAGAGTCTGAGCTGATATTTTCTCTTAACCAGGTGGTCTTTTTCACGTTTGAGTTGATTTTTTATTTTTAACATTTATAACTATGAAATGTTAGGTTTTATAAAATGTACCTGTGGATGCCAGTTACCACCCTAACAGACCATAATTGTTTTTATTACCATGTTTCTGGAATAATTTATCTATATAGAGTTTGATGTGTGATTTTTGAAATTCCACAATATATTATTTTCAAAATCACTTTTACTTGAGCTTAAGGGAAAATATACAAAGCTTCAATTAAGAGACATAATTTATTATATCATACATGTGCTATTAGTTACTATTGCAATAGTAGCTATGAATTTATATGAATACTATTATAGAATATTAGCAGCAAGTAGGTATCATTTAATTTTTTTAGCTTTTAGTTTGGGGCTATTTGGAAAGAGGGTCTAAATAACTTGTCTGCCCAATATTTTTTGATCTTTCTTAATTTCAAGTCTTTTAATGAACAAATAAAAATTTACACAATTGTATCCTATAATGTATAGTGATTTTATTCATTCTCTTTCCAGAGTGGCACCCCTTCACCTGATAAATATTTTAGTCTTAATTTGACATCTACTAAATTACTGAAATGCATTGAGCTGATTCTTTTGAAGTATTAATTGATATTTGAAATGTGATTCATTATCTAAAGGAAATTTGACTCAGTCCAGTAAAACATTAGAAATAAAATGCGCTTCAATATATCTAACAAACTCCTTGTTTTACTAACTAAGCAACAGAGAGATTAAGGGGTTATCTCCTCTTTTTTTTTCTCTAATTGCAATTTAATATGTCTTTCCTGTATAATTATTTAATACTAATAGTTTATAGTTTTGAAGGTTTCAAATTTATAGTCAGTACCTTTGTCATGATGAATGAATGCTCTAAGAAGACAAAGTTCTTTAAACCTGTATGGCCACGCAGCAATATTGCAAAAATCTCTGAATTGCCTGGCAGGGCGCAGTGGCTCACGCCTGTAATCCCAGCACTTTGGGAGGCCGAGGCGGGCAGATCACGAGGTCAGGAGATGGAGACCATCCTGGCTAACACGGTGAAACCCCCTCTCTACTAAAAATACAAAAAATTAGCCGGGCGTGGTGGCGGGCGCCTGTAGTCCCAGCTACTCCCGAGCCTGAGGCAGGAGAATGGCGTGAACCTGGGAGGCGGAGCTTGCAGTGATCCAGATCCAATATGGCGCCACTGAACTATAGCCTGGGCGACGGAGCCAGACTCCGCCTCAAAAAAAAAAAAAATCTCTGAATTGCCTTCAAAATGATGTCTCATTTAGAAAACATGATTTTTCATATTTATTCCTGATGCCACATTAACATTTTTGACTGCTGATGGCCATTAATGTAAACAAGAAAAACATATTTTTTAAATGCAGTGCAATTTACTTAAAAATATTTTGCATTTCTCTTCCTTACATGTTTACAATATTGAAAGACCCTTTATTTTTAATTTTGTGAGAGAAATAACCAGAAACTTTGAGAAATCCCAACCTTATATGGAAGAACATTTCTAGATATGTGAAGGAATTGTGTAGAATGTATTTTTTCATACCTATTTGAAAAGAATAGAAATAACTCTGTCTTTTACAATTGCTAGGGAAATAACAGGTCTGAGAGTTGAGATATGGAGTCAAAAGCAAAGTGAAAGAAAAATGCAGGCAAAAATAACAATCATACACTTTCTACTTATTTGACCTGGGTAGTATCCTTGGGCCTAGTTTTATTATTAATAAAATGGAAGCAATTATTTCTGCTACATAGACACGTGCTTTAAATATAATAGTCATTATGGAAATGTGTTTTTCACAATCATGCAAATTATCATTTTCAATATTAAGTGATATTAAACTTTGTACAACTCCTGGAGATGGTAATATCTGGCAGTTCAGCCTGTGATCTACTCTGTTTTGAATCATTAATTACCAGTAACTTTTTTCCAGTGTGGTATAATTGATCCATGAGGTAATTAAGTTGATATATTTCATTACCTGTCTGTTTGGATATTATATGTATTATCAACCCATGAAATAAGCCATTATTTAGGATTTTAATAAATCTTATATAGCCAAAACTTTAATACATATTTCCATCATAGCTCCCTTTTTAAATAATCTGGTTTTCTTCACAAGGTTATGATATTGGTGGTTAAAGATCATGCCTTACTTGTCTTTGTATTTCCTAAAACATTCTGGAGCCTGCCACAAAATAGGTGCCAATTACATAGCTGTAAAATTAAATAATAACTTCATGAACTATTTAGATAAAATGATATATATTTTAATATATAATGCTAGCAATAACCAATTTGTTTTTCTTTTAAGGAAATCTAGTAAAACGTTCCAAGACTTCATTGATCTAAAGGACAATGTTAAAAGATAGTATTTATATTATGGGACCAGTTACAAATTCTTTCTCACTCTTCAGGTCTAAGATGACTTGTGCTACACTGAATTGCAAGCTTCAATGTGTTGTGATATAGAAAGAAACCTGGATTTCATAGCTTTCAAATAATACTTTCATAAATTTTTAGCCAATTATCTTTAGCGGTCATCTGCCAAATTTCAGAATGTCAAAGCTCATCAGCGAGCTCATATTTGCTCTCTATAGTGTCATAGCAATGTTGTAAAGATATTACAATTTTAAAACTTTGCATGGTAATTATAGTAATAAATGCAAAAGTAATCATATAAAATATAAGGAAGAGGAGAATGGGCAATAATAAGCTCAAATGTTTTGAACATAATAGCATACATCCTATTTTTTATGCTAGGATACACTGCTTCTGTTGTGAAATAAAATTTGTAGTTTGCTTAGCAGAGCAGAAAGCAATTCAACATGAATTGATAGAATATTGTAAAAAACATTCTAGCTGGCTAAAACTTCAAGAACCACATATTACCCAAACTGGTATATGACCAAAACACTAGAATTTAATGGCTGTATATCATTTTTGTGTTTGTTTTTGTGAAAATTGCCTGAGGTTCTGTAGTTATTCCTATTCCACTTTGAAATATGGCTCCATTTTCCATCAGAAAAAGCAAAAGATGCTGAATTATGTAATGAACCATGTAGTAAATGAAAAAAGGACCCATTCTTTGAGATTTAGCAAAAATGCTCTTATCTATATAAATTATTTTCCTGAAAGCGATATTATCACATGAAGACCCAGTGAGTCTCACTCGATTTTCCTAAACAAAATGGGACAGTTTTCAAAATTTTCTAAGCAAAAAAACCATGAGGCTTACTTTATTTTAATCTACCTTTCTTTTCCTTCCTACATCTTCCTTCCTTCCTTCCTTCCTTTTCTAAAACTGTCTGTCATTTATTTATTTAGTAAGGAGTAAATTCTACTCTAAGAGATTACACTCTGAATTACTAGATATAGTAGCAGTTTTGCTTCAGTGATGTCAGAATCACCACAGAAATCAGATATTTTTTAAAGTACATACAAATACACACCCCTACACCCACAAACACTCAGAGTCTTACGAAGGTAAATACTGCTGAGAAAGATGAGCCTTAGTGTTGCTCGGAGCCAGAGGTCTACAGTTTCATGGGCTCAATTCACGTTATATTTACATTACATTTAAGTTTCTGCTGGGTGCGGTGGCTCACGCCTATAATCCTAGCACTTTGGGAGGCCAAGGTAGGCGGATTACTTGAGGTTGGGAGTTCAAGACCCGCCTGGCCAAGATGGTGTTGTTCTATGGTTTTGTATTTTTAGTCTGTACTAAAAATACAAAAAAAAAAAAAAATTAGCCAGGTGCAGTGGTGCATGCCTGTAATCCCAGCTACTCGGGAGACTGAGGCAGGAGAATCTCCTGAACCCCAGAAGCAGAGGTTGCAGTGAGCCGTGATCACACCACTGCACTCCAGCCTGGGCTACAGAGTGAGATTTCATCTCAAAAAAAAAAAAAAAAAACAAAAAAAACCAATCATTTTGAATGATATGTTTGGCTGTGTTCCCACCCAAACCTCATCTTGAATTTTAAGTCGCACAATTCCCACATGTGGTGGGAAGAACCTGGTTGGAGGTGATTGAGTTATGGGGCAGATCTTTCCTGCACTGTTCTCGTGATAGTGAATGACTCTCATGAGTGCCGATGGTTTTAAAAATGGAAGTTTCCCTGCACATGCTCTCTTTTTGCCTGCTGCCATCTATGTAAGACTTGACTTGATACTCCTTGACTTCCACCATGATTCTGAGGCCTCCCCAGCCACGTGGAACTGTGAGTCCAATTAAACCTCTTTGTTTTGTAAATTGCCCAGTCTCAGGTATGTCTTTATCAACAGCATGAAAATGAACTAATATAGGTTCCTGTAAGGAGTTTTACTTGAAAATTGGGAACCTAGGTTGATTATTAAGGGATTATTACTCCAGAATAAGAATAGTGGGTTTGTGTGAAAGAAAGGCATGGAATTAAAGATAATCCTGTTTGTTCTAAAGTAGAGTGGTGGGTAGCACAAATGATGATTGTATCTTTGAGTAAGGAAAGACACACACACTGATTATCTAAGACTATTTCTTTTTCGTCTTTTAAAGATAATATTTCATTTTTAAAAAAATTATGTTTAATGCTTATGCCAAACAAATACAAGCAAAAAGAAAGAAAAAGAGATCATAGAATCTGTACAATGAAGCTGGAGAAGCTATATAAATATATATACACACACACATACATACATATCTATATATATAGATATTCATTTTTATTACATCATGAATCAGATTGAGAAAATCCCAGATTTATGTATTGTCAAGGAGGAAAAAGAGTGGTGTCTACTTCCAGCATAATGAGGAACATAAGTCACTGGACTAAAATAATGCTATAAAAAATTGAATGATAAACTAAAGGCTAAATCTTGCTTATCTCCAGTTCACTGATTTGTTCAAGATTAGAGGACTCTATCTGGACCTGTAGGCTTTCTTTTCCTTTCTTTGTGTAAGTAACATTCCTGAAGCATTTTAGCCGCCCATTAGACACAGTATGACTAGCTTGTAAGTCACTTTTCTTCAGTTCATCTTTACTGAACATCTTCAATATCACAATGTGGTTAAGAGTGCCTCCTGGCTGGGTGCCTTGGCTCACGCCTGTAATCCCAGCACTTTGGGAGGCCAAGGGGTGTGTATCACGAGGTCAGGAGTTCGAGACCAGCCTGGACAATATGGTGAAACCCTGGCTCTACTAAAGATACAAAAAAATTAGCCAGGTGTGGTGGCACGCGCCTGTAATCCCAGCTACTCAGGAGGCTGCGGCAGGAGAATCACTTGAACCCGGGAGGCAGAGGTTGCAGTGAGCAGAGATCACACCATTGCACTCTACTTGGGCAACAAGGATGAAACTCAGTCTCAAAAAAAAAAAAAGAGTGCTTCCTATAGTCTAGGTTAAGATGAATATCATTTGAACCTTTACCTTGGATTTATGTATTCATTGGCTGTATTATCTTAGCAAGATATTTAACTACTTCTACCAAAAAATGACTGTTTTTTTTTTGGTTTTTTTTTTTTTTTTTTTTTTTTTTTTTGAGACGGAGTCTCGCCCTGTCACCCAGGCTGGAGTGCAGTGGCGCGATCTCGGCTCACTGCAAGCTCTGCCTCCCGGGTTCATGCCATTCTCCTGCCTCAGCCTCGGCCTCCCGAGTAGCTGGGACTACAGGCGCCCGCCACTACGCCCGGCTAACTTTTTTGTATTTTTAGTAGAGACGGGGTTTCACCGTGGTCTCGATCTCCTGACGTCGTGATCCGTCTGCCTCGGCCTCCCAAAGTGCTAGGATTACAGGCGTGAGCCACCGCGCCCGGCCAAAAATGACTGTTTTAATATGTGTCCTGGATTTGGAAATGACGTTAACTTCTTTAGCAGGGCCACTGTTCGTACAAATTGTCAATAAGCTGCAATCATGACTGTTGTTTTTATTTTCATTCCTTCATTTATTTTCCCTAGCTCAAATGGGTTGTTGAAACATTGCTCAGAAGCAAAGGTCTTTCTGATCAGGTCTTTCACGCTGAAATATTATTACTAAGGGACTTAAAATTTACTCTGCATCCTATGGTAACTCTTTTATAACCACAATAGTTTTTCTACATTAGCTTCATTGAATGCATAGCCTGGTTTCTTGCTGAGGTAGAAACCAACCCATTCACAATCAAAATTTGCTTCAAAATAATCATTTTATCCTGACTTAAAAGGAAGGACAACTTCTAATGAAACTCCACGCTGTTTTCTGGAACACTCCATAGTCTGATTAACTTTGGCCTTCCATACCATTTTGCAGATTAGGATCATAACTAAGGTGAATTAATTGGCAATAAGTCAGTGATAATAAACTTCCTTAAATCCTAGTAGAAGAGTATACAAGAAATGCAAAATCTAAAATATAATCCAGAATATTATTTTACAGTAATATCACTGAAGCTATTAAACCTTATATCAATGTACCCATTAATGTTTTTAGTATAATAAATATTAAGTGGCATTTCCTTTTGGTCTTTATAACTCATTTTAAGATAAAGTTTTACTTTCTATTATTTCATATATTGCCTTGACTGCTTGATCCTTTTGTGAATGTAGGTGGTGTATGTATGTCTCTCTGTGTGTATGTGTGTGTGTGTCCAAGAGTAGACCTATCATTATCAAAAAGCCAGCAGCACTAAAGGATTGAATCGGTGACCCGAAGGTTAAATTCCACAGCGGTAATCACTAAGCTGTTCTCCATTATAGTTGTAATAAAAAGACTGGGACTGCTGACATCTGGTACCTCCTCATCTAAAACCTTTTAAACTGTTTGAGAAAAAAAAGCTTTTATTCAAGTGAAAAAAAAATCCTCTAGGTGTGTGTTACTTAAAGATCTGGAAATTTCCTGTAAGATACACTGTCAAAGATGGTCAGAACACATCTGTACTAGAGTAAAATGTTAAATCGCACTTTTTCAACTTTGCACTCTTTTTCTTGACCTATATAAAGAGCATAATGAGGGCACATGTAGAACAATACAGTATCACACTTTTTAATATTCCCTCATAAAATGAACATATTTTGCTGATTATCAATATCCTAATTCAAAATGACTAAAAGATAAGACCAAGTATATTAATTAAATGTTATGAGCCATAATTTATAAGCAATGACTTTTTCTTATATATTTAAACAATTTAAGTAAACTATTCCTTGTATCCTTATGTACTTAATTTCAAAAATACTTTAATAAGAATAAATTTGCCAAGTGGATTTACATATACTAGATATTGTCAGCAAACAATAAATAATGAAAGTTGCAATGCATTTCTCAGTTGTAGCTTTACAAGTATTTATTAAAATGAATTATTTTTACTATTAATATGCTGTAAGGATTTGCTACCTTTAGAAAATTTTCCAAAAAAAATCGAAGATGTAGAATAGTACAATTAATAATCAAAAAGTAAAATTTCTCTAAAAAGATACATAATTGTACAGGTTTTAAGGACTATTCTTTCATTTTCCCAAGGGAGACTAAAGATTTACACACACTCTCACTGGGTGTTTTCAAGTAACAGCACAGATGCCAAAACAAATAAATAAACACCATCAAAAAAGCTACGTATTGCCCTGGAAGAATACACTAGAGTTTGAGGGGCAAAAAATATACATGCTAAAATTACTTAGGACCACTGACATAAGCAAATAATGAACAAATGCCAAATAGAGTATGGTCAAACGGAGGAAATAATTTAACTCTTTGCTGTTTGTGGAATACGTACTCAAATGATGTCTGCAGTTTGGATACTATTTATTACTTTAAATGTTTAACTTTATTATTGCATAAAGATTATATAGATATTTGGACATAATATCAATCTTGTCCTCAGAGAGCTGTCATCAAAGAATTATAGAAAGTTTACTTAATTTGATACTAAAAGATCAGAGTTTCCTTTTTGGTTTTGCTCATTACTCATTTTGATATCTAAGCAAATTGAACAATTCTTTGAGTTAGTATTAAAACAATTACTGTTAATATAATTAAATTTAAAAATAGTATTAAAAACTAAAAATGACCCGTTCCTCATGGGGTCATTGTAGATAGAAAATGAGATTTATATAAAAGCTTCTTGTAAATTGAGGCAGTCTGTTTACTTAAGAGCTAATATGAGCTTGTGTTTAAATAATTACATTAGAAAGTAAGACATGCTTCAAAAGAGTCTTAGTAAAAATGCAATGTAGAGGTAGTCAGGGAGGCAAACACTTTCCCATTAAAGAAGAAAAGTAAATGCTCCATGGAGAAGGAGCGTTTGAACTGTGCCCTGAAGGATTTCTATTTACATTTAGCTTCAGAGAATGATCACCATTAGGAAGATTATTCTAGGAGAAAGTTATTCAAATGGCATTTTGAATGAGATAAAGAATTATGGCTTATTTCATATGGGTAGGACAAAATTAGATTTGAAATAATATCATGTTCAAAGGGTCGAGGGAGAATCTAGCAAGTACTGGGTGGTGAATTGCATACAAATTTGCATGGCTGAATATAAAGAGGCTTATATTTCTTTAGAAATAGATTGAGACCGAAAAACTGTAAGCATTTAGAAGGAATTTTTTCTGTTTTTCTCTGTCGAGCAATTTGACAAGCGTTTGCCAAATCAAGGGTAATCATAAAGTAAAATATAGTATTCATCATTTGCTTTAATAGAGATATTCAGAAGTCTCACCATACTTGGGAAATATATTGCATAGGTGTAATTAACGAAGAAACACATGAATTCTCTGCTATGTTTATGATAAAGATCAGAGCAAAATGTTTGAGTAGGAGTAAAGAAATAGGGATCATTTAAATGTATGTTTTTAAGACTATTTTATCTGGAGTCAATAGATGACCCTAGTGTTGCCTGTCCTATTTGGTCAATTCATAACCCTCCTCCCTCATGCTACATTCTCATTAAATTTACCATAAGGTTTGCCCTGAAAGGCATTAGGTGCTTGCTTCCCTAGCCACAATTAGGCAATTGGACACATTTCAATATTATTCGTGTATTAGTACTCCTCTCACTCACTTTCAGTTATTTGCTTACAATGGCCACTTCCTCATTAGAAGGTTACGTTGTAGGCCATAGCAGATCAGTTGTACTTCCAGTTCCTCTTTGCAGCATTTGTTAAGATAAGCAGCCTAATATCCTTTCAAGAGAGAACTTGTCAATCAGCCGGGAGGAGTGCAGTTAGCTGACATTGTCCACCTGCTGGCCTTCAAGTTCTAACAAAGTATTTGAGCTGAGGCCACTCATGCTTTTTCCAGGCAGCCTATAGGAAATGGCTGACGACAATGGGGATGCTGGAGCCTGACCATTTCTGCCGACTGTGATTCCTCTATGGGCGCTCCTTTTGCTGAAGCTCCCGTTTGGGCTTGTGAAGAATCTCTAAGAGCTGCATCCCAGAATGAGGCTTTTTCTGCCAATCTTTCTTCTTTCTCTGTTCACATGGGTGTCAACTGTGCCATGGTCTAAAGGTCTTTTCTGTCCTGCCAACTCTTTCTCCCTGTCCTGTCTTCCATAAGTATTTCCCTCAATAAGTCTATTGCAATTCTAGTTCCATGTTGGCAACTCAAGAACAGATTGACACAATGTCAGAATTCCTAATAATCAGAAGTTCTCAAAACTATCTGTGGAATAAATGGATGGATGGATAGTGCATGGATGAGGAGAATTGCTAGAAGTAAGAGTGAAGTTTTAAATGTAAGAAGTAAGAAGACAAACTTTACTTACTTTCTAAATTTTTACAATAATGCAATCCATTAAAAATAACCAGTCCCTGTCATCACTAATGTTCTACCATCTGTTTTTGAAGGAAAGGCGGGAAAATAATTGGTAACGTGAAATATTATAAAAAATGATAATATATATAATTACATGTATTATATGTAATTTCCCAATACTTCTTGCAAATGATAGCATACATATATATGTGTCACATATCATGAAATATAATTTAATTTATACAACAAATCAAGAAGGAAATTAAAACTCAGGATGTTTAATTAACAAAGTGATGTAGCTAGCAAGTGGAAATGATGGAATTTTATCTTTTCTTTGATCCCAAAGATTCAAGGGCTAGCCTCTTAATGGAACATTTTGATGCTTTATGCTTTAAGTTGAGAATTAACTATAACAAAGAGAATATTAGGTTATAATTATGTCTATAGGTGTCAACTTTCATTCACCTGACTACATGGATTTTCTCTACTAAAACAAATTGTAGTGACAAGTGATCTCATTTTCCTGTTTTGCAGCTAATAATACTTGAGTCATTTCATTCAGTGCTAGGGTATTTCTGGAACTTTACTTCCTACTTATAATGTTTCTATAATGTGATAAATGTTGATTTTATCATATTTCCACTTCGAATATCCCAATATATATTTTTTAAAAACACCCAGCATTTATTTTGGAATACTACATCTCCAACACAAACACTGTGGAATTAAAGGACAATGTGATGGATGGTGGTTGTCTCTAAGTAAAAGAGTCTGAGTTAACGTAATTACACAAATGTTTATTTTATTACATCTTGTATGTACTGAATTTTTGAACAGATGCAATAAACAGTCAATTACTTCAGTGATGGGTAATACCAAATAGTAACTAGAACTAAATCTGAACTGTATTCCCCAAAACAGACTTTCGAAAGTAAAGGCAGTAGTTTTGTCTAGCTACCATTTTTCAATTAATCATATCCTAATTGACTTAGTAAGAAATGTGTTGGTTGTCTAACTCTTTTAGAATTATCTTACCAGAGCTGCCAGGAAAACCAATGTGCTCTTCCCTGTCACACAAATGCTTGCTAAATCAATAAGTCAGTAAATGTAAGTTTGCTGATGACATAAATGTGTCCATTTTTTCCATGTTGTTTTAGACAAACACTTAAAATATGGAGAGATAAATTGGTTTAAAAATGCTAGAGACTGGTGCATTCATTTTCAGAAGCAATTCCTTTTTCCTGCCTCTGATTATATTTGACTTTAAAAATAGCAAAAGTCAATTGAGTGCCCTGATAATAAGGGGATGTTTGCTGATTACAAACAAGAGATACCAGTTTTGTCTGTTTTTGTGCATAGCACACTATCTATCTCTACATACCCCCCCTTAAATTTGATAATTTTCTATTTCTTCAAAATAGTCACAGATGGTGGCAGGCAATTACATGATAGTAGACTTTTCTGAGCAAAGTCTTGGAATGCCAGGCCTTACCACTGATGTGCTGAGTGATTCACCTTGAAGGGCCATTTTATTTGATGTTCTGTGACCCAGAGACTTGACAAGGCTACATTTCCCAGAGAGTCTCATGGCACCAGGAATCTGTCATTCCATGGTAGCAGTAAGCTGGCCTCTACTACAGTAAGTTGTATTAGCTCTCTTTTTTGAAAGTTATTTTATGAAAGTAAAAACATTATTGCTCACAGAAGAAAGATATTTTCAAGTCTAAGTTTTATCTAGTTATGGATCTATGTATTTTAAGAAAGTTAAGTCAGAGAACATGATTAAAATCAATGTTAAATTAATTTATTGTGAGCAGGCTGATCTGGATAAGTGAATTCATCAATAGTGATGAATGATATCAATATTGACAATATAAATGTGTTATGCTTTAATCTTTCTCTCTGGAGTGTGCATGCAAAACCATGCTTATTAGAGGTGATTTTGCTTACAACAACAGATTCATTTCCATAAACAATTCCAGGGAGCTACTGAGTATTTTAAAATGGTGGAATAAATTGATTAAACAAAAGAAAAATGGGGACATTTTATTGCAATATAGTTAAGAATTTCCCAAAGTAGTTTATGATAGATGTATTTTAAAGAAATAAAATCATTTACTTAATTAACTTAATTAAGTACACTATTGCACTTGCCTGCTAAAGGGCTGACAACAACCAGGTAAGTAATGCTTTTGCCCTTTCTTGAACATAAAATCTGGATGCAGAATCATTATGTACGTGAAATTGCCAAAAACAGACATAAAGCTACTTCAGTTTACCTGCTAAAGTTTACTTTATTTTGAACTGATCAGGGAGGGCTTTAAAGAAAGGGTAGTTGATAAATTGAGATGGAGATAGATAGATAGATACAGATATAGATATAGACATAGATATTTCCTGATTTGTAAATTTTCACTCAAAATTTTAAAACACCGTGTAAGCTGTGTGTGCATACGTACACGTGTACATACATATACATGCATAAAAATGGGTGCAGAACCAGATATAAGATTAAAAGGTACTATGAAAAAAAATCCAAAGTTTACATTCTTTTCCCTGGCTCATTGTTTCCCTATGGCAAAGTAGGACCAATGCTACCAAAGACTGATTTTCTTAAAGTCATACACCCACAATTAGCTAGGTGTCACCTATAAGCTACAACTGTAGTCATCTCTATAGTTTCTTCAATATTCAGTTAAGAGATAATTGAATAATAATTGTTATTTAAAAATCTGACTTGCATGGAAAACTAGCTTCAACATTGGAAAACTCATTTACAGAGGATATTGACAGTTCAGGCTATAAATCTGTGGAAGGAGTTTACATTAATTTGCAGTTTGGTTTAGATGAGAAGAAATTTGGACAGTAAGAGCCAGAAGAGGCCTGGCTGCAGATCCCAGCTCTACCTAGGATCCTAGACTTTGACCTTGAAAAATCTATTTAACCTCTCATCCCCTCATATACACAATGGAATTAATAATAGCAGCTATCTCTCAGGTTTGTTCTAAGTTTAAATGGATTAATATTAAGATTTAGAATAGTTTCTGTATCCAACATGTCAGGCTCTACATGTTTTTATAAAATAAAAATACATCTCAGGACCCTTGATGCCAGTGTAGACATCATGAATCTTCAACAGGGGTATGGGTGCACACAATTCTTTAAGCTTAGTTGTCCATACAGTATATTTTTGGATTACTTGATCATGAGTCACAAGTGTTCTCTTGCACAAGTTTGCAAAATGCTAGGGAAGTGGATGAACCAAGATTCCCTTTCAGTTTTCTTCCAAAGTTGACACACCAGAAACCTGTGACAACAAAAGTTGCAAAGAGACACCACTGAAGGAATGTGATCCAGTATCAAGTGAGTAGCAACAGATGCTTCCAGATGCTTATCACTTTTTCACCACTAGTGAATTTGTCTTTCTAATCTGTGTGTGTTTATTTAATTAAGAATTCTTGACACCAAGATTCTTATAGCAGACCTACTTATGAATGTCCAAAAATTAAAATATCAAATAGGACATTATCTCAGACAAGGTAAAGTTTCTACGTATGTGGTCATCACAGGTAATCTCTGCAATGACCCTTTCTTTCCCATGCATACTCAAGTGGCACAAAATATTTCAAAGCATGAATATCCAATGAATATCTAATGAATGGTTAGTATTTGCTAACGGAACTCACTATATACACATATCCTATATATCTTGTAATAAAAATAAAAAGAAATTATTACAGAACACACATAATATAAGCAATGAGGAACACACAAAGAGTATGTGTCTCATAAGATGAATTTATTTATATTTTGACAACTTGGTTGAGGCAGCACTCTTCTGCGATTTCAATTTTGAAGAGACAGGAAAGGTTTAATGAATAATTTTGATTTGCTGAATTTTGAAAAAAAAAAGTGTTGTGATTTAGATAGGCAGAATACTTAAGAGAATCAAGTACATTAAAGAGAACCAAATTACAAAGGTGGAAAAAAATAAAGAGGTATGGAGAAAAGTATCGATAAACAACTTGTCCTGAAGAGGAGTGTTTATATCGAATTGAAGATAAACTTGGTGTTATAAGTAGCATTAGAACACAGGTTCGACATCCATATTAACTTGTTCAATAAATATTTATAGTTTTGTGTATCTCCTTGTGTTTAAGGCATTATGCTGGGAATTGTGTAAAATGTAACCATCAGTTCTTTGAAATCCAAGAATTATATTTTTCTCGACATCCCCTAAAACTCCCAATAATTTTTGTCAAATTTACCTTGAGGTGGAAGAATCAGATTCATTATTGTTACTGTATTTAAATCATGAATGCTTTATGTTCTGATTAGGTTTGATTTATGAAAGTGGGTGAGGAACAAAAATAAAAGAGTAGAGCAAAATGGTCATGTATTTTATTTAGACAGTCTTTGGTCAAGATTTCAGTGACACAGAACACTTGTTCTTCATCAACATTAGGTTCATTGTCTTCATGCTGTCTAGTGACAACAGCCATATTTCATTGTTACACTTACCTTTGGAACACTGCTCACTAGGCATTACTCTGCAAGTGAGATTGTCTTACCTTTTGGGATTAGTACTAGTGTCTCAATTTGTTTCTTCATAGGGTGTCAAAAATCCTAAATAGTGAGAAAGGGCAAAGAGTACTTTCATGTATTAGCCTTGTTTTGTGCTGCTGTTTTTCTTTTTGGCAAGTAATTTAGATGATATTGGTAGCATAGCCATACAATTTTGGCTAGTTGGATTCAAGAATCAACCAAATTTTTCATTGTCTGCATTTAAGATTTAGCCAGATTGTCATTTAGAATATATGATTATGTTATTTTCTCATGAGCCATATGTAAGTACAGTAAGTTAAGAA
Source organism: Homo sapiens (assembly GCF_000001405.40). Classification (NCBI taxonomy): domain Eukaryota; kingdom Metazoa; phylum Chordata; class Mammalia; order Primates; family Hominidae; genus Homo; species Homo sapiens. Next base: position 31,743,138 of record NC_000004.12, read on the forward strand.
GTATATCTCTCCCTCATCTGATAATTTCAAAGAGATAATTGTCAGACTCAATGAAAACATGGACATAAGAAATACTAGGACTGGGAGATTCTACACTATGAGAAGATAATACTGTGCTGTCTTTGACAGGAGTGTGCAGAACAATTTAGAAGGAAACAAAAGCTATTACTTGTAGATAAGGGATAAAAGTTGCTGTTAATAACTTGGCATATGCCAGTTTCTCCTAAACCAAATTTTATAACTGATAACCACCATTACAGATGGTCAAATAAGTGGTTACTTTACTTAACAGTCCATGGATCTGCTGAGTCTTGCTGAGCTGAGGTAGGTGATTAACATTTAAAGACCCTTTCACTTGTCTTATTAAAATATATGCTGTCCCAGGAATGAGAATTATTTCAGTATAAAGTTTTCAGCTACTGGCTTTCATGGACCAATCTTTAGTTCTACATTTAATGTAGAAACTGGAAAAGATTTTAAGAGTGTGGGAAAAAGAAGTACAATGAATTAGGTGTCACGACATTTACTATTAACCTAACTCTGTCATTAACCAGCTTTGTGACCTTGGATGTGTTCTTTAACAAAACTGGACTTCGGTGCCCTTATGTATAAACAGAAGAAACTATACAATGTATCATTTAATTTTTTTTATTTTATTTACTTTTTTTTTTTGAGACAGAGTCTTTGTCACCCAATGTGGAGTGCAGTGGTGCGATCTCAGCTCACTGCAACCTCTGCCTCCCAGGTTCAAGTGATTCTCATGTCTCAGCCTCCCCAGTAGCTGAGACTACAGACGTGCACCACCGTGCTGGGCTAATTCTTGTATTTTTAGTAGAGACGGGGTTTTGCCTTGTTTTGCCTTGTTGGCCAGGCTGGTCTCAAACTCCTGATCTCAAGTGATCTGCCCGCCTCGGCCTCCTAGAGTGCTGGGATTACAGGCATGAGCCACTGTGCCTGGCCATAATGTGTCATTTTTAACTCTAAAACTATATGGCATGTCTGTTTCAGGCTGGACTGAAACTGACTAACCAACCAACCTAACGTAATTGGGGCTTAGAGGCACGCATTGGCTTTTGAAACCCGTGGATTATCTAGAAATCAATTGGTCATATATACCAATTGGCCCATGGTTAAAGGCAAAGGCCCAGACACAAGTCTCCAGTATAACATATCCAAGGATCCCCAAATTCTCAAAAGTGTCCCCAGAGTAGCCATTGCCTGGAATGCTGCTTGGAGAATTTATTAATCTCAGAGCAGAGCAAAACCTAAATTATGAAACAAACTATTGAAGAACTAAGAAAAGAACTAATTTTCTCAATAAATGTTCACTTTCTAAGGCCCACAAAAATTGAAAATTATAATACATTTTCAGAGAACTATAAATGAGAAAGAGTTAAGTGAAAATTAAGTAGTCACTTTTTTTAATCCATGTGAAATGAACATTTCTCTTTCAGAGAATGCCTCTGCTTGAATCAAGTTTCTATGCTTCTGTTTATATTGCAAGCAACAAAACCAAACATAATAAAAGGAAAAAGAAGGAAAAGATGAAGGAAGGAGTAAGCCAGAGGAAACAAGGAAGAAGGGAGGGAAAGACACACACACACACAGAGACAGAGAGAGAGAGAGAGAGAGAGAAAGGGAGAGAGAGAGACTGACTTTTCATTTGCTCAAAATGAATTTCATTTTAACTTTTTTAATCTTACATCTTAATATGAAGAAAGTTGACCTCTTCTTTTACCAATTCTAAAATTATATTTAATTTTTTTATATACATCATTAAGGAGGGAATAAAAAGACATTTTTACCTTCTGCTAAATATTTGCTCAAGCAAAATATATCAGTTATGCAGTATTTACTGAGCTAGCTGTATTCAGAACACTGTAAAAGGCAGAGTGCTGTAATGTTCAAAGATTACTGTGGTGTGTTGCATTTTGCATTCCCAAGATAGTATTTTTTCCACAAATGCCCTTTTTAAGCACAGCATATACTCGGAGGGCCTCTGTAAGAATTTAAATGAGAATTCTTCAGAAGAAATAGTGTTTCAGAGTATTAACATTTAAACCCCTACTAATCCTTGAATAGTACCAAATATCATTTCTTTTGAATCAGGATACTACTTTATGCTCAAAGAAAGCGAAACTGAACAAGTGGCTTGGAAGGCATAATTATAAAGCATTTGGGTAATTATAGATTTCTAGTCATGTCACCACAACGGATTTTAGTGTAGCTGTTAATATTTCTGTTTTAAACTCTGATTTCCCTATAGCATATAACTTAAAAACTACATTTTTAAAAAACAATGCTGAAAATGGTCATAAAAGGACTTTAATAAGAAATATATAATTACTTTCTACTCCTTTTGCAGGCTGGGGGTATTAAGTCCTAAAACGAAGTTTTTGGTCATTTAATGACAATAAATTACTAAATATTTAATACCTTATAGCATATGGTCTTTTCAATAACTCAGAAATACATTTAGTTTTAAATAAAATTTAATGTGAAAAAATAAAATTTTAATAGCTCTGATTTTATAAAGTTTACTTGGAAATACTTATATTTTAAAATGTAAAATATATAAATTATTAAATATTTTTAAAATAATTTTCAGAATGTGACTTAATTGCATATTTTTCACCCTACTTAATATATTATCATCCAGAAAAAAAACTCTCAATACTTTAATACTTTTTTTAATGGCAGATATACCTTTAAAGTTGATGAAGTAGCAAGAAACATTACACATATTTGTTTCATTTGTTTCAGTGTCATCATATTTGATATGCAACTAACAAGGGATAATGTCACATGTAAAAATATACAACTTCATGTAATCTTAATGTGTTACGAACAGAAAATATATGCAGTAATTTCTGTGTGATTTCTCCATTGAGCAATGACACCATCATTGAGATAAAATTCAAAGTGAATGCTGTAACCAGAGTTGAAAGTTTTACAATGCTTCCTGAAATAAATGTCACAAAATTTGATATATGCAACACATGCTACTCATATGTAAATTAACATATGGGGAGTGTATGTGAATCACTGTTTCTGTCGTTTATTTCATGGTGCTCTGTAAAATCTTTCAATTCTGCTTATTTTTCTTTTTTATTTCTCTCAAATGAACAAATCCTTTTCAATTACAGAGAAAAGTTCACATTAAAAATACTGACACACTGGGTACTTCATTTATTTGAATTGGTCTTAAAAGAATGTCCTAGCTTTTATTTAAATACTTTTATGTGTCTATTTAAATAACTTTAATTTAAACTAATTAATCACTTTTAACTCCCTTTATGTCAACATACAACATTATATCATTTTTTGAATTGTTAATTTTACTCCTTAATTTCTGTCAATTCTAGTCAATATTCCACTTAAAGAAGAAATATATTTATTCTTCTTTGTCCTTACAAAATGAACCATCTGATCATTTCATATTTATTAATTGCTTATATTTTATTGAATTCATTAAAGTTATATTCTGTCAATATTTTGTGACCCACGTCTTAACATGATATCTTACATTAAAAAACAGAGAATGTTTAGGTAGAGAGGCAAAATATCCCTTTTTCTTAAGAATCTTGAGATCATTTACAGAGAATGGAACAAATATTTAAGTAATAGAAAACAAAAAAGAGTATCTTTGATTCCCTAACATTTCTGTGATTAATTGAAAAGTCTGAAAGTCAGTTCCTTTGAAAGAAAATTTTGAAAAATGAATAACATTTTAATTTTTATTTCTTTCTATAAAATATAAGAAGTATGTCATAATGGCACTAAATTTTTGAAAAGCAAAACTATAAATAAGATAATGAAATAATACATAATGGTTTATACCACGTATATGCATAAAAATTTAAATATAAACCATGATTTTATTATTTTTATTTACTAGTTTAACTTCCAATTATGAGTATTTCTAATGAATGAGATTTCAGAGGCAATTAAGAAAAGATGTTTTAAGTGAGCAATATGTTAAGCAATGTTGAGGATGTAGGCAATATGTTTAGAAAAGAGCAGTTGAAAGTCAGTGCAAGTTGAAGTGTAATAAGACACAAATGGAAAGGAATTGAATTTACAGTCGTATTTTGGAGGATCTTCAATGTGGCATTGTAAAGCTCATATCTAACACAGGTGGGTATGAAAGCCAATGAAGGATTTGGAGTAGGATATGATATCAGGGGAAAATAGTATTTTGGAGAATTCATCTCTCAGTGTTTTGGTTTCTTTTGTTTTGGGGATTCATTTGTTAGACTGCAAATTATGAGAGCTGTGAGGCAGCTCTCAAGAGTGCATACAGAAACAGACAAGACAGACACAAATTTGTGGTTATACCATAAATGAAGGGAGTAATTATCAGTTCATCTTGTGTCACAAGGAGATTACAATAATACTTTAGTTTTTATGACAACCATATCACATGTTTTATACAAAATTGTCACAGGATCCTTGGAGTGTCGCTTCACCAGCTGGAAACCTCTGTGGCGAGTGGAGCCTTCTGCCTGAGTATTGCTTGTACCTGCTGGACTCCTTCTGCCCACTTGGCCAGCAGGCTGCCCTTGGAGCTTCATTGAGTGACAGAACAGCTCTCAGGAGACCCAAAGTGGGTAGCTCCTTTCCGCCAGCAGGTCGTCCCAGTGAGTGTCCAGATCTCAGAGGAGAGGAGACCTGCAGTAGGTAGCTCATTTCCTCAGGCACCAGAACTAGGCAGCTCCTTTCCTCAGGAGTGTCATCCTGACAGTGGAGGAGATCTAAAGTGGGTAGCTCCTTCCTGTAGCTGGTAGTCCCATATATCTGAGTCTGGCTGAGTCCAGGGGTTTTTGTGGGCTCAGAAAAGCAAAAGTGTGTGCTGATTAGTCTATGACTGGCCATGGGCAGGCCTGGAAAAAAACATTGTTAGTTCTCACTCCTGCTCAGAACTGCCAGAACTGGCAGCCCAGGACCAGGCTGCAGGCCATCCCTTGTTTGAGGGTGAGGTTTCACCAGGGACCTGCCTCTTTCTGCCCAGGAACCTCTTTGCCTCCCACTTTCAACATGCCTCCACGGTGCCCAGGCTGTTTTCACTGAGGGATGCCTCCGGGCCCATGCTAAGCTGCCCTCAGCTCCCCCTCCCCCACCTCCCTCACATGCTCATCAGTGCCCAGAGTGAGCTAAGGCATCAGGGCGCTGCTGGCATGTTAGCGCTGCACCAAGTGCATGCACACTGCCTGGGTTGCAACAGCACCAGGGCTCGGCCACATCTTTGCTCCACTGGGGAGCAGGTGCCAGGAGTGGGGAGAGACCAGGGAGCAGAAGCAGGTACTTCCAAGTCTGTGGAGGTAGGAGGGCTTCCTGGGCCCCTGAGAGCTCAGGGATGCCAGGGTCTGGAGCCACGGCTGGGCAGCTGCAGCTGCGCCTAAGAGCACAGGGTTCCCTCCCAGATGACTCAGTAGGGGGCAGCGCTCCTGCCTGCTCCTGGCTCCCATCAGCAATGTGGAGCACACAGCCCTGCCCATGCTTCTCCAACTGCAGCTGGTGTCCCTGCAGTGGCTGCTCCAAGATGTGCCACTGCTACCATCAAAATGTTTAAAAAATTGTGTACCTGGCACATAGAAAATGAAACATGAATTTTTCCTTCATTTTTAGGAGTTATTTTTCTTTTTGTTTTAATGGTTATAAATATAAAGATGATGGTTATTTTAGAGGTAGAATAAATGGAGTCATACATTGTCCTGAAATTTAGAATACTGAAAAAAAACGGGCTTCATCAATGTGTGAACGATTAAAATAATGTGCCATTAACAAATAATAAAGATTGAAATTGACCTTGTGGCAAAATTTAAACTTGTTTTAAAGAGAGAGTTGAAAAGTTAATTCTTTGATATGGTGAGTCTGAGACAACATAATTATATAGAAATAGGGCTTTTTATTGAGAAGTAGATATGTCAATCCAATAGACACTACCAATGTCTATAAAGATTTAAAGCTCCTCCAAGGGGGAGGATTACAAATTCCCACCATGTTGAACACAGACATGACTTCCTTTAATCCGTGAACTTTGTGTAGAAGTGCCACATAGTACTCTTGGATGGAAGCTTTACAAACTGGCATGTATGTGCTACTTCAAATTTCAATTTTCTTTTCTTTCCCTTCTCTCCCTCCCTCCTCCCCTCTGTCCCTCCATCCCTCCCTCCCTCCCTCCCTTCCTGCCTTCCTGCCCCTCTCTCCACTTTCTTCTTTCTCTTTCTTTCTTTCTCTTTTTCTTTTTTCTTTCTTTCTTTCTTTCTTTCTTTCTTTCTTTCTTTCTTTCTTTCTTTCTTTCTTTCTTTTTCTTCCGTCCTTCCTTCCTTCCTTTTCTTTCTTCTTTCTTTCTCTCTCCCCTTCTTTCCCTCCTTCATTTTCTTTCATTCCTTCTTTCTTTCCGTCTTTCTTTCTTTCTTTCTTTCTTTCTTTCTTTCTTTCTTTCTTTCTTTCTTTCTCTTTCTTTCTTTCTTTCTTTCTTTCTTTCTTTCTCTCTCTCTTTCTCTCTTCTTTTTTTCTCTGGGTCTCACTCTTTCACCTAGGCTGGAGTGCAGTAGTGCAATCATTGTTCATTGTCCCTTCACACTCCTGGGCTCTAGAGATCATCCTGCCTCAGCCTCCTGATTACCTGGGACTACAGATGCACGCTAACCCACCAGGAGATGCATGTTAACCTGCCAGGCTATCCTTTTTTTTTTTTTTTTTGTAAAGATGGGTCCTTGTTTTGTTGCCCAGGCTGTCCTTCATATTTCTTATTCTATGTAGAGGAGGCCCCATCACCAGGTTCCTGAGTGATCACATCACACAGAGCTAAATTTGAATCATGGAGAGGTGTAGCAAAAGTAGAAATAAACCTTTGTTGTTGTAAGCCAATAAAATATTAGTTATTGTTCCTGTAGCAAAACTTAGCCATTTTAATGATACATGTCCTCAAGAAGAAGTAGATGAAAGATAAGAATTGTAAGAAGGAAATGACCACCATTGTCAACCATTGCCTATTTTAAAAGAATGAAGCCTAAAAAAAATTTATACAGTCATCTGGAGGGTACAATTTTACTAGTTGTGTGAATGAAAGTTTACAAGCATTAAAGGATGAAATTGTTGTATTTCCTCTGCTGAATGTTACTACCTAAAATTCAAATGTCATTCTGATGCTTGACTCTACAAATATTTTGCTTCATTTTGTTTTATCTCTTTCTCTGGAGCTCAAAAGAGGTTCTTTGGGTCTACAATGTTCTAAAAAGTCATAATGTGGTGTGTTTGCATATATTCCTAATATTCAGATGTTGTAACTCCAAATCTTCATGTGTAAACTTTGTTTTAAATGTTATTTTATTATATTTTAAGTTCTGGGGTACAAGTGCAGAACGTGCAGGTTTGTTACATAGGTATACATGTGCCATAGTGGTTCGCTGCACCCATCAACCTATGATCTATGTTAGGTATTTCTCCTAATGTTATCCCTCCCCTAACCCCCACCCCTCGACGGGCCCCAGCATGTGATGTTCCCCTCCCTGTGTCCATGTGTTCTCATTGTTCAACTCCCACTTATGGGCAAGAACATGTGGTGTTTGGTTTTCTATTCTTGTGTTAGTTTGCTGAGAATGATGGTTTCAGCTTCATTCATGTCCCTGCAAAGGACATGAACTCATCCTTTTTCATGGCTGCATAGTATTCCATGGTGTGTATGTGCCACATTTTCTTTATCCTGTCTATCACTGATGGGCATTTGGGTTGGCTCCAAGTCTTTGCTGTTGGGTATTTAATGTAATTAAGAATACAGGGAAAATAAGCTTAAAGGAGCTATTCAACTCCTCCTTTTTTTTAAGAAAGCAAAACACTCAGAGGTTGTCTAATGGGAACATCTTGTGGCATCTTTATGAATATTCATTTGGGAAAAATCTCTTCCAGTAGAACTCATGTGATCTGTGGGTGAAACAGAGAGAAAATAGGACACACACACTTGTGGGCTCTGGAATCATAGTGAGATGGACATGCTAAGCTGGAGAAAGAACAAGTCGAGAAGAGGTAGACGGGCCTGAGCTCCTGTTTTTGTGTGCATGCAGCGTCTAGAGCATGAGTTTAAGTGACTAAGACATCAACGCTTTTGATAATGTACAAAATTGAATAAAAGCATTTCCACTGACAAATATAGTTATTTTATTTGATATTTTGCACTTTTTAAATTTGGCTCTATTTTCAGTTATTTTCCCTTCAATTTTACCTGCTAACTTTTCTGTTGAATTATTTTTTAGTTGCACTATTGTAATTTTAATTCCACAAAGTCTAATTTTTTCTCAGAAAGATGTATGTGTCTATTCTTTTTCATAGATGTGATGTATTTACTTATTTTCCCCAGAATCTTAATGAGATTTTTTTGTGTGTGTGAAATCATCTCTATTCTGAATGCTGAGAATGGGAGGAAGGCTGGCTTGGATGTCTGAGTACATCCTCCCAAGCTATGCCTTTTGTCCCTTATTTCAGAAATCTTTTCTTTGACATTGTTCAAAGAATAAGTTTCCAGTTATCTCCTCGGATGTGAGTGAAATCGTTTCCTAGCAATGATCAATGGGAAGAGATCTGAGTACTCAACTATCTCTTAAACTCTAAAACATTACTTTGTAAGACAAATTTCTGTGACATTTTAGGGTATCCCAATTCCTTCAATTCCTGAAGATTCTGTGAGTAAATCAGTTTACTTTTTGATTTTCCTTACTGCTAGCTCTGACTCAACATCCTTAGCTCCACTGAATAATTTTCTGTCTTCCACCTCCTTTCCAGATTCCAATAGTTTCCTATTAAAATTCTCACAATTTATTGTCTTTAGGGTTTATGGTAAACTTTTTACCACTTATGGATGCTTATCTTTTTTGAGATTTCAAGAAGTGGAAACTCAGGAGTTACCATTTTCTTTATTAAAAAACCAAAAAAAGTCTGGGCACGGTGGCTCATGCCTGTAATCCCAGCACTTTGGGAGGCCGAGGTGGGCAGATCACGAGGTCAGGAGATCGAGACCATCCTGGCTAACACGGTGAAACCCTGTCTCTACTAAAAGTACAAAAAATCAGCCGGGCATGGTGGTGGGCACCTGTAGTCCCAGCTACTTGAGAGGCTGAGGTAGGGGAATCACTTGAACCTGGGAGGCGGAGCTTGCAGTGAGCCGAGATCACACCACTGCACTCCAGCCTGGGTGACAGAGTGAGACTCTGTCTCAAAAAAACAAAACAAAACAAAAAAAACCAACTTCTTTATTGAGGCTGGGCGCGGTGGCTCAGGCCTATAATCCCAGCACTTTGGGAAACCAAGGTGGGCAGATCACCTGAGATCAGGAGATCGAGAACAGCCTGGCCAACATGGTGAAATCCTATCTCTACCAAAAATACAAAACATTAGCCAGGCATGGTGGCATGTGCCTGTAGTCCCAACTACTCAGGAGGCTGAGGCAGGAGAATCTCTTGAACCCAAGAAGCAGAGATTGCAGTGAGGTGAGATCGTGCCATGCACTCCAGCTTGGGCAACAGAGCGAGACTTCATCTCAAAAAACAAACAAACAAACAAAAACTGTAATGAAATGTAATTCATATAGTATGCAAATTATTTATTTACCAAACCAAATCAATGTATTTTAGCTTTTAGCACACTGAGTTGTGCAACGATCACCACAGTTTAAATTTCAATATTTGCATTAGCTATTTTCACTTTAGGGAATGTTTGTATGTGAGTATAAACACACACATAAACACACTTATGTTTCTAAATTTGTGCATATATATACATATGTGTGTTTGTACATATGTACATATGTACGTAATACATAGGCAGTTATGTGTGTCCATATACATTAACACATTCCAACAGGTCAACAAATCCTTCTTATCTTAGCAGCTTTTTTTAATTAGTTAATTGTTTTGAAAAAGAGGATGCCTCATATTTTGATAATATTCATTGACTTTCAGATGTGGATCTCAGGTTTAAATCTTTCTGATAATGTTATTACCTTGATATTCTGACTTGTATCTCCCTGTGTGTGTGTGTGTGTGTGTGTGTGTGCATGCACATGCACACGCATTTAATTTTACTTTTGTCCTCTGACAGATTAATGTTGATATATTTGTCATTAATGCTAAAATATTTTTCCCCAAATTGTCATTTTTGTTTCATTAAGGCTATTTTTCTGGAAATAGGTTAATTTATTGGGTGTGCACCCAATTTTTAAAATCTTTTTCATCAATGTTTAGAAAGGCCATCACAAGATTGCTTTCGAATTATTTTTATATCCAGTTTACACTGACAATTTAGTGATATTACAACATATGTGGGTTTATAATATTAAAAGTTTGCATTGACGTCTCAAATATTTAGCAAAGTTTACTTTTCTATTTTTTCCATGATCGAAATTTAGTTTAATTTAGAATGTAGAGTAAAATCTTCTATTATTTAAACAATCTGGATATGAATTAGTCATAAATGTTTCCTGTTTTCAAGTAAATATATATACACCTGTTTATATGAAATAATTAATAGAGTCAGTTGGCCTTTATAAGTTGGTGTATTTTATTGGCTATTTCTTGGAGCATACATGGCATCCCATATTTTTGGTGTCACTAGCTGGCTTTCAGATGGGTAACTTAGGTCTTAATTTGGCTGGATAATATTCTTTCTTTAGTACATTGACTTACTTTTATGTTCCTGAGTAACCTCTCCTCCCCACAGCTATATACATTTTAACATTCTATTTGGAAACCTAAACTAGGAAAACAAATTGCAGTCAGCTTTTTTATTCTTCTTTATAATATGAAGAGGTTTTATATATATATATATATATATATATATATATATATATACACACACACATATATATATACACACACATATATATATACACACATATATATACACACATATATATATATACACACACACACATATATATATAAACACACATATATATGTAGTTGAAAAAACAATAACATAATTAGATGTTGCTTTAGGCTTTTTTGTCCATCTCACATGCCCTGGACCTTTGGATTGTGACAATCATCAGTGTCACAGATAGGAGAATTTGAGATGATAAGGTTTTCTGTAGTCTTTTGGAGAATAAACCCTGAGACCAGAGAAAGCAATGTATTGGTTTGTTTGGCAAAGTAATTTTTTTGTTGCAGTAATAGAGCAGCATGTGGATTAGAACAGACTCTTCAGGGTGCTATGGTAGGTTATACCTTTAAATTACTAGAACTATAAATAGAAGGATATACAATGTCTGTACTAAAGAAGTGATGCTGCCATAAATGCACACAGTGTAGTATGTCATAGCACAACATTTAATAGGCAAGTGTATATGAACTCTTGATATGTATCTTTTTCTTGAAACAATTTTTTAAAATATCTCTAAATTTATTGTTTTTTAAATTTTGAACTGAAGGAGAAAATAGCTATTTTGAAAATTCTGCCTGAAATGTGACTTAAGATTTAATGCAAACCATACAAAACACAACATTTATAATCATCTACTAATTATAAGGCACAATGTGGGAGCCACATTAATTTATTTTCAATGAAAATGTATGTACCAATGTAAATGAGCCTTGGACAGGCTCTAGACACGTATCACTTACAGTCAAAATGTAGACTAATTTCATTTGAAGAGATATTTATCCTGGTTTCCAAGAGATAATCAAGCATGATCTGAGCATATTAGAGAGAATAAATAGTCTGCAAAGTTTATGATTCTTAAACTTCATTCTCAAATCTTTATGTGCATTTTTTTTAGTACTAGCTGCATTTCTGAAGTGCAGCTTCTGGAAATTCCATTAGGAGCCACATCTGTGTAGTCATAATATATGTTCATTGAAGAAAGCGATTTTTAAGAGATTCATGAAGCTTTAGGAGTTTAGCACAAAAGTGGCCCTGCTGGTGGAAATGCACCCTTCATAAATGAACACTTTGAGTGGATGAGGCAGTACATCACAACAGATCAATAATCAGCATGATGTACTGTCTCATGGCAAACTTTCTCTTCCCCGTACAACATATAATAGATCAATAGGAAAATAATTCCAAGCATAAAGTTACTGGCAAATAATTATGTTTGAATTATTTCCTTTGAATATTTTTCCTCTGGTATTTCAGTTCAGTTTAAACACACAGAAAAAGGCAGAGTAATAAAATTTAATCAGGTAAGAAACAATTTGGAATATAGTTGACCTGCTTCCCATAAAAGTACTAACTTGTCAATTATTTTGCTTAGGAGTTTCTCCCCAATCCCCATCCCACTCTTGATAATTGTATATTTTTTCTTCACCAGTGACAAATATAGACCCAGGACAATCCAACAGGATATGTTTCCCTTTCAAATTCTGACTTATGCAATAAGCATTTTTTATAGAGTGCCTCTAAATATTTCAGACTCGGTTTGCAGTACTGAGGATACAATTATGAAGGAGATATCACTGTTTTCAAGTTGTGGACTCTTCAGGGGAAGACACACAATAATAAAAGTACATTTAAGACTATGTGGTAAGTGCTATACGGAAGTTGCATGATGGATATGTTGTGAGTGGAGAGCTATGTGCAGCTGGTCAGCTTCTAGGTATCATGAAAAGCCTTGCAAATAATGCAAAGTCTCAGATGGTGTAAGAAGGAAAGAGAAGTTAGATGTATCCCGAACACTAGCAGGAAAAGTGGAAAGTCAGGGAAAATGCACAGAGGTGGCAGATAAGTAGGTATGTTACAGAAACTCCTGTTTATGTTAGAAGCTCACCAAAACTAAGAAACTATTACATTGGTGCAAAAGTTGTTGCGGTTTTTGCCATATTTTCAATAGCAAAACCCGCAATTACTTTTGCACCAAAGTAATATCTGCTTAATAAAGCTCAGAGAGAAGCATATGAGGTCTTATGATTTCCATAGCCAGAAAATGGTAGATCTGCCATACCTCAGTCCTTGGAAATAAATCAGAACCTTCAAATGTAGTCATAATCGGAAACTTTTTTTTTTTTTTCAGAGAGGGAGTCTTGCTCTGTCACCCAGGCTGGAGTGAAGTGGCATGATCTCAGCTGACTGCAACCTCTGCCTCCTGGGTTCAAGCAATTCTCCTGCCTCAGCCTCCTGAGTAGCTGGGATTACAGGCGCCCACCACCACACCTGGCTAATTTTTGTATTTTTAGTAGAGATGGGCTTTCACCACATTGGCCAGGCTGGTCTCGAACTCCTGACCTCATAATCCACCCGCCTTGGCCTCTGAAAGTGCTGGAATTATAGGTGTGAGCCACCGCGTCTGGCTGGAAACTTAATTTTTTTAAATGATATTGGCCAATTGTCATATAATTGCCTGTCCAGTATCTAAATGCTGAATCTCCCCCACATTTTGAAATCCCCCCCACTGTGTAAATAAGTATTATTGGGGAGGAGAATTCATCTGTTACTGTAATAGCTCATTCAGGCAATTCTTCCTACATAGTGAAAACACATGACTTAGCCAATCAAATGCATCCATCTAGCATGTATATTCAATATCTAGTGATACAAGAACAAGGATAGTAAAAAATTCATCTTAGCGGGTAGCTATGGAAGTGGTAGCAATACTGAGTTTCCAAGGGTACTTTCCAAATGGTGCTGCCAAGTGCTGGCAGCGTCTACAATGCAAGCTATGGTACATGGTATCCAGCAGTGGTAATAGTAGTTCTCACCAGATGTACTGATTTTCCATGACTACTTTCTTAGTCATGTTCTATATCTGCCTGATTTTCCAAGCTAAGTGCACCGCTGTTATGGAAGCTGTGAATTGCCTAAATCCTTTCAATAAATTCCTTTAATGTTTAAAATGATCTCAATAAAGATAAGTACTTATACCTAACAATCCAGCTAATGTGTGCATATCACAATATGACTGCTGACACAAGTTTTCACAGTTTTATGGACAATTTTATCAACTTAGAGCATAAGTCACACCCACAGGCTTTATATAAATACTTAAGCTCCCTCAAAAATCCCTATCCACTTCCTTCATCTTGGTTATCAAATGGTAGCATGCAAGATATGTAAAATCATCCTCATTGACTTCTTTTTCTCAGAAATAATTGATGGGAGCATATGGACATTTTATTTGAAGAATAAAGAAGAGTCAAGTATGCATTAAGGATTTGCACAGATAGAAATGTAGATGAAAATCATCACATATGGTAAGTCAAGTGGATATTCAACCCAACGGATCAGTATGCTTGGAGAACATGTTATCTAATGAGGAATCATTGAGGATGAGGCTGACAAAGAGGTAAGCAAGGATTAGGTCATAAAAAACAGTTTACATTAGGCTATCAGATTTGGATTTAATCCTGTAGACAAATGCTTCACAAAACATATTTGTCTACAAATCTTCTAGACATGTAAAAAGGAAAAAAACAGAAAAGTACAGATTATTTAGTCTCAACTTCAGTGTTTAAGATTTAAGTAAGTTAAAGATAGGTTAAAAATGGCATTAAAATTCAGCACTTTGGGAAATTTGAAATGAGTAATACAGTAATATATTTTGGGGAACTTCACTTCGGTTCTCTGACAATTTATTCCTTCATTTAGTCAGTCACTTAACACATTGAAAATCCCAGTGTGGATTCCAGATATTGAGAATACAGAAGTTAATGCTTGAGAGAGACATCAGCCCTCATGCAGCTTACATTCTAGTATTTTGCATGTAGTAGTGGTAGAGAGGAGGAGGAAACCAATAAACAAATAAAAAGTTAAATGGATATGTTGCACAGAAAATTAAAGTGAAGTAAGAATGAGTTAGTGTGTTTGGAATCCACGTTTTATGGTTAATCAGAAAAGCGCTTCTTTGAAGGAGATAGCTGTGGAAAGATGTAAAATGCACCAAGAAAGAAGCTGTAAAATACCCTAAAGAACAGCAAATACAAATACCAGAACTTGGAATGTGTTTGATAAATCTAAAGAATGTCAAAGAAACCAACATGTGTGATGAAGTGGACAAATGAGAACTTCTGCTGGCCATGGCCCAGATCTTCTCAAGGCAACTTAGGAATGTTGGAAGTACTTTGCTTTTATTTTTATTGAGATGGGAAGTTATTGGAAGATCTTTATCAGAGGGTAGACTTGATCAGATTATTATGCAATGAGATCAGATAGTCACCATGTATACTACATCGTGCTCAGGTGAAAAGTTTGGTTTAAGGAGATGAGATACATTACTCCTTCTTATGGAAGCAAAGAAGAAATATAGAGATTCAGATGAAAGTTGGTTAATATAATTGATGGGAGCATGTGGACATTTTATTCTGAATGTTCCCCTTTTCTCAGTAAAATAAAAATAAAATAAAATAAAATAAAATAAAATAAAATAAAATAAAATAAAATAAAATAAAATACTCAGCATTACTATTGAGTGTTGTCTTATGACCTGAGACTATGTTTCAGGGTTGCAGAAAGAGGAAAGGAATAAAATTCTCATTGAGAGGAATGGACTAGAGGCCTACAGGGGATTTGTTAGGTAGCACTAAGGGAAAGCTTATAAACTGAAATTATGAATGTCAAATAGGGCCAGCTAGTATGTTTGTTATTTTCCTCCAGCTACCTTCAGCTCTGCTTCTGCAGGAAAAGAGTGATCAAAGACCTAAATTTGACTAGAACATTTTTACCCCCTGGGTGAGATGATGGGAAAAAGGTACAGGGAGTTTGAATGTGAATAAATATTACTGATTTTAATGACCAGTCATGGAATCTTTTAAGCTGGGTGAATAAGGATGTGAGGGCAGGATGAAACTGAGTGACAGAGATGATGAGATAAAGCCTATGTATGTATTGTAGATGCTGATGGGTAAAAGGGTTGTATGATTTTGGATTCTGGAAAGATTAAACAAGAAATATTTGAGGTGGCAGCCTGAGTCTGATGCTTATGTATTAAATTTTGAAAAGTTTCCAGTTTTTACTCATGTCAAAGTCTGAGGTTGACTGTGAAAATTGATGGCTGGTGTTAGGTAGAAGATGAAATCATAAGGGGAGAAGACTTCAAAGTAATGAGAGGCCAAGGTAGTTGGGGAAATAATGTATGTGGGTAATGAAATCACCAAGAATTATGACAGGATTAGTATCAGAGAGTGGGACATTGAGCCAGAAGTTAAAAAGGATCAGGCATAGTTACCAGCATCACTAGAAAATAGCAATATGGAAAGATTCTCATTGCAAATGGAACAATATATGCAAAAGCCTCATGAGCTTACATAATTTCAATAATGAAGTATTTCAGTTAACTTGAATTATGAAATATTACTGCTTTTGAAAATGTCTGAATGACATCTTGAAATCTTCACAGCTAATGAGTAGCAAACGCAGGAAATATTTTTATTTGTGGGGAGGGTTGTGTCAGGGGAAGGATGAGATTTAGATACTTAAAAGACTTTTAGAACTTGATGGCAGTAGTTGTTTATTAATTAATTTCTACATTTATGGTTTTGTTTTTCCTTGAAGGAATTTATCACTAGTATTTCTTTGATGATTAAAAGTTTCAATAGAGATTATTCATTTGGAAAATTAATAGAGAGAAAGGAGAAGAGATTTTTGAAGTTATCCCACTTTTAAAATATGTTATTTTTAATAGATAGTCATTAGAAAGGCAAATAAAGCAAAAACCCAATGAACAAATGTTCAGGAGCTGGCAAAAGCAAAAACCCTCAAAAAAGAACAAGTCCCATGCTGTGGACCTCTCAGGCCTCCATGATTGCCTTGAGAGGCATTTACCATGGAGGGGAGCAGAGGAAGCTGTGAGCCTTGGGGGCCAAGTCTCCCCCGACTCAACATCCAGGGAACGTGAAACACTAGAGATAAAAGGGTGATGCTATTGTTTGGATATTTTTCTCTCCAAACCTCATTTAAAAATGTGGTCCCCAACGTTGAAGGTGGAGCTTAGTGGAGGTATTTGGGTCATAGGGGTGGATCCCTCATGAATAGATTAATGTCCTCCAGTTGGGGTTGGGTGTGGGAGTGTGAGTGAATTCCTACTCTGTTAGTTTCCTCAAAAACTGGTTGTTTAAAAGAATCTGGCCTCTCCCCCTACTCTGTTTCTTCCTCTCTTGGCACACGATCTCTGTGCACACCAGCTCCCCTTCACCCTCTGGCATGAATGGAAGCAGCCTGAGGCTTTCACCAGATGTCCCATCTTCCAGCTAGACAAATAAAACTTTTTTCTTTATCAATTACCCAGCCTCTGATATTTTTTTACAGCAATGCTAAATGGACTAACACAGATGATTTAAAAAAAAATGATTGGAAGAAAAGAAAAAAAGAAATGAAGCTATGAAGGAAGAGGAAGAGGAAAAGGGTGAGAAAAAAGAGTGGGCAAAGAGTAGGCACTGAAACCCAGGAGAGTATGAATAAAACAGAAGCAACATTTTCATAGGTAATTAGGCAAGGATTGAAAGAGACAAAGAGAAGAGAGCAGGGGTTAATTAGTATGCAGTTCTTATGAGGAAGGATTTTTTTGAGGTAGAATTATCTGAACTGTGAGAAATGAGAAGCAGAAGAAAATTAGTGCACAGCATGTGTGTGATACCCAGGACAGGCACAATGTGGGGAAGAATCATTCGAGCCGACAGCCTCCCACATGTGGCATCACACTGCAGAGTCAGCCTAGGACAGCTTAATTGCCATTGTATGCTGGGGTGTGGCAGAATGACACTGGGCTAGGCTAGAAAGAGAGACCATTTAGACCTGACTATGCTGGATTTCCACAAATCAGGTCTATGTAACTTTATGGAGTGGTTCACAGAGTTGAAAATTTAATGTTCCTTTTCATCAGCATCAATAAAGTTTAAAATGGAACAAAATTAAAAGAATCTATGTGACAAAAATTACTCTAAATCAGTGTAATCTTTAATGTATCTTCAAATTTCTTATATAACCACAATCTGGCTTTGAAAATACAGTGTTATTCTTTTTAACATAAGTAATGATACATGATAGAAAATTCACAAGACAATGTCATATTTACCTATGATTTTTGTATTTAAAGGCGTTTTAAATTCTGTTTGACATTTTCAATGTATGTTGAGTGTTTTAGGCACTCTTGAATTGTTATAAAGAAATACCTGAGACTGGTAATTTATGAAGAAAAAAGGATTAATTGGCCCACGGTTCTGCAGACTGTACAGGAAATGTGATATTGACATCTACTTGGCTTCTGGGGAGGCCTCAAAAACTTAGAATCATGGCCAAAGGCGAAGGTGGGTCAAGTGTCTCAAACGGCCAGAGTGGGAGCAAAGGGGTGGGGAGGTGTCATGCATTTTAAAATAACCAGATTTCAGAAGAACTTACTCTCACAGCAACATCACCAAATCATGAGGGATTCACTCCCATGACCCAAACACTTCCCACCAGGTCCCACCTCCAACACTGGGAGTGACATTTCAACATGAGATTTGGCGACGACAAACATCCAAACTCTTTCATTGGGCTTATATAAGTGAGTCAACAAATATAAGGGCACACACTGAAGTGTAATTCTCACTATACAAGAAATAAAGTTCACTTAATTTTTAGTTAAATGAACCTAAAATGATTAAGACTAAAACACTTTTGATAAAGAACAGATTGGACCGTGGGAGAATCCCATTGGAAGCGTTTAGCAACTAGTCTTCTTGTTGGCAAGCTCTGAAAAACTGACAGAGTTGCCTAAAGAAAAAGAGACGATTGGACGGTGCAGAAGGGCCGAGAACTGGAGAACCAGGTTATAAAGAAGAGCAGGTTGGATGCTTTGGATGTACTGCACTCCATCCCCTGGGCTAACCTGTGATTTCTGTCACAGTAGTCCATGCTAACAGTGTCCTACCTGAAGCTAGCACTTAAGTATCTCCACCTTTCTGTCTCAGGGCTTTCTCTGAAGCCTGAGGAGCCTGCTGACCTAAGGGTGTAGCCAAGTGTGTAGGGAAGTCAAATACCCTCAGGGCATCCCTCAACCACTAGGGAATAATTGCCGTGGATAAATGTCCCAGCCTTCAGATAAACCAGTGTGTAAGGTGTTCTAGTTACCTCTCCAGCACCCACTCCTGTGCCTAATGCAAGGACTTTACATTAAACATCTTGGTCTTTTTTCGACTTTTTTTCTGTTTCAGTCTCTGTTCCTTCAACCCTGCAATGTGCAGTCAAATTTGCATTTCAAAATCTGCTGTTAAGGAAACCTAACTTAAAATAACAGGCAATAAAAAAGTGCTGGTAATGTTCATTAAAGTAACGTGCTTTCCTCAAGGTAGCACCACAGATTCAGATAGTGTTAGTCATGAGCCACCATCTCAATTGTCCAAGGAACCAGTGTCTTTTTGCTCTAGCTTCACTCATGGGTTCACTGATTGACTCTGAGGGCTGTTTTATCTTTCTATTGCTGCTGCAACAAATTAACAAAATAGTAGTGGCTTAAAACAAGACAAATTTATTACCTTATAGTTTTGCAGGTCAAAGTTCAAAATAAGTCCTACAGGATTTAAATCAAGTTATCAGCAGGGCTGCAGTTTTTCTGTAGCCTCCAGGGGACAATCAGTTTCCTTGCCTTTTCCAAATCCTAGAGACCACTTGTATTCTTTGGCTCATGGACCCCACAACCATCTTCAAAGAACATGTCACTAACCTCTTCTGTCATCCTATCTCCTTTTCTGACTCTGATGCTCCTGCCTCCTTCTTATAAATCCTGTGGGTTTACATTGGCCCACTAAGATAATCCAGGGTAATTTTTGCATCCCCAGATTATTAACTTAATCAGATTTGCAAAGTAGCTGTGCCATGGAAGATGGCATATCCACAGGTTCCAGAGATTTGGACAGGGTTACCTTCGGGAGAGTGGGAGGCACATTACTTTGTCTGCTAGAGTAGAGCACTCTGAATTAGAGTGACAGCAAATTTTATCCAATATGGTGAAGCTATCCCTTCTGGAATAAATGTAGAATGCTAGAAACTGAGGTTGGACTCAATGGTACCGGAAATCACAAACAACAAATGTCATGAAAAAAAAAATATTCCAGTCAGGGAAACATGGCAAAACCCTGTCCCTACAAAAAATACACAAATTAGCTGGTGGCGCATGCCTGTGGTCCCAGCTACTCTGGAGGCTGAGGTGGGAGGATCGCTTGAGCCCAGGAGGTTGAGGCTGCAGTGAGGTGAGATCTCACCACTGCACTCCAATATAGGAGACAGAGCGAGAACCTGTCTCAAAAACAAACAAACAAACAACAAAAAAACCACAAAATTTTCTGCTTATGTATGCTTTATTTTTCTCCCAATCATTCTTTCGAGAACACTAATTAACTGCTAGTGTATCAGTTACTAACTAGACACCAGAGGAACCTATGTTACTCCTACCCTCTAAATATCTTTTAGCTCACTATATTCAGAAAGCTTGGGCATGGGGCAAGTTTTTTTAAAAACTGCATCTCCTTTTTCAAAAGTAAATTAAAGTTTGGATTAGATATTTAAGTAGAAATCTCAGAAAGCAAATACAACTTCCTTTAGGTAAACCCACACTTCTCAAAGTTAATAAGTAGTAAATGTAGTGCAACACCTGACCTCTGCGAACAACACCCATGTATATGCACACAGTCACACACCACACACACACACACACACACACAAACACCCATGTATATGCACACAGTCACACACCACACACACACACACAAACACCCATGTGTATGCACACAGTCACACACCACACACACACACACAAACACCCATGTATATGCACACAGTCACACACCACACACACACACATACACACATACACACAAGCATTCCTATACTTGAATATTTAGAATATTTAGGAACAGTTCAGTTTGGGCATTGTCTGAAAATTGTTGGAAATTATGCCCTAGAAGAAAAATTTATCTTCACTCTGAAAGCTACCTACTTTTCTAATACCTTATATTGTCTGTTTCCCTTCCTTGCAAACCCTTGCAGTGTGATATATCTATCGTCGTTAACCAAACCTATGACACAATTCTTATCTATTCTACCATCCTCCACAGTTTCTCTGTTCCTACCCTCACTCCTTCAGACAGAAGGTCATTTTCAGTCCCTACCTCCTGTCTCATTTGCTTGTTAATTTATTAAAATCTTTCAACACACACCTCATACACACCTTCCTATTGGACTTTTTACCTGTCTCCACACAGGAAATAATGACTCCATCTTCAGCTAACTCTTCTTACATAATTAATAAATTACATGTATAGTTCATTGCTTATTGTAAGACTTATTAAAACATCTACCACTTTTACCAGAGAGCTCTTTAAGAAAAAAAATCTAACACTTTGGCTGGCAAAATAAATAGTTGCAATCATGATTTTAATAAATTGCCTTGAATTGAATTGAAACTAATTGAAGCAACAGATAGAATGTGGCCAGATTATAGAATGTCAAGGAATTTAGCTATTTCTCTAAGCAGCAAATAGTGAGCAGAGTTACAATTGCAAAAATATTAATCTACATGTGGTGTAAATGAAGAAAGAAAAATAAAATGCAGTTGGACGTAAGAGTTTAATATATTTCAGTTAAGGGAAAGTAAGGGATGGAATTAGCACTAAGGCTGTGAGAATAAGATATTGCTAACTTAGAGAATGCCTTTCCATTTAAACATGTTACAACATATAGTTATTTTTAAAAAGATTTGCTTAGGTCAAGTTGTTCAAGAAAAGTTTCATTCCAACATATGGAAAGAAAGAAAAATGTTCTCCAGATGTTAATCTGCACTATAGCAACAAAAGATTCTATCTGCTGTTACTAGTTTTAGTTCTTCTTCCTATGACTCAAATTACATTTTCAAATTGTTTAATTTAGTCTAATTTTATGAATTTGCTTTAAAGTTCTTTCTGGGAGTTCCCTAGGAAGTCTCCTGCAGTCTTTTGTAGCTAATGAGCGATAACAAAATCACTTGTTATACGTGACAGGAATGTTTTCCAACAGACTGTTAGTCCAGTGATGTTATCACACTTTCATTATTTAATTCCACTTGGTCTTTGTAATTGTTACCTTATAATTAATAGGAAAAATGTTTTGATTGGCTAGGAAAATATGTGGGAGAACATAGCTTCTTTCCAATTTTGTTCTTTAGCTTAAACGTGATGAAAACAGTTCTTAGCACTCATGTCTTATCTCATGTTTAATACACTTCACAAAACTAGATGAATTAGTTCATATACCATTTCTGGAAAGTAGATATTTCCTGGGTCTTCAAAATCATGTTTGTTTTCTTCTTTTTTTTTTTACGGCTTCATCAAGTGCTAACTAAAATAGTGCAAAAGAAAGAAAGGTATGCCTTAAACTAATTTTAAACTGGGGAACAATGCTTTTTCTAAAATATGGATTAATTATATTTTGAAATGTATATGAAGTACAACAGAGGGCTACGGCAAAGTTCTCTAATGAATATGTATTTTTTTCAGTGATGACAAGATTAAGATTACTCCTCAGCTCCAATCCTGAATTAAAAATTATCTCACGTGAAATATCAACCAATAAGGGTGGAAGGAATAATAAAACTTAAAAAATTATCCGTTCACAAAAAAACATAGTAAAATGTGATGCAGGAAATAATTGTGAATTGATGCTAAACTTTGGGCAGAATGTTGTTGAAAAACAGGCTATTTACTTAGTTTCAAATGATCAATTCACAGATTAGTCATTCACTACAAAAGGAAGTTGTTTACCTTTACCGTATAACAATCAGGCAGATGCCATTTTAATTGAGTGGTTGAACTTAACATTACCAATAATGAATTGCCATTACATACCTTAAAATGTGATACCTCGAGAATAACACAATATCACCTATGTGATATTCCTGTAAAAACAAAGAAGAATAAGAAAAATAACCTGAATCTAATCATGAGGAAACAATCAGGCAAACCAAAATTGAAAGACATTATGCAAGATGAATGACTTGGAATTTTAAAAATATGGTAAAGCTATTAAAAATAGCTTTTAGTTGATTTAAAAAATCAACATGGTAAACTCTTCTAGATTAAACAAACTAAAATACATTGCATTGGTTGGATTCTTATTTGGATAAGAGAAGAGTTTAAAACACTTTATTAGGTTAATTGGAAACTTAAAATATGGACCCTACATTGAATATTTGCATTGTTTTAGTATTAAGTTGATTAAGTGCAACCTGTCTGGTCACAAATGAGTACTGAGTATATTGCTTAAATACAAAGAGATCTTCCCTTGGCCTGGCATTTACTTCTAGTTATTTAATTGTTTCTCAGCTTCCTTTCATTCAACATTTTTGCAAAGAATTGTATACATATAATAGTGATACATGATACCCTCCTTTCACTTTGCCACCCACTGAAGTTTAGCTTCCAAGGTCTCCGTTTCACAAATGGCTCCTGCCATTCCTTATAAATACAATGGGTTTATTTCAGTCTTTTTCCTAATTTATTTCTCTCTTCCATATTTAATACCTTTCTTAAACAACTTCTGTTCCTAATTTCTATGATGCTATTACCTGCTTCTCTTTCTACCTCTCAGTTTTTGCTATTCATTTCACTAGGTTTTTCTTGGCCATTTCATAAAAGTGGATATTTCCCAAGCTTTTTTTCTATATCCCTTGTTTGTTTTTGTTTGTTTGTTTTTGTTTTGTTTTGTTTTGTTTTGTTTCACTTTAACATTCTTCATGGCTTATTTTACTCAGGTCCTAACACTTCTACTATCACTTTTGTAAAAATGACACTCATGCCTACAAGGACACATCAAACTTATCTTCAGATGTATACATCCAAATACCTGCCAGCAGTCTCTAGCTGGATATTTTAAGAGCCCGTGTATTATAATAGATCCAACATTGAGCTTAGTGTTATTTTATACCCACATTCATTCACCTTCCTTTATTTAGCTTTATATAAACAGCTTCCCACTTCTCAAAGTCTGTGGATTCATCATCCTTCTGTTAAGTTTGTCAAAATTTATTAAACAATGAAGTCTTACCTTATTTCCCCAACCTTCTTTCCACTGAATTTGAATTAATATTTAAATCCTGCAAGTATAGATTTAGAATATCGCACATACAAAAATATCCTCCCTCCCTTGCCCATCATCTTTGACATTAGCTTAGTCCAAATAATTTATTATCTTCTTTGGAGAATCGCAATAATGTTGTTTTGTCCCACCAGCTCCTTTATAGTCTACAGTATGCCACCATCGTCATCTTCCTGCCATATATATCTTCCTTTTCACTGCCTTGATCAATAGTCTTCATTTGCTCCCCAAAGTCTTTTTTTTCTTTTCTTTTCTTTTCTTTTTTTTTTAACAGAGTCTCCCTCTGTCACCCAGGCTGGAGTAAGTGGCACGATCCTTGGCTCACAGATACCTCCACCTCCAGGGTTCAAGCAATTCTCCTGTCTCAGCCTCCCAAGTATCTGGGACTACAGGCACACGCCACCACGCCCAGCTAATGTTTGTATTTTTTTTAGTAGAGACGGGATTTCACTATATTGGCCAGGCTGGTCTCGAATGCCTGACCTCATGATCCACCAGCCTCGGCCTCCCAAAGTGTCCCAAAGTGCTGGGATTACAGGTGTGAGCCACGCGCCCGGCCCCCAAAGTCTTAAGAATACATTTTAAACTTTTATGCATGAGATACAACATTGTTCTTCATCTGCTTTGTGAATACTCCTCCAGACTCATCTCGGCTTGCTCCATCACTCCATATACATCAACAGTAACTGTATGTCTTTGAGCTATGCGTATTAGTCAGGATTCTCTAGAGGGACAGAACTAATAGGATAGATGCATGTATAAAGGAGAGTTTATTAGGAGAATTGACTCACATGATCACAAGGTGAAGTCCCACAAGTTGAAGAGCAAGGAAGTCCATCCGAATCCCAAACCCTCAAAAGTAGGGAAGCCAACAGTACAGCCTTCAGTCTGTGGCTGAAGGCCCCAGAGCCCCTGGCAAACCACTGGTGTAAGTCCAAGAGTCCAAAATCTGAAGAACTTGGACTCCTATGTTCGAGGGCAGGAAACATCCAGCACAGGAGAAAGATGAAGGCCAGAAGATTTGGCAAGTCAGCCTCTTCCACCTTCTTCTGTCTGCTTTATTCTAGCCATGCTGACAGCTGATTAGATGATGCCCACCCAGATTGAGGGTGGATCTGCCTCTCCCAGTTCACAGACTCAAATGTTAATCTCCTGAGACAACATCCTCATAGACATATCTAGGAACAATACTTTGCATCCTTCAATCCAATCAAGTTGACACTCACTATTAACCATCACACTATGCTTTCTCATTTCTCAAGCCTTTGCATTTGTAGTTATTTCTGCCCGGAAGTCCTTCCTGTGAGTGTTCATCTGGTTGACTGTCTCTGAAGTTTGGTTCACATGCTGCTCTAGACTTTCCTAGGCCCATTTTAGCTCCACTTCAGGCATTGCTCTCTTAATGCCTTGTTTTTCCTGTATTTCAGAAAATACATTATTGTATTGCAATAGCTATTTTACATTATCATCTCCTCAGCAGAGAACAATTATAGATGGAAACAAGCAACAGTCTCTCTCTCTTTTTTTTTTTTTTTTTTTTTTTGCCTGTATTTCCAGACCTATCATATCTGGAACTTCTTGGCAATTCAAGGCAAATTATTAAGAAATTAATATATTAAGAGGAAGTCTTCAACCTGGTCTAATTGTATCAATAGAAGTCAAATATTATAAACAAGTTTGTTAGTGATCTAGGCACTCATAACAATAATAGTTACTGACTAGTACAAACTGAGTGACATCTCCTGGAGACATGCAAGGAATTTAAGCTGACAGAGAACAATTATACAATTGTAGTATCCATTGATAGTGTGGTACACATTCCTAGGAGCACAAAGGAATTCATTAGATGTTATTTAATCTCTAGTTTCTTCATTTCTTTGATAAGATATTATCAACTTTGTTTTAGACTTAGAATCAAAAGAACAAAATAACTTTTGCAAAGTCATGAGTTACCTTTAATCATTTAGTCATGAAACAAGTCAGTATAGCTATGAGAATAAAGTTTCCTATTTTAAACTTAGTATGTTTCTCAATCTTAACAGTGTTCCATCTCATTTGTTAGAAGCAACTTACAAAAATAGATTTTATTGGTCATTTTGGCAGTCTACTTAATTTTTAAATTGCATGGATGATGTTGTTAAAATAAGAGTTATTTTTAGTATGACAATAATTCATGTCCATCATAAAAATTTTGCTAAAATATTTTAACTAAAAATATCAGATGAAGATGACTCTTAACATTTTAGTATACCTTCCCAATTTTCTTTTTCTGCCACATAGTCGCAAAGTGGGCTCTAATAAGAACTCTTTTTTAATCTTGAATCCTGTTGCATGATACCAGGTAAATTGTTTAACCACCCCATGACTTGGGGTTTTCCTCTGTAAAATGGTGATAATAATAATAATAATACTCATATCATTAGTTTCCTTTGAAAATCAAACAGAATTATCTATATAAGACGCTTAAACCATAGTCTAGAATTGCGTAAGCAATCAAATATCGGTAGTTTTTGCACTTTTTTTTCATTGTTTTGATCATACTTCACATAAACTGATTCATGTTGTGAATTTCTCATTTTACATAATATCATAGGCCTTTTCCTGTGTTATGATCATTTTTCAGAGTTTGTAGTACTTTTAAAGAAATATATTTTATCTGAAAAAAGTAAAACTACTTTTGTTTCTCAAATACTGTTACATATAGTTACTAAAATTCAAATTTTGCACCAAAATATTTTACCTCTATACAGACACCTACAATCTATTTTTGACTGCTGAGATACTTTGGGATAAAAACTGAAAACAGTCCAGGTGTTTCAGAACATCCAGATGTTCTACAGAATAAACACTTTCATTGTAGATTAAAAATTTACATTTTCAGCTAGGTGCTAGGTGAAAAAAATTCCGATATTAGCAACTAGAATTAGTCATGCTGAATGGTTTATTTCATCTTTTTCATCACTGCAATATTATCACCTTAGTGCTATGTATTACAGAAAACTGAGATACATTGGTCTCTGATAGAATTTCTGGACCATGAAAGCTACACTCTTAGAGTTTATGGTTGGAGTGTGGTTGTATGTGAAAATAACTACAACCTTATTTGACATTACAACAATTTAATGAATTAGAAGTCTGCTTTTTAAAATGGTCCCAATATAATTTTTGTAGATAATTGCATCTACTCCTTTTCCTGTCAATGGCTGCTTGATTCTCAATCTAGATCTTAGTATGTTTGCCTCAGTAAATGAAGATAAAGCTAGTTCTGGTCTTTATAGCTAACTCCACAGATTAACGTAGCGTACTTGATATTGGATAATATATCATTTGGCCATGATCCTGCCCTTAAATTCTGTTATTTGGTACATGCTGGTTTGAAAAGAAGCCTCAGAACAGAAACCATGAGTCTCTTTTACATGTTACCTGAAATTGCTTATTTTCTGTTTATTTCTTTAAATTATTCTATTCAATCTAAATACACATGTACACATTCTCACTGTTATATGTGTGCATGCATATGGTGTGTTCCAAATAGCATGCAGCAGGTTCAGTAATATAGAGATGAATTTACTGTCTGCCATCAAAAATGTTCAGAATCTTGCAGAATGTTGATATATATCAACATCTATAAGGAATACTATTTATTATGTTCTACACATTTTGCTAGTTTTTTTATGGGTATTATCTAATGAAATTGTTTAAATTAAACCTTCCATAGAATTGGTATTATTATCCCTGCTTTACAAAATAAGAAATTGAATGATAAGATACCTTGCTCATAGTTGCACACCTTAGAAACCAGTTACATCTAACATGAAATGCTATCAAGTAAGCTCCAATGTTTCCCTTTGGCAGTTTGAGAGGAGATCTATAACAGGTATTAATTGGATGCCAGAGAACTCTGTCTAATAAGTGAGCATCCAATGACAATGGAGAAAATTAGAAAATCTCCATGTATGTGATAACACTTGAGGTGAAACTTAATAAAAGAGTGGTAGCTAACTAGGAGTCAGAAAGAAGAAAAGGCACTCCAGGAAAATTCTTGCAATTCAATTATATTTGAACATTGTCATATACTTTGGTTTTCTAAATAACGATTTAATACACAGTATGAAGATTCTTCTGATAATCTCAAAAGAATTCTACATTTCCCTATATGGAATTTTCAACATTTTAGCCAAGAGTTATATGTCAAAAACAGAGGGCTTAGCCAACCACAGTTAAGTATAGGACCAACGTAATAATTTAGATAAACCAAGGAAAATCATATCCCTACTCTTTCATTTCACTTGCCTACAATATATGGAGAATTGTGCATCTATTTAGTTAAATTTGCTTATATAGACATGACTTGCCCTAAATGAATGGGACTCTTGCTGAAAAGAAAGGATTCAATTTTCAATATTTGGATCTCTCAAAAGAGAAATGAAACATAATAAAATATGTTGCACCTGATATTTAGAGAGGAAATTTGTTTAACATAAACATTTTCTGGACCAGTTTTGTATGTTAAATTAGTGATCACACATGGTTTATTGCCAACTTAGTGTAATAAATCTCTCAGATGCCAATACCATCTGGCCATCCGTGCCCACTTGCGAATTCCATGTGTCATTTCGTACCTGCCATAGTTCCATACTCACGCTGCTCAGCATCTGCCCTGAGTTAAATGCTTCCTTTACAAATCACAATTAATGGGAACATCCTGACTTGTGAGTAAAGAATTTGTGAAAAAAATTGTCACACATCCCAAAATATAGCCTGAGATGTCATTGGACAGATGTTAAACTAAAATAAGTGTGATAATATAAGGAAACAAAAATACTGTATCCTGCTGTTTTGACTTGGCTGATTTTATTTCGATTTCTTATTTTGTTGATAACGGTTTAAAAACTTTTTTTACAAAATGTATTTTAGAAAATAACAGTGATTAAAAGGTATGAAGTGGCAGTGTAAAAGTATAATGAAACACCAAGTCTATTAGTTTTCTAAATTTTGTAAGAAAAAAATCAGAATTGCTGCCTTATGCAGTCTTTGTTTTTTGCCTTGGAAGCCTATAGAGATATTTTTGTGGGCTATTTGGAAAAATGAGAAATCCTCATTGAATCCTAAAGATGGTATTTCCACTTTTAACTTGTTAGTCGGCAGTCATTACCATTTAATCAGTACCAAACACACACAAGTAATTTTCAGGAAAAATTCAAAAGCTAGGGGATATCTATGTCTGTCTTCAGGAGCTTACAAAATAATAGGTATACTGGAGAGTTAAAAGAGTCATTAAGTATAAAATATGGTTATGTGATTCCTGAAATATGATTCTAGGAACAGAACTATGAAGTTACACTAATGCTAGGTGCACATAATGGCAAATTAAACTGCGAGCTGCACGTACAAAAACGTCAAATGGAATCGGAGGATAAAACCGCTTAAAAAAGTACAATTTCAGAAAATATAATTAAGACACTAGCTCCATTTAGCTGCCTCTAAATTTTCTTTCAAAAAGATAAGATGACTTGGTAAAGGTGGTGCCTTTCGAGTTTCTCATGGGACTGTAACATAGACTCTTGATGCGATGCACAGAGAAATAATTTTTGTGTGATTCTTGCTGAAAATGTGAATTTAATCTTGAGGAAACACCACACAAGACCAAACTGAGGAAATTATACAAAATAACCGGCGAGTACTCTCTAAGAGTGTCAAGGTCATGGAGACAAAAGGGCTAATGGAGACTAGAGAGACATAATTAAACGTAATGTGAAAGCCTGAATTGAACCCTGAAAATCCTCAAGTATACCGAAAAAAAAAATACAGAGAGGAGAGAGTAAACATTATACTTAATATCTCTATCTTGAGAAATCATAACATTTCAGGTTGTGCGTTTAGCTTTCTAACACAAGTGTGTCTCCTGTCGCAACACTGTTCTAAAACATGTAATTGCCAATGGCTATGCAGTGGTCTTTCATAGGAATACGTTACATTTTACTTACCATGTTTCTGTTAGCAAAATTTAGTTCTATTTATCCCCTCAAGTTCTTATGTTAAAAAACCTAGATGCAAAGATTTATGTATAGACAAACAGATAAATACATTTCTAATTTAGAATTATATTTTTGGTTAGACTTGATATTGACTTTATAACAATTTGGATTGTGTCATATGATCCCTCATCATATCTTTCCTGGAGCTGAAAATTACATTAAAATATTTTTTATTTGATCCATGAAAAGTTGGTATCTTGTTTTATTTTTCTTATCTTAATTATTAGTTAGGGTGTTGTTTTAAATGGTTATTTATATTTGTATTTCTATTCTCTTTTACATTTTTATGTATTCTTTAAATTTGATATGTATTTATCTAATAATATTTGATTATCATTCTGATGCTTAAATACAACATTTTGCTTTTTTAAAAAAATCCCTATTTATCTGCTTTCTCTAAATTCATGATATGATATGTATGCATTATTACTTTCTGTGAATTTATGGTATATTTATTTTTTTCTAAAACATTCTGGAGTGCGGTTCTGTGTATTTGACTGCCTTTTCATTAAGATGTAGTACAGATAACTGACCCAATCTTACATATGGCTTTTATTTGAACATATAATTTTAAAATTGTGAGTATTTTTTTAGATATACTCACAATTTAGGTTTTCGCTCAAGAGATCTGAGCAGCAACACAGCTGGAGCTCTTCAAAAACAGACTTTGTGACTATTACTCAAGTCACCTCAAGATAACAAAATTGTTTTGTTTTGGTATTATTTTTTCTTAATGTACATTGCTACTTTTTCATTTATGAATGTATATTGCAACTAGCACTGCAGAGTGAACCCGAAATCTCCCTTATAAACAATTAAGTTCATTGACTTGAATATTTTATTTTTCTTATTATACAATTTAAACCATCAGTATAAAAATAATTGTATTGTAATTACTTAAGTTACTAAAAGACTATATGAAAAAAATAATTTCAAGAACATTATAATGTTTTATTTAAAAATTCTTTAAAAGGGATTTTCCAAACCTGACTGATAATGATTTTAAGTTATGAGTTATAACTACTTCAATAGTTTCAGTTGACATTTGCTAATATAATTATTGAAATTATTTTAATAATTCCAGTTGACAATTTTGTAGTAGTGTTTACAGAACCTGTCTGGCCTTGTCTCTTTGTCTAACCATTTTCAAGACTTCACAACAATAATAAAAGCTTGGATTTATTTAGGCTTACAACATACCTTGCCTTGTTCTAAGAGTTTTACACCATTTGTTTTCCTTTATTTATTACGATATGTGGTGTAGGGGTTATTAACAGGCTCATATTACTGGAATCAGATTTTAAATAATTTGTCCAACTTTGCAGATCAGGTCTCAGACATTTACACCAGATTACTACGACCCACGCATTTTTCACTCCTCTGTAGGATGGCTACTTCTTTGAACCATAACTTCATTTTTTTTTCTAAAACTTGTTCATGCATGAGTTTCTCAATTGTTATTTATGTCTTTGCAGAATGGTATGTTTTCAAATAATTATTTGTGGAGGGTAAATAGACAAAACATGTTATGAACCCGTTTATATTGGATAATATTTTCTACTGCTTTTCCATCAGAAGAGATACTTCATTTTTATTATAATAATGCTGGGATTGAATCATACTGCTAGTGTAATAACAGACAATTGACCTGTCTGAAAATCAGTTTTTTATCTACAAACGATAAAACTAATGTTCATCCAACTCACTGGATTGTTTTGAAGATTTAATTATATATCCCTCATAAAGAAGGCAAATAATCAACTGGAGATTACAATGATTATTTTTCTAATGTATTATTCTCATCGTTTTCCAGAAAAGTAACACCGCTGTTGTTGTTGTCATTTTCGTTAATCTCTTGGTAAAGAATTATTCAATAATCCTTCAAAACCTGCAAAAGTTTCTCCATTAGTGTCAGGTAATTTAAAAAAGAGAAATCTGAATCCATCTGGATTTTGTCTCTTTTGAAAACATCTTTCCCTCTCCTCCCCTCTGTTCCCTGGATACTACCTGTAAAAATTGTTTTTCTTTTTATTTACCATGATGCATTTAGGTATGGCTTGTCTATAAGTTGCTTATTGAATCCCTTTATACAACATATTTCAGAATATTATTAATTTTTATGGAAAGTTTTCTTCTATTATAACTTTCATTATTGCTTCCATTTAGTTTGATATAGCTACTTTCCATAAAATTCTTCATAGGCTGTATTTTAAACATATCATGTATATATCTGGCATCTAGTCTTGTAATAAATTTACTCTTTTTTTCATAGTTTTGAGAATTCTTTACAAGTATGAACTGCACACAATGATGAAATCTTATAATCAATTTGAATTTTTTAAACCACTTATTTAAATGTTCACTTTTAAAGTAGTTGAAGTACTTATTAGGGTAATGTGGTTTTATTAAAATATCTGCTATGATTTTGGAGTAAACTTCATTTATTCATTCTCTTTTTCACACACACACATTTCATTTTTTCAAAATAATATTGTTTTTCTTATTTCTCAGCAAATTGGGAATTGGAATGAGCAATGAAAGCAAACTAATAATTATAATTTATCTTTTTCATTCTTAAAATATAATTTCAAAGTATTATATTCAATGTTCTATAATTTAATAATCAATGCCACTCAAATATTTTTATAACTGAGTAAATTATTGATGGGTGTAAATATCAATACACAAAAACAATTACAATAATAAGATTATTTTTCCACATTTCGTGCATACTAGCATTATGTACAACTCATATTTTTCTTGTACGTTTGCCAGCTCTTCTAAAATATGTATTTCTTACATAATTTTTAAGGATTTCCAGGATTTTTCCTCTCTTCTGAACTTGGCAATCTTACTCTTTTATATCTCTTTTAACCACATCTATAATATAGAATCAAATTTGGGTTTAATATATTACAAAATAATTTTCAGCTGAAACTTGTACTTTAAAATATTGCAAGATATGAAATACATCTGTACCTTGTTTTACTGTACTATTCTCCCACCATTCTAACCCTAGTGAAACATCTTCCATAATGCAGAAATTATATTACCAGCTCAAATGTGTTAAAGAATCATTGGGTTCCTAAACAGCTTCATCTTTATTGGACAGTAACTAATAATTTTTTGGGGCATTTGTTCTATTTTGTCTCTTAATTGTTACTAGATTTTAGTGATTAGCCTAAGTAACCACTTCCTCTCCTAAAATGACCAATCCTGGGAGATTTAGTAGAGCATCTCTTGAATACCCTTTACTTGACATTCTCTGTGTATTTCAAATTCTAACTTTAGATTCCTTTTATTACAAAGTCAAGAAGGTATAGGAAAATTGCCTTGATTCTGACAAAATTTGCTCTGGTCTAAACATAACCACTCATACCTGCTTGATTTGGTGCAAAGGACTTACTTATCTGGCTACTGTTTTTTTTCAGTTATTATTTGATAGGATAATTGAGATAACAAACATAAAGCATATAGTATAACACTTAGGCCATAGTAAGTGCTCAATAAGTACTAATTTATTTTCCAGGTATTTCCAGATTCTAATTTAGAGCTAAAATTTAAGTATTGTAAACACACTGGATACAATCAAGTATAAAAACATAGGGAAGAGCAACATATAGAAAGCACAATAATTATGGCATACAGGGTAATATGCATGATGCATGCTATCAATAGGCAGCTCAAAATTGTGTGTAAGTCATGAAAGACACGCAAACCAGTTCTGGGAATGTTGAGTGATACATGCAAAGCCGAGAAAACCAGCAATCTTTGTAAAAGTTGGCTACAGGAAAAATCCTAAGAACACAAAATATATAACCCACATTTTTTGTATAATAAAATCTCTAGAAGTATAAAAATATAGAATATTGTCTGTAAACTAGATAAATGTACTTCAAACAACTAAACTAAAATACTTATTAAACTCCTGCAATGTAAAAGACACCATCAAACAAGATACATGGCAAGAGAGCCAACATTAGCAGAATCTTCACATAATCTACTCTGGATTTATCCCTTGTCACTCTCCTCTGAGCAATCTATGTTTGTGTGTGTTTATTTTACTTTGCCTTTAATGTTACATGCCCTAAGCTTATTTAACTTCTATTGCTTTTGTTTGTTGTTCAGTTTGCCCTTCCTGTTGGTACAAATCCTGTCATCCTTTGAATTCCAACTTCAATATCTCTTCCCACAAACATAAATCTCATAACATTCTGGGTTCAATAAAAGTCTCAGTTTATTTTATCCTTCTAGTATTTCTGACATCCTTCACCTTGCTATTACAGGTCCAGATGAATGCAAACCTCATATATAGTGAGTTTCTTGAGGGTAATGGACAGTTGAAAATATCTCTATGACCCTGGAATCTCGATGCAATGCCTGAGAAGGACCAGATCATAGGAGACACAAATTAATAAGCTGGGGATAGTGAATTGATAACTATTTACAATAGTCGATTTCTAGCATGTAATTAATAGCAAAGAGGAACAAAGGTTTCAGTGCGATGATACTTATATGCATGTTTGCCTAAAATCTCTCTTCCTTCCCTCCCTTTTCCCTTTTCATTCTCTTTTCCTTTATTCATTTCTATTTTCCTTCATATTATTTTCCTTTTCAATATTTTTTTAAACTTTCTATTTATCCATGTAAAATTCTGATGAGCTTTTGTGTAACTACAGGATGGTAGAAATAATAGTAATTTACAGCCCAAAATACAGTGTTTTTTTTTTAATGCCATTGAATGAATAGGATGAATTTTCAAACTATGATATTTCTGATATCCTTCTGCTTCTGTAGAGATCAACACCTGGGTTAGATCAGGGAAAAACAAAGAATAAGGAAGATGAGGACAAATAAAAATGGAGCACTTAGGGGTATAATGCGTGTGTGTGTGTGTGTGTGTGTGTGTGTGTGTGTGTGTGTGCGAGAGAGAGAGAGAGAGAGATGAACATCAAGTCCACATGGTAATAAAAAATAGAGGCCATTACTTCACAGTGAAATAAATACCAAGTATAGTACGTGTGTTAACATAATTTTTGCGTTAGTTTCTCAATGTGTTAAAAAACCATAATGGTCACCATTTACACATCCACAAATTTATACTAACAGTTTATATATGAGGATCAACTAAGTTAATGTTCTTTCAGTAATGGAGTTATTAAATATTCCAAAAGCCAAGGAATATGTTTAATTTATATATGAGATTTTAGAAATGTTTATTCAGGCCGAAAATTCCTTATATTTAGTTCATTTTGTTTAGTGAGCCAATGTGTCATAAAAATAGATTTTGTTTTGATCATATTAGCTTATAATTTTAGAGAGAAAGAACAAGTGAATTGTATGAATTTTTAAATGATGTAAATACAAAAAAGGCTTGTATGTACAGCAACAAAAAGCTGTGCTATCCTCAGTTTTCAAAGTTTCAAAGGAAAATCTTATAATCTTTCTTAAAGCATTTTTTCCGCATTTATTCACATTTTTGCTATAAGTATACTACTGTAGGTCTATGTGTATACATACAAATTTTGAAATTGCTTTTATACAAGGAAATTAACTTTTTTCACAATATTTTCTGGAATGGTAGGCAATAATTTAAATTGTGATATAACATTTAGCATATCAAGATATGATTTATGATCATTGACAGACACTCAAGCGTGTTTAGGAAGCAGTATACACTTTCTCTCACTGTACATCCAATAATGTTGAGAATAAACAGAATAACACTCAACCTGGATTTTGAGGTGGGACTTAAAGTCAAACAAATATTGAAAAATGCTTACGTGCAAACAAAACAAACATTCGGCACATATGCTACTCTAGCTGATAACTCAATACTTGCCACATGAAGAGACCATATAATTCAAATAAGTAAATATATTAAATTCCACTGGAATAAAAAATGCAATTATAGATCAAAGGATAAACTGCATAGTCAATGCCCGAAATAAAATGGTCAATTTTACCATATAATGTCATATGAATGCATATAGTAGGAAATTCATCATTTAAAATTTACATTACATGATATTTTATTATTTTACATGGCTTCTCTCATTTAATTTTTCCTTCACTGTAATACACTATATTGTGAATGCTTATTTATTTCAAAATTGCCACATCCTATAAAAACTTGAGAATATTAAGCAAAACAGAAGATATTCCTAGTGTGCCTGGTGCAATACATGTATTTAACAATATTTAGAGGGATAATAACACTAAATGTTATAGCTAACTCCTGGCAGAATAAAGATGTAAATCCAAGTCTCCTAAATTATGGCCTCAGTCATTTTATATTAATTATTGCTATTTTTAACTAACTTTAAATGAAAGAATCATAATGTTAGAAAACCTGCTGAATCACAGATCCTGAATATGAGTATTATTTTTAGACAAAATATATTAGTTAAGGTTTGGGTTTACTTCTAGATTAATATTTTGACAACTCAGTAGGCAAGAGTCATTATTTTTTATCAGAAAAACAGACATTTTTATGGACCTAAAATTTCTAATTAAAAGGATATCTTTCACACTTACAGAATTAAGAGGGCATAGTTATATGTAAGTTTCTTTTCTTCGATAAACTCTCTGAAGAAAAAAGATGAGCATCATTCATTTATAGTCCTCACATTGGTTACAAATACTCTCTGAAGTTCTAATTTAAGGAAGCTATGATATGTTAGAATAAGGAATGAAAATTGAAGGAGTTTGAGGTATGCTAATATGTTATGGTAAGGAGAAAGCATTGACAATATTGGTGATGCTGATTATGTAAGCTCAGTTTATTATTTCTACTCAAAATAAAATATTTTCACTAAGCCTTTGTCCCCCATATCTTTTGTATGTTTCCACCTATGCTATCCTAGTGTTATTATTAATCCCATTTTATGAAGTTTTAAACTGTCACTGAGAGTTAACTGGCTTGTCTCAAGTCACACAACTAGTTATTAGTGTGGCTGGGATTTGAACTCAAATGTCTCTTGAGTCCAAAACCCCACTTTTTTTCTTGTAACAGTACCATCTCTCATAAACCATATGGCCTAACCAGGATTGTGAAAGAGAACATAAGGTATTGTCATGTTTATTTGCCATGATATTTGTTGAAAATAATTGTAACACTGATGTGCCACCACTAGTCATGTGATGTACAATGAGTAGCACTTTATTTGCAACCAAATCCATTGGGAGAAAAATCATTCTGTAGCACAACTTTTAAAAACAACTTTATTTACTTACCTTTTTAAAAGTTTGTTATATTAAGCTATAAAACAATATACTTTTAAAATACTGAAGAATAGAAAACTGGCGGGGTTCAAAACAGAGGTTGCAAATGGATTTATTTGGTATCTACTGTGTACTAAGCAATGTGCCAATTACTTTACTCATCCATTCACATACTATGGTTAGAATAAACTCTATTTATCAGATGAGAAAACTGAGACCCAGAGAAGTTAAGTAAATCATATCCAATATTAAATTTCTAGTAAACGAGGCTTTCTGCCATTGTACAGATGCCTATGTAATGCAAACAAATTTTACTATCGTATCTCTCATTGATGAAATTTAGATTATTTATAGTTAAATTTCTGGCTCACATACATCTAATCATGCTATAAACTGCTACATATAAAGTCCATGTAAGGCTATTCTTTGGGTTGCAATAAAGAAATACCTAAGACTGGGTAATTTATAAAGAAAAGAGGTTTAATTGGCTCACAATCCTGCAGGTTGTACAAGTATAGTGTTGGCATCTGCTTGGCTTCTGGGGAGGCCTCAGGGAGGTGTTTACTGATAAGGAAAGCCAAGCAGGATTAGGCACAAGACATGATGAGAGCAGGAACAAAAGAAAGCGAGAGAGAAGTTGCCAGACACTTTTAAACAATCAGATCTTGAGGGAACTTACTCACTATGGTGAAAAGAGCACCAAGGCGATGGTGCTAAATCTTTCATGAGAAATCCACCCTCGTGATCCAATCACCTCCCAAGAGGTCCCACCTCCAACACTGGAGATTACATTTAAACATGAGATTTGGAGGGAGCATCCAAACTATATCAACTAGTATTCATCGAACACACAAATAAACCAAAGATGGCCTATCCCAAAAGACTTTACAAATCTGGTAAAGTAGATAGAAGAGATTAAATATGTATACACATAAAAATTTTACAAAGTCAAAGCAACAAATGCTCTAATAATAACATAGATTGATCATGATTCATTCATGGTAACCCAGATTATTGAAATATAAATACTGGAAATCACATCTGAAAAAATGATGCACCGTAAGTCTTCCTGATACATTTATTTTTTCTTTCTTCTGCTTTTTTCTTTTTCTTAATAGTTTTATTTAACCTATGAATTTATGTTTATAAAATCCACTTTATGAAATTATAATCATGTCTTAGCTAGAAGGTTGATGGAGAAAAAGGGACATCCTACTTGTGGATCATATTGACAAAAACCTGAAATGTACAGAGTTTTCGTACAGGTGAGAACTATAGAACACTCTCTGATGGGAGTACTGTGGCTATATTGAAGACTCAAAGAAAAAAACAAGCAATAGCAAGTAAACATAATTAATTCATATGTAAAGAAAAACATCCTATCATGGCTATAGCACCAGGTTAAATGAATTAATTATTTTAGTTTTTAACATACAAAAGCATGTTTATTTAAAAAAAACTAATTAAGAAATTATAATTATGAAAAGTTGGTGATTTTATTGTGCCTTAGAAACATTAGGTAGGACGTTGAGGCAACTGAATATGCCAGATAACTATGTGATTAGTAAGAAGGCTAAAAGGAAAAGCAAGAGGGAGAGGAGGAGGGGGAAAAGGAGGGCAAAAAAAAGAAAAACAAAAATAATAGTAAAAATGCCTAATAAACTAATGCATTTTGAACATTTTCATATCTATGTAATTAAAAATGGGTGATGCTTCAGGAAAGAGAAGAAGGAATTTTAAAAACTTAAAGAAGAGGGAATTTATGGAAGTAATTTTTAATAGTATATAGTAATGTTAATA
The DNA here is from genome assembly GCF_000001405.40 of Homo sapiens. Lineage (NCBI taxonomy): Eukaryota > Metazoa > Chordata > Mammalia > Primates > Hominidae > Homo > Homo sapiens. The sequence goes on from NC_000004.12 coordinate 31,782,230, forward strand.
ATATAAATGATTACCAACTATATCCAAAGAGCATGTATGTTACCTTCAAAAATATAATCAATAATACAATGTCTTATTCCTTTTACTATGTGTTTGTCTTAAAGAAAAACATTTGCTGTTTAATGACTTTTATATTAAATTATGGATACATGTTTCTTCACATATCTGAAACAGATGTAAGAGAGAAAGGACAAAGGAAAGGCTATCCATTAGCATCAATATTTTTATATCCTATTATTCTCATGTGTATACACACACACACACACACACACACATTTTGAATTGTAATGAATATTTTTCCTTGCATGTTCAGTGGTGATATGGTTCGGCTTTGTTCCCCCACCCACCTCATCTCAAATTGTAATCCCCACATGTCAAGGGCGAGACCTAGTGGGAGGTTATTGAATCATGGGAGTGGTTTCCCTCATGCTGTTCTCATGGTAGTGACTGAGTTCTCATGAGATCTGATGTTTTTAAACGTGTGTGGCAGTTCCCCACTTCACACTCTCTCTTTCCACTATCACCTTGTGAAGAAGACGTTTGCTTCTCCTTCTGCCATGATTCTAAGTTTCCTGAGGCCTCCCCAGTCATGCAGAACTGTGAGTCAATTAAACCTCTTTTCTTTATAAATTACTCAGTCTTGGGCAGTTCTTTATAGCAGTGTGAGAACAGACTAATACAGAAAATTGGTACCAGTAATGTGAGGTACTGCTCACATTTCAAGATACTTGAAAATGTGAAAGTGACTGGGTAACGGGCAGAGGTTGGAAGAGTTTGGAGGGCTCAGAAGAAGACGGGAAGATGTGGAAAAGTTTGGAACTTTCTGGAGACTTGTTGAATGGTTATTACCAAATATGGAGATATTAAAATTTAGTGATAAAAGTGGGTTTGTGTGTTGGGAATTTTGCTTTTGCTTTTCCATTTTTAACGATGACAAGTTTACAATGGATATATTTGTAGCATTCTATTTTATATTAGAATTTGAGTTTCTCATGATTGCTGATACCAAATGATCAAAATGTAATGAAACTACTTTCGTATTATAGTGTAAGATCATCTGCTATTATCTATTTTCTAGACACTTGTCTTAGTCTTTTTTTGTTGCTATAAAGGAATTCATGAGGCTTGGTAACGTACAAAGAAAAGAGGTTTCTTTGGCTCTCAGTTCTGTGGACTATACAAAAAGCATGGCAAACAGCATCTAGTGAAGTTCTGATGAGGACATCAAGCTGCTTTTAGTCCTAGTGAAAGGCAAAGGGGAGCTGACATGCAGAGATCACATGGCTTGAGCTTAAGCAAGAGAGAGTGGGCAGGAGGTGCCAGAGTCTTCTTAACAATCAGCTCTCATGGGGACAAATAAAGCTAGAACTCACTCGCTATTGCAAGGACATAACCAAGCTGACCATGAAGGATCTGCCTGCCCCCAAGACCCAAACATCTCCCACTAGGCTATACCTCCAACACTGGGAATCAAATTTCATGATATTTGGAAGGGACAAATATCCAAGCTATATCAACAGTAAACATACATTTCTCTCTCTCTTTCCTCCCTTTCTTATATTAGTATGTGGTCAAGGTGAATCTAGACATAGATCTTTGTCCCCAGAGTTCATGTTCCCAATATTATGTTATTTTTATTATCCGTATGTTATTCAATAGTCATAATTATTTACCTTTATCAGCACTAGCCATTTACATTTAAAGTTGAAAATGGAGAAAATGTACAAATTACTTTTAAATAAGGTTCTGTTGTTCAAGTAGAGTCACGACTTGACAGCCATGCTTTTCAGTAAATTTGGTCAATGCATAAAAGCTATTTTACTAAATAAGCATCCAAATTTTTTCCAAATTTTCTTTGTATGTTACCCTAGTCACCTCTTCCTTTGGCTGTTTTCATGATCATTCGCATAATTTTTCATGGGACCCATCATAGAACACCTTTGATTTTTGGCAAAAAAAAAAAAAAAAATCCCTGTATTCTCTTAAAGTTTTAATTTCTTTTTGATGCCTGTTTCTGTTTTGGTGCCTTAGGCTGCCTGGGCTGAGAAATTCTTGTTTCAATCTTGTAAACCAAAAAAATCTCCTTGTTTTAGATAATCTGTGTCCTACCTAAACCTTTTGAAATAATGTGTAGTGGTGGTTACTGAGAGACAGAGCAAAAGAAGAATTCCCAATTCCAGAAATTAAACTTCAAAACTAAATATTTTAATGAAGAACTCTGCATTAAGTTCAGGACAAAACATGAATTCATATTCACATGGAGCACAATGTAGCCTAAGATGAAACCAGTGTGTGTGTGTGTGTGTGTGTGTGTGTGTGTGTGTGTGTATACATATGTACATGTATATATTTCCAGCAATATTTATATATATTTATATATTCCAGCTATATATATTTCCATGCAATGTTTATTTAATCTGTTGGACATGTAGTCTGTGTACAAAATATTTTAGTCTCTTTAAAGATAACAAGTTACCTACTCAATAGAGCTAATTCGAAGGAGGAAGTGGAAATTTAGACACTTAACACAAAAAGGAAACAAATGTGAAAATGAGGAAGATGACTGTTGATTTTGACTTGAATATAGAAATAGCAAATCTAAAGCTCTGTATTAGAAAATTTACTTTATAATTTCGAGGAAACACTTAAATCACAGCTTAGCAATCTGTTAATCAGCAAAGCATTCCAATAAACCTGGATACTAGTGAGAAGGCTAGATGTTACTGCTCTCTGGGCAGGAGAATTGAATAGGTGAAGGTTTTCTGATAATATTTCACTCTTAATTTGTCTTAAAGACCTTCAAATAACAGTAAAAACACCCACAATGTTTTAATCAATCAATGTTAATTGAATAGAAACAGAACTTGATGTTTCCAAAGCTTGCCAGAAAAATTTAACTGATTTTCCTTAGTAGTAAAAATACTTTGAAAACAATAATTTTCAAATATAATTTCAAGAAGCAATTGCAAATAACTGTGTAAATACAAGATGTATACAAGGATAAAGAGATGTACTCCACCCATAGGGCCTTCTTAAGATGATGAGCACTTAAAAAAGAAACCTAACTTGCTGTTAAAGATAATTTGAGAACATAAACCAAGAGCCTCTTAGACTGCTCACAAGCCTGTGTTATAAAACATATAGCCCACAAAATTGTTTAGAGTAAGTAAATTGTGCAAACTTTAGAAAAGTATATATAAACTTGACCCATAATTCAAAAGAAATTAGGCCAAGCTATTTGGTAAATAACTCATAGTTTCAAGAAAATTTTGTGATGTTTTAACAGAATTTCTGTAAGCAAAATATTCAGAAAATACAGATAGGATGGAAAATTATGCTTATTAACTGTAAATTTGAAAGTTAATCAATACTTAGCAGTACAAGAGTTCACCAAAACTGCTTATGATTTCAAATATTCTATGTTTAGTGAGCAAATTTTCTTTGGTTATCAATTGAATTATTAAAATATAGTGATATGATTTCTCAGACTTTGTTACTTTATTATATATTTTCCTCATATCGATCTTGTGTAGAAGTTTAATCACTTTATTTGTTTATTTTTTCCTATTCAAGTCCACTTGCACTATGCATTGTATTAGTTTATTTGCAAAGAATGTTATTCAACTGGTGAAGGTATTATACTTTTAGTGCTATATTTCAAATGTTGCAAAATATTAAATCAAAATTTAAAACAAATGAAACATTTATTTATTGTTTACTGACTTAAAAAACTCAGTAAAATATATCATGAATAAGCCATTTTTTGTATTATAGCATCATAAAAATAAAATAATGTAAAAATATATTTAGTTGATTCCTAAAAATTCTAATTTTTATGTGTTCTATAACAGGGATCCCCACCCTTGGGCCACAGATTAGTAAGGGTTTGTGGCCTGCTAGGAACGAGACCTCACAACAGGAGATGACTGAGCCAAGCTTTATCTGTATTTACAGCCACTCCCCATCGCTCACTTTACCACCTGAGCTCTACCTCCTGTTAGACCAGAGATCAGAGGTGGCATTAGATTTTCATAGGAGTGTGAACCCTATTGTGAAATATGCATGCAAGGGATCTAGGTTGCATGCTTCTTATAAGAATCTAACACCTGATGATCTGTCACTGTCTCCTGTCACCCCCAAATAGGACTGTCTAGTTGCAAGAAAACAAGCTCAGGGCTCCCAGTGATTCTGCATTATGGTGAGATGTATAATTATTTTGTTATATATTACAATGTAATAATAATAGAAATAAAGTGCACAGTAAATGTAATGCACTTGAATTACCCTGAAACTGTCCCACCCCCCTACCCCCAACCCCACCGGTTCGTGGAAAAATTGTCTTCCACAAAACTGGTCCCCGGAGCCAAAATTGTTGGGTAGTAATGTTCTATAATATACACATCAAATCCTGCCTTAATGTTGGGAAACTTCCTGACCGTTGGAGCCAAAAGTGATGTACTATGTTTCAAAAGCATGAAACACAACGTAGGGTATTCCCTTGGTGAACTCAAAGGCACGGATATCTTCAGGAATTGGAAAAGATGCACAAAAGATCAGAAGCTATGACTCCATTTAAAAATCTACAAATACTTGTGTTTTATAGAGGTCAGTAATGGCAACGCGATGGAAAATGACACAGGGAAGTTACTCTGGACTTTAATTTCCAAAGACCTTTTTCTGTTTGTTTGTTTTTTTGAGACGGAGTCTCACTCTGTCGCCAGGCTGGAGTGCAGTGGTGAAATCTTGGCTCACTGCAACCTTTGCATTCCAGGTTCAAGCGATTCTCCTGCCTCAGCCTCCCGAGTAGCTGGGGCTACAGGCATGCACCACCATGCCCGGCTAATTTTTTTTGTATTTTTTAGTAGAGATGGGATTTCACCATGTTGGCCAGGATGGTCTCAATCTCCTGACCTTGTGATCCGCCTGCCTAGGCCTTCCAAAGTGCTGGGATTACAGGCGTGAGCCACCACACCCAGCCTCCAAAGACGTTTTAAAAGCTTGATTGCTTGTTGTCTATTTCTAAATAAGAGACTGGAATAATTGAAGGATTTTAAGTGGAATAATAAGTATGATCAATTTGTCTTTTGTAAGTATTACTTTGGTATTAGCGGGGAGGGCCTAACCAGGAGAGACATGTAGAAGGGAAAAGTTGGGATAAGATAAAAAGACTTTGGAATACACCTTGAATACACAGAAATCACGCAGAAATTTGTAATTTGTAATACACAGAATTTACTCAGTATATGTAAATTTGTAATACACAGAAATTACTCAGTATATGTATGAGGCTTAACTTCTATACACCACTTTTGTAAGGAGTACTGCTAAACACAGCCTTTTGAAATTCTGGGTAAGAGCTAGCTGTCTTTGCTTTTACCACATGTCTCCTGACACATCTGACTACATTTGGGGAAACACTGACTCTAGTGAGGGGGGTCAGATTCCTAGGACAGAAAAATTTAAAGGTATAATGAAAATAAGGTGATATCATAGAGCATAAGGAAGAAATAAAGAGAGATGGAGAAGTGTAATTACTTCAGATCCTGGTGTTTTCCAGGTCCTTAGCTCCCAGCTCTGGAATCCCACATGTATTTATCCTCTGTGATACAGTGGGATTTTGTTAACATATATTGAGTAGTTACTATGTGCCAGATATTTCTTGGAACCAATTATATGGGAATTTCTGATTCCACACAGAAAACAAAAAGCTAAGAGAGTATAAACACAGTGACAAATTTTCCATAGTATATAAATAGGAACCAGGATACAGAAAATTTAACTCTTGAGGCTATAATTAAAATTATTGCAGGATGCTTTCTTTCTGTTTCACAAAACCAACATTTGTCTCCGATTGAACTTGCTTGTAGATTCCCTTGAAATCAAACAGTTTGCTTAAAGCAGTAAGAAAAATTGTGAAAAGAATGAGAAAACATGAGAATGCTATCCTGGGTAATCTCAATTTTCAAGTTGTAGATGGCAGAGAGAGTTCCTAAAAAGGAGAGAACTAAAAGGTGTCTAAATATATACAGCAAGGTAGGAGACAAGGAAAGCTCAGTTACTTTCAGGGCAGCTGTAAACTAATTATATGATATACGCAGTCATTTTTCCAGACTATATATTTGATTTTTAGTTGGAACACTATAGGATATACCACTTCATAAGAAAAGAAGAAAAAAAGGAGGAATAGTAGAAAATGAGGGGGAAGAGGAGGTGGAGGAAGAAGAGGAGGACTCCTTGAGTAATGACTTGGGCTACATATAGGGCCATATTTACTATAATGAAAGCACATAAAATATGAAAGCATGGCAAGCATGCAGAAAATTATGACCAGTGCTCTTGTCACATCTGCCATTTCAGCAGAATTATACTCACAACTCTGGTCTTCTTTAGCTATGAATTCACATCTACAGGTCTTCTTCTTCTTTACTCCTCCTCATTATCTTTGGAATGTCCCTCCTTTTGTGGTTACCAGCTATTCTCTCATTGAATCAGATCAAATGAAACAAGTTTTCATTCAGGTTTCTGGGATGTTTAGTCATGAAACTATCTGCAAGGTTATCAGTCTTTACCCTGTTTCCTGACTTTTCTGCTGTCATGCCTAATCAAGAATGCTGACTGCTTTGTGAATGACAGCTTCAAATTCTCCAAAGGGAAGACATCTCTCCACTCAATGCATTCCAATGTAGCACATGCTCACAGAGCTAATCTTGCCTATCACGGTGAATTCTTTAGGTTACTAAGCTCGTAATTAAAAGTCTTCACTAATGACATGGTAATTGTTTTAATGGGTTTCCAATGAAGTGTGAAGTTCCCTGCTGATGTGTCAACAAAATATGAAGCATTGTGAGAAAACGATGTAAAGCTTCATAGAATGTAGCATTAGAGGAGACCTTAAAATTATCAAGGGTAACCTTTCCATATTAGAAAAGAGGAAATAACTTCAGAGAAGTGATGTGTGTTGCTGAAGGTCATTACACTGAGTGGAAACTGTGGGTGTCCTGACTCCTAGTACTGTGATTCGTTTCCATCTCACTGCCTACTAATTTTGACCTGCTTTTTATTTATATTGTTCCTGTATTAAAAACCTGATTTTATGTTTTTCACTATATCAATGGAAATATTTATTTATTCTATCAATAAAAAGGTGCATAAGAAAACAATTTATTACATTAGTTTTATGGGAAGATTGCAAAGGTGACTTTGGGGATAAAAATCTACAGAGCTGAGAATTTCTTGGTTGGGTGCCTCCAGAATAAATAAATATCTTGAGAAATCAATGCACCACGAGAGCTGTGAAGAAATTTTAGTGCAATTTCATAATTAAAAGAATGTTATATTAAGTAACCGAAATTCTATATATTTGTACAGTTTCAAAATGTCTAAGGATATTTCTAGTTATTTTAGTCTTGGAACTGCGAAAGGAAGTAGAACAGACATCAGAACTTTAAAAAGTAGAAAACAGGGAAAAGGTAAGTGAGTTACTTGGCAAAACCAAAACTTAAATTTTTTATTTGAAGTTCAAGCCTTGAAAAATGAAATAAGTTGCAGAATGATGCTTTGCAGAACCCATTTAAGACCAATTTTCAGTGCATAATCATTAGTGACAGAACAAGAGAGAATTTTTTCATCATGATGTCAAATTATATTCCTTAGAGATATACACAAAAAGTATGAGAGTTTTCTTTTGCTGTAAATCATCAAAGAATATTTTTCATTATTGTTTCAGGAATGTTCCCCCAATATGAGATAAGCTTAGTAGTTCTTGTAAGTCTTTTGGAATTTTACAACATAAATTCATGTTAAAAGTCACGCATTCATCTATTTCCAAAGTAGGTTAAAGCATATGTTCTCAAGGAATTTACAGATACTTTTAAATTTCTCCAAATATTAAATAGGTAATTGGCACTAGCTTCAAACTCCAAAGATTTAAAATTACAAAGCACATTGGATCTATTAACTTAGTCTGGGTTTAATTTTAAGACCAGGATAATTTCCTTATACTTTTCTTCATTTAGGAAGAATTCTAAGAATGATAATTATTATTTTTTAAAGTTTTCACAAAGTAAGAGATCGTTTAAACGCAAAATTCTCTTATCACTGTATCTGTACCCTTGCTTACATGGAGTAAGCATTGCTACTGCTTCCTCACTTATATCTAGCTTTTGATGGTGTCTCATGCTGTTAAGCTATCTGTTATAGACTGTTTCATTTTCCTACTTGATGAAGGAAAGTGATGTTAATTTTAATTGGATTGCTGTATTTCATTACTTTGTAAATTTCACTCTTTATACTTTTTTCCAATAGAGTTCATCAGAAAACAGCTCCAAAATGGAGTTTATAATGGAGATTCTTCTACAGTTTACCAAACTTTTATAGGCACTTATCTGCTTGAAGAGTCTGTTGAAGTCCTTGAATGAAGGAAAAGAATTGTGTTATGTTTGATTACATTAAGCAACCTAATAAAGTCAATTTTCTCCAAATGACAAATCAAGTGACCTTGTTTTCTCCTCTACGTTCCCTTTTCCTTTTGGCATTGATGACCTCCAAAGAACAGAAGCAGATACTACATTCTGCCTAGCTAGCCATGCTTGCTTCTACTATAGTATACCTTTTTTTAATACTCTTTAACTTTACTGGAATTAGCACATTTAACAAATGACTCTGTTAAACACTGAGAAGGAAATAACAAAGAACCCATATAACTAGCTAAGATTTTTAAACACAAAGGAGAGCAGAAATACAATTTAAATGTTAAATAATCATGTAATATGGGCATACTTTATCATTGTGTAGTAAGACTGAAATTCAAGGGCCTGGATTCTCATCCTCTAAAATATTATAACCCGTCTCAGAGATAAGAATATGGCCCTATGAGATTATGATTTCAAGAGAGATTATGATTATACCTGGTACACAAAACAGCTGAAATAGGGCTTAGTGATTTGCTTGGTATGGGCACAAGCTATTTCTGTTGAATAATCCATAGCCATGTGCAGCTAGCAGTCAGCAATTACCCCTCCCTGCCCTGCTCTCCACCAAAAGCTCCTTATATGATGTCTGGGAGCAATGGTCTGCTCCCAGGTTTGGGTTCAGTTCATGTGTAGCTGCCTGGAACTGCCGACAAAATATGCTGGACTGTGATGATATGCAGTCTGTGCTCCTTCGTTTGTGAGCCCTGGAGGTCCCTGTAAGCCTGGGAATGGCTCTCGTAAGGTAAAATCCTTTTGAAAAAATATGGAAAATAAATCTCCTTAATAGTCTATGTTTTTAATAAACTGTCACTAACACTTTTACTGTTTTTATAAACTTCTTCAAAAGTAATAAAATATTGAAAGTCTTCAATACCTTCTCCTAAAGCTTTTTCTCTGATCCATCCCTCTAGTGCACACATAAAAGACCAGAAAGAGAGGAAGGTAATTGTGGTGTACTACAAATAATGATTATAATTCATCCCTGGAGCCAATTTTTCCTTCCCTGGTATCTGAATTCGCCTTGTATTCAGTTTTGGCCAATAGCAATGTGGTGGAATTGCTGTTGTATCTAAACCTGTACTTTATGTGCTCCTGCTGTCACACATGGGTTTCTGAGACAGCCATATGAACAACAGCCTAGGCTGCTGGAGGATCAGAGATCCAACCTACAGCTGGCCCAGGAGCTTAATGGAGCTTTATGAGTGAGCCAAGCTGAGATCAGCCAGTCCTGGCCTGATTTGGCCAAATGCCTTGCTGAACCTATCTTCAATTTCCAAGTCACAGCACAAACTAAAATATAGTTGTTTTAAAGTAATAATTTTTTCATGAGTTGTTATACAGTAAAATGTCATAAATAAAATGAGTCTAGTATTCCTGAAGAGGTCATGGTATAAATACTTAGGCTTCTTAAGGATATCTAATGTAAGTAAAGCACAAGGTAAAACGCAATTCCTCCTCTATGCTAAAAAGCATATGAATAAGTGAAGGGTACTTTCTTTTATAAACAATATTTAAACATACATTTACTTAAATGATGACATTTTTAAAATTTAATATATTGGCCACAAGATAATACTAACACCCCTTAAGTTTTCTGAGAACTTAATCAATTTAATGTCTTAAAGGCATAATATTGAACAGTGCTGTAAAACAAACTAACTTTCTCTATTAGATTAAAACTATGTAAGTTAACAGCATATAACACAATGCAAAGCACTGGAGCTGTATAGCAGTATACAAAAGAAAATATAAAAACAATTCCTGTGAATGTACAAGAGGATTTTGGGTGGGCAGACCATTATAATAGAAACTGGAAATTAGATAGGAAAACAGTTTAACAACTTTGCTTGCATCAGCAATATCAGGAGATATTGAACAATGACAAGTGTCAGAGCTTAGACTTTATGTTTCCTCTTCACAATGCTCCCTCAAGGAATCTAAATCCATAAGGAAATACTAATAATTGCTTAAGTCTTTTGTAGTACATGACCATCAACTGGGAAAGCTTTTCTAGTAAAATAAGAACAAGGAAAAATAATAATTTTAAGCACTGGCATGTTGTAATCCTTAGTTTTTATTCATTTCGATGCAATTGTTCCAAATAATATGTCCCCAATTAGTGGCCAACTATACCATTGTATATGTAGTGTAAGAGATAGGAGAAAAGAAATAGTCCAAATTGTTTAAGGTTATCACTTAGAGAAATGAAAGTGTATCATACAATCATGTAATAGGCCACCTACCCAGTTTATAACTAAACTTTTCTGAAAAAAAATTTTGTCACCAAATGTAATGTTATCAATCAACATATGATATTTGAATGTGAGCATTTGCTATAAAATAATCTGAATCTAAGTCATCATATTAACTTCATTGTCTAATGGAAAGTTTTATTTATTTTTCAAGAAACTGTAGTTAGTAAGTTAACCTTCAAATGAATTATCAATTAAATTATGATTTATTTCACCATTATCATCTAAGGGGCTTTATAGAACTCTTAAAATACCAACAATAATAAAGTAAAAAACACACACACAGATAATACATAGGTATGTATACCCCACTCATAATGTATACACATGTATATGTATATGTCTTAAACCACTATAGCATATATTATTAATATTGGTATATATGACATATTTTTATACTACATTTATGTATAAACAAAGTATACATAAACTTATAATTTTGTTACCATATGTCACTAAGCCCTCAAATTAAACTCTTGCTCTAAGACTCAAATTCCCTTCTTAAAATAACCACCTTAGCTTCTTCTTGCTGTTCTATAATACTTGTTTCAAACTACTTCCAAGACAGGAAATCATTTTCTGCTGTAAGTCTAACCTTGGTTACTGCAAGAAGGCAAACAATTAAGGACACAAAGGGACAAGGACCAGTCAAAGGGCTATTCAACTCCCCTTCCTTTCTACCAAAATAAATAGTCATTTAAAAGCAAATAAACAGTTCAACCTCTTTTTTCCAAGATTTGTTTTGTTTTGTGTCCTTTCTCCCAACCTCTGTCATTCTATTCTCTTTCTCTCTTTCATTCTTATTTATTCGGTTTTGGGCCAGCCCCCACCCACCCCCTACCAGAAAGGTCTAACACATCAAACTAGACACTTGTGGGAAAAAAAATATTGACAGAGTTTAGAAAATCAGGAAATGATTTTATTGATGATAATTGGGTGAACAGATAATCTTTTCTTCCAATAGCAATATAAATAACAATTTTTAAAAATTAAAAATACAGAGATACTTTAACAGTATTATCCTCTTTTTTAAAATGTTTAAAGTAATCTTTTGTATGGCATAATTGACTAGTCTCTTTTTCTTCTTAAAAAAGAGTAAATATGTCCATGTTTCCCAAGAGATGGTGTGTGTGTGTTTGTGTGTGTGTGTGTGCGCGTGCGTGTTTTTGCCAGGAGGGGGCGTCTTTTTTTTAAAATTCAATTTATTTAAAAAAATATTTTTAATTTTTTTGGGTATATAGTAGGTGTATATATTCATAGAGTATTTGATATATTTGATACAGGTGTACAATTTGTAGTAATCACATCAGGGTAAATGGGTATTCATCACCTCAAGCATTTATTCTTTGTTGTACAAACAATCCAATTACACATTTTTCATTATTTTATAATGTATAATAAATTGATTGGACTATAATCAATAACAAACTATTAATTTTTTACTGTAATCACCCTACTATGCTACCAAATACTAGATCTCATTTATTCTATCTAACTCTATGTTTGTATGCATTAACCAGCCCCACTTTCCTCTCCACCCCACTATCTTTCCCATCCCCTGGTAACCATCCTTTTACTCTATATGTGCATGAGTTCAATTGTTTAAATTTTTAACTGCCATAATTCAGTGAAAACACACAAAGTTTGTCTTTCTTTGCCTGGATTATTTCACTTAAGGACATCTGGTTCCATCCATGTTATTGCAAATGACAAGATCTCATTCTTTCTTGTGGCTGGATAGTACTCCATTGTGTATGTGTACCACATTTTCTTTATCCATTCCATACTTTCTTTTGGGTACATACTCAGCAGTGGGATTGCTGGATTATAGGATAGCTCAATTTTTAGTTTTTTGATGAAGCTCCAAAATGGTTCTCCATAGTGGTTATACTAATTTACATTCTCATCAACAGTGTACAAGGGTTCCCTTTTTTCCACATCCTTACCAGCATTTGTTATTGCCCATCTTTTAGATAAAGACAATTTTAACTGAAATGAGATAATATTTCATTGTAGTTTTGATTTGCATTTCTCTGATGATCAATGATGTTAAACATCTTTTTCTATACCTGTTTGCCATTTGTATATCGCCTTTTGAAAAATGTCTATTCAAATCTTTTGCCCATTTTACTTGGTTTATTAGATTTTTTTTCCTATAGAGCTGTTTGAGCCCCTTATACATTATTGTTATTAATTCTTCATCAGATGGATAGGTTTCAGATAATTTCTCCCATTCTGTGGGTTGTCTCTTTACTTTGATGATTGTTTCCCTTGCTGTGCAGATGCTTTATAACTTGATGAGTTCCCATTTGTCAATTTTTACTTTGGATGCCTGTGTTTGTGGGGCATTACTCCAGAAATCTTTGCCCAGTCCAATGTTTTGGAGAGTTACTCCAATGTTTTATTTTATTAGTTTCATAGTTTGATGTCTTAGATTAAGTCTTTAATCTATTTTGATTTAGTTTTTTGCATATGGCCAGAGATAGGGGTATAGTTTCAATCTTCTGAATATGGATATTCAGTTTTCCTAGCATCATTTGTTGAGGAGACTGTCCTGTTTCCAATGTATGTTCTTGGCACCTTTGTTAAATATTAATTCATTGTAGATGTATAAATTTGTTTCTGGGCTCTGTCTTCTGTTCCATTGGTCTATGTGTCTGTTTTTATGACAGTACCTGCTGTTTTGGTTATTATAGCTCTGTAGTATAATTTGATGTCAGGTAATGTGATTCCTAAAGGTTTTGTTCTCTTTCGTTCAGAACAGGTTTGGATATTCTGGATCTTTTGTGGTTTTATATAAGTTTTAGAAATGGTTTTTCTATTTCTGTGAAAAATGTCATTGGTATTTTATTAATAATAGGCATTGCATTGACTCTTTAGATTATTTTGGATGGGATGATTATTTCAATAATATTCGTTATTTCAATCCAGAGACATGAAATGTCTTTTCATTTGTTGTGCCCTCTTCAATTTATTTCACTGATGTTTTAGTTTTCATTGTAGAGATTGTTCACATCCTTGATTAAGTTAATTCCTAGATATTTTATTATATTTGTAGCTATTGGAAATGGGATTAATTTCTTAATTCCTTTTTCAAATTGTTCACTGTTGGCATACAGAGATGAGACTGATTTTTGTATGTCAATTTTGTATCCTGAAATTTACTGAATGTGTTTATTAGTTCAAATAGATTTTTGGTGGAGTCTTTAGATTTTTCTAAATATAAGATTGTATCATCTGCAAGCAAGGATAATTTGACTTCTTTTCCAATTTGAATGCCCTTTATTTCTTTCTCTTGTCTGATTGCTCTAGCTAGGGCTTCCAGTACTTTGTTAAATTAACAGTGGTGACAGTGGGCTACCTTATCATGAGCTTTCAGTGTTTCCCCATTTAATGTGATACTAGCTATGGGTCTATCATATGTGGCTTTTATTATGTTGAGATGTGTTCCTTCTATGCCCAGTTCTTTGAGTTTTTTTAAAATCATGAAGGGGTGCTGAATTTTATCAAATAATTTTTTAGCATCAATTAAAATGACTATATGTTTTTTGTCCTTCATTCTGTTGATGTGAAGTATCACACTGATTGATTTGCATATGTTGACCCATCCTTGCATGCCCAGGATAAACCCTGGTTTTGCATATGTTGAACGATACTTGCACCCTCTCTTGGTCATAAAGAAGAATCTTTTTAATGTGTTGTTGAATTTGATTTGCTAGTATTTTGTTGAGGATTTTTGCAACAATGTTCATCAGAGATATTGGCCTGCCTTTTTTTTTTTTAACGTGCTTTTGTCTGGTTTTGATACCACGGTAATACTGGCCTTGTAAAATAAGTTTGGAAGTATTCCCTCCTCCTCTATTTTTCAAAATAGTTTGAGTAGGATTAGTATTAGGTATTTAAATGTTTGGTAAAATTTAGCAGTGAAGTCATTGCGTCCTGGCCTTTTCTTTATTTAGAGATGTTTTATTACAGCTTCAATCTCATTACTTTTTATTCATCTGTTCAGGTTTTGGATTTCTCCATGGTTCAGTTTTGGTAGGCTTTATGTGTCTAGGAATGTATCCAATTCTTTTAGATTTTTCAATATATTGGTGTATAGTTGCTCATAGTAGCCTCTAATGACCCTTTGAATTTCTGGGGTATCAGTTTTAATGTCTCATTTTTCAACTCTCATTTTATTTACTTAGGTCTTTTCTCTTTTTTTTCCCTTAGTCTGGCTAAAGGTCAGTCTGTTTTGTTTGTCTTTTCAAAAAACTTTTTGTTTCATTTTGTATTTTGTCTTCATTTCAATTTCATTTATTTCTGCTATTTGTTTGTTTATTTATTTATTTATTTATTTATTTATTTATTTATTTTATTTTGAGACAGAGTTTCACTCTTGTTGCCCAGGCTGGAGTGCAATGGTGCAATCTTGGCTCACTGCAACCTCCACCTCCTGAGTTCAAGTGATTCTCCTTCCTCAGCCTCCGAATTGCTGGGATCACAGGCATGCACCACCATGCTCGGCTAATTTCGCATTTTTAGTAGAGATGGGGTTTCTCCATGTTGATCAGGCTAGACTTGAACTCCCAACCTCAGGTGATCCACCCACCTTGGCCTCTCAGAGTGCTGGAATTACAGGTGTAAGCCACTGTGCCCAGCCTGCTCTTTGTTATTTCTTTTTTTCTATTGATTTTGGGTTTAGTTTGCTCTTGCTTTTCTAGTTCTTTAAGAGGCATTATTGGGTTGTTTATTTGAAGTTTTATCTCCTTTTTTTAAGGTAGATACTTATAAATACAAACTTCCCTTTTAGTACTGCTTTTGGTGTATCTCATAGGCAGGTTTGGGTGTGTTGTGTTTCCATTACCAGTTGTTTCAAAGATTTTTAAATTTTCTTCTTAATTTTTTCATTGACCCACTAGTCATTCAGGAGCACATTGTTTAATTTTCATGTATTTGTATCGCTTCTAAAACTTATCTTGGTATTGATTCCTAGTTTTATTTTATTTTCATCAGAGTAGATATTTGATTTAATATCTATTATAATAATTTTTGAAAAGTTTTACAACATTTTTTGCGACTTCTCTTATGGTCTATCCTTGAGAATTATCCATGTGCTGAGGAGAACGATGCATATGCTGTAGCCATTGGATGAAATGTTCTGTAAATATCTATTAGGTCCATTTGGTCTACAGTGCCATTTAAGTTCAACGTTTCTTTGTTCGATTGTCTGTCTGGATGATCTGCCTAACACTAAAAGTGGAATGTTGAAGTCTCCAGCTATTATTGTATTGGGATCTATCTCTCTCTTTAGCTCTGATAAAATTTCCTTTATATATCTTGGTGTTCCAGTGTTGAGTGCATATATATATATATATATATATATATATACATATATATATATATAATATTTACTACTGATATATCTTCTAGCTGAATTTATCTATTTATTATTATTTATGACCATACTTGTGTCTTTTTATATTTTTATCTTAATAGCTATTTTTCCTCATATAATTATAAATACCCTTGCATTTTTGGTTTCTATATTCATGAAATATATGTTTACATTCCTTTATTTTCAGTCTACATTTGTATTTATAATTGAATGTGCTTCTTGTAGGCAACAGATTGTTGGGTCATTTTTTTTAATCCATTAAGCCACTGTATGTCTTTTTTTGTAGAATTGAATCCATTTACACTCAATGCTATTATTGATAAGTAAGGACTTCCTCCTGCCACTTTGTTTTTTCTTTTCTGATTGTTTTGTGGTCAACTCTTACTTCTTTCCCTCCTTCTGGTCTTTTAGTGATGGTGGTTTTCTCTGGTGGTACATTTTAATTTCTTGTTACGTGTGTGTGTGTGTGTGTGTGTGTGTGTGTGTATAAACTGTATGTTTTTTGATTTGGGGTTAACATGATGCTTGCAAACAATATAATATATCCCATTATTTTTAAAAGATGACAACAGTGGATAAACAAAAAAACTAATAAACAAAAAGAGAAAACTAATGAAAACTCTACACTTTTTAACTCCATCTTCCCACTTTTTAACTTTCTGTTGTTTCTATTTATATCTTACTGTACTATCCATGTCTTAAAAAATTGTTGTAATTATTATTTTTAATTGGTTCATCTTTTAGTCTTTTCTACTTAAGATATAAATAGTTTAAACATCACAATTACAGTGTCGTAATACTGTGTGTTTTTCTGTGTATTACTTTTTATTTTTTGAGACAAAGTTTTGCTCTTGTCCCCCAGTCTGGGGTGCAATGCGCCATCTCGGCTCACTGGAACCTCTGCCTCCTGGGTTCAAGTGATTCTCCTGCCTCAGCCTCCCAAGTAGCTGGGATTACAGGCATCTGCCACCATGCCCGGCTAATTTTTGTACTTTTAATAGAGATGGTGTTTCACCATGTTGGCCAGGCTAGTCTCGAACTCCTGACCTCAGGTGATCCACCCACCTCGGCCTCCCAAAGTGCTGGGATTACAGGCATGAGCCACCATGCCCAGCCTTGTGTATTACTATTATAAGTTAGTTTTATACTTTCAGATGGTCTCCTCTTGATCAATAATTTTCTTTTCTTTCAGACTGATGAACTTCCTTTAGCATTTCCTGTTGAAAAGGTCTTGTGTTGATGAAATCCCTCAGCTTTTGTTTGTCTAGGAAAGTATTTCACTTTCATTTTGAAGGTTATTTTTACCTTTATTCTAGGATAAAAGTTCTTTTTTTTTCCTTCAATACTTTAAATATGCTATGTCACTCTCTCCTGGCCTGTAAGTTTTCCACTAAAAAGTCTGCTGTCAGATGTATTGGAGCTCCATTATATGTTATTTGTTTCTTTTCTCTTGCTGCTTCTATGATTCATTCATTATCCTTGACCTTTCACAGTTTGATTATTAAATGTCTTGAGGTAGTCTTATTTGGATTTAATCTGCTTGCTGTTCTACAATTTCTTGTACCTGAATACTGATATCTTTCTCTAGGTTTGTGAATTTCTCTGTTATTATCCTTTGGAATAAACTTTCTACCCCTGTCTCTCTACCTACTCTTTAAGACCAATAACTCTTAAATTTGCGCTTTTGAGGCTATTTTATAGATCTTGTAGGCACATCATCCTTTTTAATTCTTTTTTCTTTGGTTCTCTCTGTGAATTTTCATATACCCTGTTTTCAAGATCACTGATTCTTCTGTTTGGGCAATTCTGCTGTTATGAGACTCTGATTCATTCTTCTGTGTGTCTATTGCATTTTTCAACTCTAGAATTTCTGCTTGATTCTTTTAAATTATTTCAATCTTTTTATTTTAGTTTATCTGGTAAGATTCTCAATTTCTTCTCTGTGTTATCTTCAACTCCATAGAGTTTCCTCAAAACAGCTATTTTGAATTCACTTTCTGGAAGGTCATATATCTCTTTCTCTCCAAGATTAGCCATTGATACCTTATTGTGTTTGTTTTGTGAGGTCATGTTTTCCTGGATGGTCTTGATGCTTTTGAATATCAATGGTGTCTGTGAATTGAGGAGTCATGGATTTACTGTATGTAATCTTTGCAGTCTGTGCTTGTTTATACCTGCCCTTTTTGGGAAAATTTTCCAAGTCTTCAAAGGGATTTGAGTTTTGTGATCTAAGCTTTTGGTCGCTGCAGCCATATCTGCATTAAGGGACATCCCAAGCCCAGTAACGCTGTGATTCTTCCAGACTTGTAGAGGTACCACTTTGATGGTCTTGGATAATATCTAGAGTATTTCTCTGAATTACTAGGCAGAGAATCTTGTTCTCTTCCCTTTCTTTCACCCAAATAAATGGAGGCACCCTCTCTGTGCTGAGGTGCCTGGAGCTCCCAGAAAGGTGACAAAAGCACCACTATAGCCACAACCACTGAGACTGTGCTGGGTCAGATCTGAAGCCAACACAGCACTGAGTGTCACCAAGGCCTGACGTAACCACTACCTGGCTACTGCGTATGTTTGCTCAAGGCCCCAGGGCTCTATAATCAGCAGGTGGTAAAGACAGCAATGCATTTATCTAATGATCAGTGATGTTGAGCTTCTCTTCAAGTTTGTTGGCCACATAAATGTCTTCTTTTGAGGAGTCCATTCATGTCCTTTGTCCACTTTTTAATGGGGTTATCTGTTTTTTTCTTGTATTTTTTAAGTTCCTTGTAGATTTTGGATATTAGACCTTTGTCAGATGAACAGATTGCAAAAATTTTCTCCCATTCTGTAGGTTGTCTGTTCACTCTGATGATAGTTTCTTTTGCTGTGCAGAGGCTCTTTAGTTTAATTAGATCCTATTTTTTCTTTGGTTGAAATTGTTTTTCACGTTTTCATCATGAAATCTTTGCCCAAGTCTATGTCTTTAATGATATTGCCTGGATTTTCTTCTAGGGTTTTTACAGTTTCGGGTTTTACATTTAAGTATTTAATCCATCTTGAGTTAATTTTTGAATAAGGTGTAAGGAGGTGTCCAGTTTCAATTTTCTGCATATGACTAGCCAGTTTTTCCAGCACCATTTATTAAATAGGGAATCCTTACTCCGTTGCTTGTTTTTGTCAGATTTGTTGAAGATCAGATGTTTGTAGATATATGGTCTTATTTCTGAATTCTCTCTTCTGTTCCACTGGTCTATGTGGCTGTTTTTGTACAAGTACCATTTTTTTTTTATTACTGTAGCCTTCTAATATAGTTTAAAGTTGGGTAGAGTGATACCTCTAGCTTTGTTCTTTTTGCTCAGGATTGTCTTAGCTATATGTCCTTTTTTTGGTTCCATGTGAATTTTAAACTATTTTTTTCTAATTCTGTGAAGAATGTCAATAGTAGTTTAATGGGAATAGCATTGAATCTATAAATTACTTTGTACAGCATGGCCATTTTCATGATATTGATTCTTTGTATCCATGAGCATGGAATATTTTTGTATTTGTTTGTGACCTCTATGATTTCCCTGAGCAGTAATTTGCAGTTCTCCTTGAAAAGGTCCTTCACTTCCCTTGTTAGATGTTTTCCTAGGTATTTTAATATTTTGTAGCAATGAGATACTATCTCACACCAGTCAGAATGGTGATCATTAAAAAGTCAAGAAACAACAGAGGCTGGCAAGGTTGTGGAGAAACAGGAATGCTTTTACACTTTTGGTGGAAATGTAAATTAGTTTAACCATTGTGGAAGACAGTGTGTGGTGATTCCTCAAAGACCTAGAATCAGAAATACCATTTGATCCAGAAATCCCATTACTGGGTATATGCCCAAAGGAATATAAATCATTCTATTATAAAGATACATGCATACGTATGTTGACTGCCACACTATTCACAATAGCAAAGACGTAGTATCATGTCCATGATCATCAATGATAGACTGAATAAATAAAATGTGGTACATATACATTGTGGAATGCTATGCAGCCATAAAAAGGAACAAGATTACGTCCTTTGCAGGAACATGGATGGAGCTGGACTCTATTATCCTCAGCAAACTAACACAAGAACAGAAAACCAAATGTTGCATGTTCTCACTTATAAGTGGAAGCTGAACAATGAGAACACATGGACACAGGGAGAAAAAAAACACACACTGGGGCTTGTCAGGGGAGGGGCTGGGAGAAGGAGAAAATCAGGATACATAGCTAACACATGTAGGGCTTAATATCTAGGTGATGGGTTGACGGGTGCAGCAAACCACCATGGCACATGTTTACCTATGTAACAAACCTGCACGTCCTGCATATGTATCCCAGAACCTAAAATTAAGTTAAATTAAATTTAAAAAAAAAAGAAAAAGACGACAATGCTTGTGTCCTTTCCTTTAGGGCTGCATGTTTCCTTTATTACTCAGTAGGTCCAGAGATGCCATCTGGGAACCAGGGCCTAGAGTTGAAAACCTTGAGTCTACCTGGTGCTTTATTCTACTGTGGCTAAATTTACATCTAAGCCACTAAACTTTCAACTTTTCCCTTCCCTTTACACAGTCAGAGAAGTTACTCCTCATGGCCACCATCACTGCAGCTCCATGGTGAGTACTTCCTGGCTATTGCCAATATTCACTCAAGGCCCAAGGGCTCTCCGCTCAGTGTGTAGTGAATGCTGCAAGGTGTGAGACTCTCCAGTGCAGTGGATTCCCCTCTGGCCCAGGGCAGGTCTAGAAATGCAATCCAAGAGCCAAGCCCTAGAATCAGGGACTGTAAGAACCCACTCAGTGCTCTACTCCACTTGGGTTAAGCCGGTACCTAAGCTAATATCTGGTTCTTATGAAAGTGCTTATTTGGTGTTCCTGCCGGGAAGAAAATTAGTGGAGGCTTTTGTTCGACTGTCTTTCTCTGTCTCCATCTCAGGGGTGTCTTTTGGGGAGCAATAAAAGTACTCTCTTATTCCTTGTCACAGAAAAAAGAAAAAAAAGAAGTATTTGAGAACAGGAGAATATTCACAAAGAGCAGCATCAAGTCCTTCCTTATTTCTTCCATTAGAAAGGAGGTTTCAAGTCGAAATGTGGTTATTTTTTGCTGGTGCATTGGATCTGTTCCAGTCCACTGAGTGACACAGAGAGAGACACATTTTACAGTCCCTGTACTTTCTCTTACAATTCAGCCAGGTTTTATGTGGGGCAGAAAAGAACCAAGTTCATCTCAGGAAAATAATAAAGGAGGGGTGGCTATTATTCCTAACTGAATAAAACTAGAACCATGTAAAAAGGAAAAAGACCATTAGCTCAGTATGGGTTAACTGAATCACTGAAGAAAAATGTTTATCACTGAAGCTGTGCTTACTTCACATGAGAAATAACTCTCACTACTGGGAAGGCAGGCTAGAAAGTGGGTCACTTGCATTAGATCTAATTCTTGGAACTGTTTATTTTCTTTTGAGCCCAAGAAGATTGAGAAAATATTTTTATAATTGTGTGGCCCAAACCTAAAGAACTGCTTAAAGTAACAGGAAACAAGGAGGTTCCAAAAGGTGAAACGCCTTCCAATGGGGAAAGTTAGAAGTTTTATCAAGGAAAACTATGTGTTAAGAGTGATGACAGACTGTAAAAGGGGACGATTTGTGGGTGGGGTGATACCACAGGTCAAGATAGAGCTATCCACTAAGCATTCTGTCATCACCTGAGTGTAAGGCTGAAAATCTCCTTCTATTCTGCAACGTAGTGGAATGTCCATAATGTCAACTTCTTCAGATGTTATTCCTCATACACATTTGTGATTGCCTTGAGAGAGAGAGAGAGAGAGAGAGGCTTGATGTTTGTGATTGCTTTGACATAATAAAGAACTTATGTTTCTAATATATATTGAACTTAATCTGGAGCATAAAGTCTCTTACAAGTTGTTGGGACAAAAAGTGGAGATGGGTTAATAAAACTAATTTCCAAGAAATCTTTGTTGGAAAAATAAAAAACAAAAAAAATTTGGCTGTTTTTCATTAAATATAATTTGGCATATTCCAGTGTCATTTAAAATGAAAAAGAAATTGACCATCCGGGTGACTGCAGTAAAATTTCAGGCATTTCATATTTGTAAATACATTGATAGTCACTCTTCCACCCACTTCAAAATTAATAGTTGGTCCTTTGGGATAAAAAAAAGTGATTGATTCCTGCACAACCAGTTCATAATAACAATCATCCAGTTCTCAGGAGTCAGAAGGCAAACAGGAACCATACTGCTCTACTCACATAGTCTCCTTTCTCCTTCTATCACTAAATCCATTCACAGATGAATGCACTAAAAAGAAATAAGATCAATCTCCTTTTTCAATTAGCTATGACAAAATACCTCTTGCTTACACATGTAGAAAGTCAATACAGAAATGTCAAATTATTATAAGCATTTTACTTGTTATTGTTAACAAATATATATTTTAACACCATTATGTCTATTGATTTTTAAGACTAGCAGAATCCTATTAATTATTCAATTTTTTACATACTGTCTATTAAAACATCTGTGTATTTATACAGTTAGAAATATTTGAATTGTCGGTTAAATTTTATATAAAATTTAGGATGTCCAAAATAAGTTATGCTAAATAATATTACTCTATGATAAGTAATATTAAATATTAAATATAAAATAAAATATTACTCTATGATAAGTAAGACTTGACATCACTGTCAATGACAGAACAATTCTGATTAAGAACAACTACAAATAGGAAAAGGTAAGTCAGCCATATAAATACTCATAGAAAAGATTATATGTGTCTAGTCACTTTGATTTTCATTTTCCAGTTCTTCCTTCAAAGCCAATAACTCTCAGCTGCCTAAAAGTTTAATAAATCATGTTGATCATTTTAAAGAACTAGGTCACAGTTTTATTTGCTTTCTTTATTTATTTTACAGTTTTTGTTTTTCAGATTTTTCTCTAATTTATATATATACTGCAATGGTGTTCGTTTTTTTTCTGCCATTTAATTGTCTTTGTATTATTTTATTATTTACAAACATCTTAAATTCTTTCATTAATTCTATTAAATTGGCTTTATAATAATATACTTAAACCTATGCATTTTATTGAATAGAGCCTTGGTCATGTACTATGGTTTAACAACACGCAATGATTTAAACTTTATTAATGTCTAAACTATTTAAAACTTAATTTGGTATATCCTTTACAAAGTAAATAATGTTTAGATTATTAAAATGTTTTTAAACAATTATTTTCTTATAGTTATTTGTGCTGATTTACTGTTTTAAGGCATTGTTTTATAGTAAGTTATATACAAGTTTTATACTTTTACCATATGAAAACATTTCTCTGACTAGATAATGTATGCCAGTGTCTATAAATGTTTATATATTTTTATGATAACAGCTTTTAGATATCTTCATTTTTGTCTCACTCATCATTAGACCTGGGATAGACTTCGCAAAAACAAAACAAAACAAAACAAAACAAAACAAAACAAACAAAAAACAAAACCAAGAAACAAGAGACATTAATATTTCTTGAAAAAAATAACTATACTCTTCATTTTTCTATTTTTACTAATAACTGAACTTAGTGAACAGATATGAAAGAATGAATCAATAAACTAAATTATATCTTACAAATAGCTAATTAATGTTTGATAATAACATAGCAACGTATAAAGAAAACCTGCATACTTAACAAGACATCTACAAATAGGCAGTTTCTGATGCTGGGTTCAGCATCCCTATGTTCTCTTGGACTTATCAGTCATATGAGATTGCCAGAGATCTAGTTATTAATTTATTTTCTAAGTGTGAATGAGAAGGCTACCTGCCCCTTTTACTTATTAAGAAGGCTAAAACATTCTTAGCATGTTCACAGTAGAGATACACTTAGATTTCATTCATCAAAATCCGGCACATATTTTCTTCTTTCTTCAAATATTTCACCTTTTCATCCTAAAGTTTTCAAGGATGAGGAGAGTTAGAGTGGCAATTAATCTAGCCAATATCTGTGTGTTAGCATTATTTTAAACGTGTGCTGCCTTAGACCAAATTAAATTGATTTTCTGGCTATGTGTGTTTCTGTAGCTTATTATAACTTTCTAGAAACAAAGACAAAAAATGAGGAGAAATTGTGATTTCAGCACAATTGAATAAATTTTCATTTAACATCCACTATTGTACTATGCATTATAAATATATTTATTTCTGTGTCTGCAAAAATGTAGCTAAAACATGTCTTTTAGTTCAATTCTCTAAATGACTCCTTTTGTAAACCATTTCACACAAGGCATTCTCTGCCATAAGTGAGAATAAAGAAAGCTTCTTCATTCTATTTCCTCTTTATTTCTCCAAAGCATATTAAAGTTCATAATACAGTTATCTTGCTCGAATAGTAAGAAGTTTGTGATGTCAATGCAACATAAATGCTTATGTTTTCTAGCCTAATTTTGGCTAGAAAACTGCAAATGCAGTTAGCAGCTCTTCTCTTCTGCCTCACTGGTATTTAAAAATCTGGAAGAATATTCAATACTCTCCCCAACCCCCTGACTGCTTAATATAATATATTCATCAAACAAGTATATGCTTGGTTCAGCACAAAATGGAAAACTTAGATGAAAAGGGAGTATTAGGCAGTCTTTTTAACATATTTCTTTATCATAGGTACATACAAAGCTCTTCTTGATCCATAAGTTATCATCCTGGTGAGTTGCTATAAATATGCATGAAGGGACTGACCCCAGAGTAGCAGATTAATTACCTCTTGTATGATTTTGTGCATGTGTGTAAGAATAGTTTTATTTTATTCATTCAAGAAACATTGATTGAATTTTTTTTTTCTGTCTTAAGAAATAAGCTGTATTCTACGATGAATAAGACATTGGCACTATTCCTAGGGACTGAGGTTTAGATAACCAAGAGTTTGAAACCAAGAAACTAGTTTGAAAAAAATGATCCCTGTAGATCATTGGAGGCATTGTTTGAAAAGTACTAAAGATAATTACTCAGTAGTATAATAACTTGAATAAAGATTTGTAAAATCTGAAATGTGATATATTTACAGTTAATACAAGGAATCTCGTGTTTTAATTTAATTATTTTAATCCTTTTATTTTTCACATACTTGTGTGTGTGTGAAAATCATGGAGATTTAAATAATGTAGTTTCTTTGTTTTCTTTATTGTGTATATTTTAGAGTTTTCAGTAATGCAATTAAATTGCCAATTTTGTTTGTCAAAATCCTCTAATGTACTTTAAGCCATATGCTAGATTACCAGGCCCTCACCTTGTGTTATGTAGTCTATATGTGTCACTGTCAATAATAACTGCTGTTAGAGCTAAATTTGCAAAAGGTGAATTGGGTAAAAACACTGACTTGGAGTTACTTACTGTCATTTGTGCAACTCATTTTTTTAGGATAAGAAGAAAATCTATTTATAAAATACAAGATAGTTTTTCATTCTTAGTTTATTATGAAGGAAATAAAGGCTACACGAATGCTCAGAATCCTAAAAGATATTTGACAGACTGGAATTTCAAGATTTTTCTCAAAGGGTCACCAAATATTGATTTTTACATTATTTCACTTAGCTATATACAAAGGGCAAAGCATGTCTTCTGATTATTTCCACACATTCTGCTCCTAAAACCTGTAGACCCTATTCTTCAATTCAGGAAACCTTGGAAGAGACATGATTTCTTTCCAGCAGAAATAACTGTCCAAATAAAATGTGTTCAACTGGGGTGTTCACTTAAGTTAAAGACAGGTTTCCAGCTGATACAGATGATTGTTCTAGCTGATATGTTTGATTGCTCTTGTGTAGGCAATTACAAGACCACAAGGAGAAGCACAAAGAGTCTGACTTCCAATCACAACCTGACTGTGGGCATGCCCAAATCTGACAGACTTTGATGGAGGAAACCTTGAGTGAAAGATTTCAAAAATAAACCCTCAAAGAGAATAGTTATAGTGGTATTTAGAAACACACACACACACACACACACACACACACACACGCAGAGAGTGCAAGCAAAATAAACCTTCAGAGAAAATAGTTATAGTGGTATTTAGAAAGAGAGAAAGGATGAAAAGGGGGCCAGGCGCGGTGGCTCACGCCTGTAATCACAATATTTTGGGAGGCCAAGGCGGACGGATCACCTGAGGTCAGGAGTTCGAGACCAGCTAGGTCAACATGGGGAAACCCCATTTTTACTAAAAATAAAAAGCAATTAGCTGAGCGGGCACCTGTAGTCCCAGCTACTGGGGAGGCTGAGGCAAGAGAATCACTTGAACCTGGAAGGCGGGGGTTGCGGTGAGCCGAAATCGCTCCATTGCACTCCAGCCTGGGCAACAAGAGGGAAACTCCGTCTCAAAATAAAAATAAAAAATAAAAAAAAAAAGAAAGGGTGAAAGGTGGAGCGGGAGACAAGGAGCAAGGGACACTGACTTAAAAGAAGAAACATGGAATCAGATTTTGCATAGGGCCCTAGTTCCTTAGGGCAAGCTTATTTCTGCAAGGAAATTCCTGGACTCTCTCTCTTCACCTTCTCTCTCTTCTTGCCTTTCTACATCTAAGCTGTTAAAATGTAAGATAACCATGGTTTTCCCCAAATTTCATTTATCACAGTCCATTGAATTAATGAAAATTTGGTCTATTATGGAGAATTTGTTTTTATTTCTGTTGTTTGATTTTACTTTGAGGTTGATATTTCACAAGTACCAATCTGATAAACTATAAAGGATAGAGGTAATAGGCATCTTTCAGGATTTTATTTGTAATTTTGACTTCTGATCCATTTCTCCCAATATGTGTAGCTATTTATAGCATTTAGTAAGAGAGAAAATGCTGCCATACATTCTCTATTATTAATATTTTATAAGTAGTCTATGTTTTTGGAGTTTTAATACATGTTTTTTGTTGTTTTGCTTACATGTTTTCTCTATATCTTTTTCTTAAAGTCCTATAATAATTTCTACTGTTCAATAGACAATAATATTTCTTCTCTGGGATTTATTGAAGGAGAATGCCATTTCAAAATCTAGAAAAATGTGAAAGTTTAATGATAAAGAATCTTTCTTACTTACTTTAGGCCCATTATATAACTTATCTTATTTGAATAAAAATTCATTGCAATCATCAACACCACTTTGAAACTAGATGTTTTTTCAAAGAAAAACTAATTGTAAAGCTGTAGAAGGCAATTTTTATCAAATTGTGCTGTGTTTATTTTATGTTAGAAAAACTATTTGAGATAATTCTTTAAATTTCATTTATAATTTTCAATGGGTATGCTAGATGATAGTAGCCACAAATTGGAAATTAGAAGTAGAATGAAGAGAACTTCATATTTTCCAAAATAATCTTCCAATTAAAATCAAATATAAAAATATAATACGAAGTAAATTTGGAGGTTTTACAAATGACTGAAACTATAATTTCAACTGAAACCATCAAAGCCATGAAGTAAAGTGTTCTCACAAATAAAATTAAAAGACAGCACCTTCAGTGTTTTCTGAAGGTACATTTTATCTGAGCATACATGAAACCACCAAAGTGAGAGGGACTCACATGTGTAACCTTAAATTAGTTGGCCACGCCACTTTTTGGATTATCACTCATCATGAACTGACATTTTTCATAGTTTGCAACTGATGAAAATCCAGAATTGACCTCAATATGTTGGTTTGTAGAAACCACACACCATGAAAATACCAGCTGGTGCTGATCTGAACCAACAAAATGAAATAGGAATAAATGCTTTTATTTCAGTTTTAATTGGATTCTTTGCTCACGGGTGGAAGAAACAGTTGCAAAGTTTTCAACAAAAGCTAGATAGAGAATTAAGTAGACAGAAAGATGATATTTTGAGGGAAATCACACTCCAAAAAGTGCCCTCTTCAGTAGTCCCCATGCAGAGGACACTTGCTCGATAGTACTTCTGCTTGAAAACTTGAGGTGCTTTTTCAAGTTAAGGATTTTATAATAGAAAAGCTCAGAATTAACAGCACTAATTTAATGAAAGCATAGAAAAAATGGTTACCCTATTATTATAACCTTATAAAATTTATCCCTTATTATTTAAATAGAATCAATACATGTCTCAGAAACAAAAAATTCCTTAAAGACATCTTGCTTTAACATCTTCCTATAACTTATTTTACTACTTAGGAAACACAGACTGAAAAAAATTACTGTGCAATATATACTCAATGTAACTATTATTGGTGGCATGACTGAGACCAATATCCACATGCCATAAACTCTCAACCAAGACTTTTGTATGGCAACATGTTGCTGCTCTCTAGGAAAATGCCAATATAATTTTTATAGGGAATTAGCAAAAGAGCAGGGTTTCTTTATATACAATTAACAATAGAGCGGCATTATCCATTAAATCCAAGAGAAGAAATATTATTATCTATTGAACAGTAGAAGTTATTATACGACTTTAAGAAAAAGATATAGAGAAAACATGTAAGCACAACAACAAAAAACATAAATTAAAACTCAAAAAACATAGACTACTTATAAAATATGATTACATTTTAAACAGAGGAATATTTATATATATTCATCTACTTACCACTGTAAAATTGAATCACTGAAATATTTGATTGTTGTAAGCATGTGCATTTCTATGTATTAACGAATGTGTTAAGTAATGATGTCATTTCTATGTTTATCCACAGAACATTTTGATTTTGATTGATAGATTTTAGTGCCACATTAATACCATCATGCCTGATTAAAAGTTTTAGCCTATTTTTCATCCTTATAACTATAAATACCTCGACATGTATTCTTTAATCTTTGACCTTGAAATTTTTGGTAAGACAGTAATTTATAGAATCATTTTGAATATTAAAATATATTCTTTGCATTATTTAGGCAACATATTATTTTCATTTAAAGCTATTTAAAATTTCAACAACTCATATATCTACACATGGCTCCCCATTGCATAAAAGTTACAACAGTCTCCCAAGGAATTTAGATATGTGGTAGTAAAACATGACTTGTCATATTGCCATCATATTATAGACTAAAGGGAAAAGGTTTCTGACAATTTTATATGAAAAAATAGTGTGATATTCAATAAGGAAAAATCCTTTTAGATGTTTTTAATGTAGAAAAATATCTTTGTATGTATTTTTATCAAGTTTTATGAAAAGAATGAGTGTGAAGATTGAATAAAATATTTCCAAACAAACAAAATCACTTTGTCATTTTTAAAATGAAGTATGTGTTCACTTATTTGAAATTTTCCTGATAATTTTTTTATGGTGTTGTCCAGTTCACAGAAAGGCATAAAACTTTCATAAAGTTGTGAGGTAGGCAATTTTTTTTTTTTTTTTGAGACTGAGCACTGGAGTGCAGTGGGACGCTCTCAGCGCACTGCAACCTCCACCTCCCAGGTTCAAGACATTCTCCTGCCTCAGCCTCCCGAGTAGCTGAGACTACAGGTGTGTGCAACTGCGCCCAGCTAGTTTTTGTGGTTTTAGTAGAGATGGGGTTTCACCATGTTGGCCAGGCTAGTCGTGATTTGAACTCCTGACCTCAAGGGATCCATCTGCCTTGGCCTCCCAAAGTGCTGGTATTACAATTGTAAGCCATCATGCCCGACCAACAAATTTTTCTACAGAGGCTCTCATGATTACTGCTTTGGTGGGGGGGCCAGGGGGAGGGCGAAAAAGCCACTTGTTGGTCAACTAAAGAGCCATCTCAACCAACACCACTTAATAGATCATTCCAATTCATTGACCTTTCTGTTTCTTTATGAACATTAGAGTGGCTTTTTAAAATTGGGATGTTGATTAACAAAACAAACAAAACATAAACATCAAACAAATAACAGGACCTGGGAATGAATTTAAGCGTTATGCCTGATAAATTTGAATTTGAGTAGCTTCTCCCTAAACTAATTCTGAAATGTTAGGTTAGCCACATCACCTTTGAGAACTCGATTTCCTCTTCTTTGAAATAGGGATAAATATCACAGCCAGTTAATATCGTGATAAGTGATGTGGATTATACTGAATACATATAAACAACAATTGTATCTATCTAGGTAGTACTGGATACAGGATTAATATCATCCCCAAGTCCATAATCTTTCCATTATATATGATGAATGGCACACACGGCACATTTGTTAATTTCACTGCAACCAGGAGACACAATACTAATGTCACAACGGTCTTTTCTGATGAGCTTTAATACAATGCTAGAATCCCATTTCTGTAACTGGATTAGCAACAACAATAAAAAAAACCTAGTTAATAACTACACTATGCGATGCCAAATTCTTCCAAAGTTTCCTCATCTCTTCCTAAATAAAATATAATTGTTTAAATGAAAGAAATGTTGAAGCCAATATCATCTTTCATTAATCTTTACATCAGTCCAAACTCTTCCTAAACTAATTTCTGATTCCATATTTGTTAAATCTCATGATTTATGTGTTATTTGTTGGTCGGAACTCTTTTGGTTGAGGTATCAGAATCTATTTCTAACAGGAGAAAAAGAATGAATGTATTTGCTTATGACATACTTATAGAGTATGTGAAGGAGAGGCGGCTTCATGCAGTGCTGATTTCAGGATATAAAACAATGCCATTAGAATTTTGTACCTCTCTTACCACCTTCCACTTTTTTCCCTCTGGGTGTTCTCCTTCTGATGAGTATTCTCCCTTGGCAGCTAAAATGTTCCCAGAAAACTATAGGCTTTTATAATCTGTGGGAAGCAGAGGTAGGAGGATCACTTGAGGCCAGGAGTTCGAGTCCAGCATGGTCAATGTAATGAGACCTTGTTTCTTTAAGAAAAAAAATATATGTATATATTGCTGGGTGTAATGGCACAAATCTGTAATTCCAGCTACTCAGGAGGCTGAGGCGGGAGGATCTTTTGAGCCCAACAGTTTGAGGTTACACTGAGCAATAATAGCACCACTGCACTCAACCCTGGATTACAGAGCTAGAACCCATTTCTAAAAATAAAAATTAAAATATGAATTATAAGAAAACCCAATTTACAAAATATAATCTTTGAGACACAAGGTCTCAGAAATTTGTAGATTCTCAATTTCCATTTCAACAGTTTATTTTACCAGCTTATCTGTGACTATTTTCCTTTACGAAATTTGCGAATGTTCAGTGTGAAATTGTCTTGCTCGCATATTATGTACCATTTCCTGCACCACTGAAGGGATTTGGACTGTAATGTACTCAAACTCAATATTTAAAGTATTTGAGTTTATAAGTACACAAGTTTAAATTTTGCATATCATAAATAGCCTTGTAAAAATATATAAATATATTTACATGTATATATGTCATTAATAATATCAGATGGAATTTAACAATCTTTAAAAGTTTCTTGTGCATATGAAATAATAGTTCACAAATTGGGAGACCTCAAACTGAAAGTGCCAAGGAGTCCAGCTCACAGCAGTTACAGCATAGTTTATGATGCATAAAGAATCTAATTTGTGATTGGCTGATATACGTTAACACTCTATTTAGGGCAAGTGGAGCTGTTTAAGCTGATTCATCTATAGCTGATTGATTTAATATCATCAAATGACACTGATAAGAATTTAAAGCTTATATTTTGTGTATTTTTTTTGTAATTGGAACTAACGTTTTGGGCAAATCGGAATGACTTAAGTTTTGATTATGCAGCTATAAACAGTTGACCTTGAGGTATATCTAAATTGTAGCCACCATTTTTATTTTTCTTTACATATGCTTATGTATTAATGTATATACACATGCATATATATATATACATATATACAGACACACACACAAATATAGGCACACACATGTGAATGTTCAAATTACATTCCTGCTTATCTGAAAAGGTTGAAAACAGAGAAAAGTAAGTACCATTTTCTTAGCTTTTACCTCTTGAAATTTGTAAAGCCTCATAAATAACAGTCTTATTTTTTCCTCCAAAGTTCAGAACCAAGTTAGAGATAGACAAAGACTCAGGAAAATGGAAACAAAACCACTCTTTCCATTACTGATGAAGTGGTGTATACTATGACTTCAGTTTATAGGCAAAGAAGCCAAAGTTAGAGGCACTTATTAATAATTCCCTGGCCAAAGGCAGCATCATCCCTTACCAGCAGGAACAAAATCTGTCCTGGTCGTGTTGGTGCAAGACTAAGACTGAAGAAGAGAACATGTCCTAGCTGCCATCAAATGCAATTTATGGCCAGTTTCTTCACCCAAACTCACCAGTCAGGTAAATCATTCTTCCTTGTCCAGAAAGGAATAAAGAGAAGTCAGGAATATCACTATTATGAAGGTCCTACATAACATTAATATGATGCCAATGGAAGGTAGGTTCCATCTCAAGCTCACCACTTGTAAAGCAAAAAGCATTTAACATCTGAAATTGAAGTTAGTTGTCACCTAGTTCAAAACTCTCATTATGTAGCTTAGAAATCTGAAGTCCTGAGTTCAGAGATGATGTTTAAACTGGCAAAGAGAATAAGGGGTTTGAACTAAGAGTTGACTTTTTACTCACTTAGCCATTTATTTATTTAGCAAATACTTACTGTACACTGTGAAATCAAATTCAACCCCAAGGATACAATATTGGATATATATTATATATATAGGGTGTATATATAATATACATATTATATATATGGGGTGCATACATAATATATATATTATATATATGGGGTGCATATATAATATAAATATTATATAGGTTATACGTAATATATATTATATATAGGTTACATATATAAAATATAATATACAATATATTATATATTATATATAAACTATATATGTGATATATATTATATATAGGTGTATATTATATTATATACATATATGTATATTACATATGCATATATGTATATTATAAATGTATATTATATGTGTATATATGTGTATATACGTGTATATGATATATGCATAATACATATATAAATAAATGTAATATACATATATAATATATAGGTGTATATTATATGTGTATATTATATATAGGTGTATATTATATATATATTATATAATATATAGGTTTATATATATTATATATAGGTGTGTATATATATTATATAATATATATACATGTATATATTATATATTATATAGGAGTATATTATATAAGTGTAACCTATAAACCTATATATAGCTTTATATTATATAGGTGTAAACTATATATTATATATAGGTTATATATACGAAATATATAGGTTATATATATAAAATATATAATATATAACCTATATATGTAATATATATTATACAGGTTATATAAAATATTATATATAATAAATTAAATAATGTATTATATATTATTATATACTAATATCTAATTACATATAATATATACAATATTATATATAATATATTATATAATATATTATATATAATATATAACCTATATATAATATATTATATATATAACCTATATAATATATTATATATAAAATCTATATAGGTTACATGTATAATATATTATATATAAAGGGGATGTATACAAACACAAATGTGCATATATGTATATACATGTATGTGTATGTGTATATATTACATATATTATATAATATATAGGTTATATATAATATACCATATATTATATATGATATATCACATATTATATATACCATATATCATATATATGATATATCATATATATTATATAATAATTATATATTATATCATATATTATATATCATAAATAATTATTAAATATTGTAATATATTATGTATTATATACTATATGATTATACATTATATAATACATGATAATATATATAATATATATCATATATTTAATATATGATCATATATATAATGTACATCATATATATAATATATGATCATATATATAATATATATCATATATTATATATATGATATATTATATGATCATACATTATAATATATGATTACATATTATAATATGTGATCATATATTATATAATTATATATAATATACCATATATTATAATGTATGGTTATATGTTATACATAATAATCATGTATTATAATATATGATCATATATTACAATATATGATCATATATTATATAATATATATGATTATTATAATATAATATAATATAATTATATATTATAATATATGGTATATTATATATAATTATATATTATATATAATATATAATTATATATAATATATTATGTATTATATAATTATATATTATATATAATATATAATTATATATAATATATTATGTATTATATAATTATATATTATATATAATATATAATTATATATAATATATTATGTATTATATAATTATATATTATATATAATATATCATATGTTATATATAATTATATAATATATAACATATTATATAATATTATATATTATATAATATGTTCTATATTATCTTTATATATTATCTGTTATATATTATATATTATATATTATATGTTATATATTATATATTCTATATAATATCTATGATATATTATATATAAACTATGTATAATAGTTATACATAGTTATATTATGTATAAACTATGTATAATATATATAATATATGTACATACACATACAGGTATATACATACATGCACACGTGTGTATATATATATCCCCTTTGTATATAATAGATTATATGATATATTATATAATATATAATATAATATCATATATATGATATAATCTATTATATATGATATAATATAATATATATGATATAATATATTATATGTGATATAATATAATATATTATATATGATATGATATATAGTATATGATATGATATATTATATATATAATTATATATGACATATATATAATTATATATGATATATTATATATGTCATATATAATTATATATATTATATATACATATATATAATTATATATGACATATATAATATATTATATATGACATATGTAACATATTATATATAACATATATAATATATTATATATGATATCTAATATATTATATATGATATATCTAATATATTATATATGATACATTATATATAGTACATATGATATATATTATATATGCCATAGTATATATAATAGTATATATAATATATATGATGTATATGATAGTATATATCATATATATTATATACTATACTACATATAATATATATTATATATACTATAGTATATATAATATATATTATATATAATATAAAATATATTATATATCATATAATATAAAATATATATAATATTATATTATGTATAATATAATATATATAATTAATATAATATAATATTATATATAATATAATATTATATAATATTATATTATATATATTATAAAATATTATATATATATTATACATAATATTATATTATATATTATATTATATATTATATTATATATGTTATATTATATATACATATACATAATATATAATATATAATGTATATTATATATTATGTATAATATATAATATATATATTATGTATAATGTATAATATATATTATGTATAATGTATAATATATATATTATGTATAATGTATAATATATATATTATGTATATTATATAATATATGTTATGTATATTATATAATATATATTATGTATATTATATAATATATATTATATATAATATATATTATATATTATGTATAATATATAATATATATTATGTACAATATATAATATATATTATGTACAATATATAATATATGTTATGTATAATATATAATATATGTTATGTATAATATATAATATATGTTATATATTATATCATGTATAATACATGTTATGTATATCATGTATAATACATGTTATGTATATCATGTATAATACATGTTATGTATATCATGTATAATACATGTTATGTATATCATGTATAATACATGTTATGTATATCATGTATAATACATGTTATGTATATCATGTATAATACATGTTATGTATATAATGTATAATATGTTATGTATATCATGTATAATATGTTATGTATATCATGTATAATATATGTTATGTATAATATATATTATGTATATTATGTATAATATGTATTATGTATAATATGTATACTATATATTATGTATAATATATATTATACATATTATGTATAATATATATAATACATATTATTTATAATATATATTATGTATAATATATATTATGTATAATATATATTATGTATAATATATATTATGTATAATATATATTATATACATTATGTATAATATATATTATATATATTATGTGTAATATGTATTATATATATTATGTATAATATGTATTATATATATTATGTATAATATATATAATATTTGTTATGTATAATATATATTATATAAGTTATGTATAATATATATTATATGTATTATGTATGATATATATTATATGTATTATGTATGATATATATTATATGTATTATGTATGATATATATTATATATATTCTGTATAATATATATTATATATTCTGTATAATATATATTACATATATTATGTATAATATATAATACATATATACATTATATATAAAATATATTATACAGAATATATATAATAGATATATTATATATAATATATACATATAGTATATATAATATATTATATATTATATATAATATATGTAATATATATATTATTTATATAATATATGTAATATATATATTATTTATATAATATGTATAACATATATATTATTTATATAATATGTATAACATATATATTATTTATATAGTATGTATAATATATATATTATTTATATAATATGTATAAGATATATATTATTTATATAATATGTATAAGATATATAGTATATATTATATGTATATAAGATATATATAATATACTATATATGTTATATATATTATATATAACATATATAATATATATAATATACTATATATGTTATATATATTATATATAACATATATAATATATATAATATATATTATATATATTATATAATATATATAATATATATTATATATATTATATTATATATAAAATACA